>NC_000023.11:94337542-94962542 GCF_000001405.40 Homo sapiens | reverse complement strand
CAAAACCAAAATATTAAGCTGTTATTGTCCTTTGAGTGGTGAGAAAAGTGACAGAAAATGTCAAAGATAAGTACCTCAATTGGCAATGGAATTGCTTTTAGTTTTAATATGAGGCATGCATCTGCCAAATAGAGAAACACCCACAGTGCACAATAAGTGAATTTTGACAAAACAAATTGGCTTTCTCTCAACCACTGATGTTGTATTATCTAAAAGAAAAGCAACTTGGTTGCTTAGAAAAGTATCAAAATGCCTGAGTATTTCTGGCAATTAAATGTAATCCATCTGAAATCTGAGGAGCTTGAGGCACAAACACAATAGAAAGTGATTTCTCTCTTGCTCTGTTTCTAATCAAAGATGCCTGCACCGTTGACTGCTTTTTTACATCATCTGATATCACATCCCTGATTCATGATTAATGCTCTCAACAAACCTCAACGAATCCTTTACGTGTAATATGCTTTTCCAAACTTCAGTACAATTTTGTTTTAACAAAAAATCAAATATGTGTTGCTAGAGATTGGCCAGTGTCTTGCACATAGCAGGCACTTGGAAGCAGCATAGTATCAGACAGTGAATCTGCTACAAAATGGTTATATGCCCTTGGGCAAGACACTTTGTAACCTCATTGAATATTCACTCCTCATCTGTAACATGATCTGATATTTTCTTTACAGGACTGATGTAAGTGACAAGTGAGATCATTTATTGGAAAGTCCCTTGGGGAATGTAAAAAATATACAGCAATAAGTAGTAAGTGCTTATTACTATCAAGTTAATTTGATTAATTTTCCAATTCTAAAAAAAACCTATGAAATAAAGAAGATATTTCTGATTTTAAATGTTCATGCATATATTTAAGATAATCTAAATTTTGAAATGTTTTAGATTATTATTTGGAAGTAATTTTAGACCTACAGAAAAGTTGCAAAAATAGTAGATATTTTCTAAACACTCTTCACTTATTTTCACTTAATGGTAACATAAACATAGTATACTTATAAACACATACTGCACTTATAAACCTATAACATAACCACTGTGCTTATAAAAACTAGGAAATTAAATTGGGTACAACACTATTAACTAATATATAGACTTTATTTGAATTTTGTCAATTTTCCTACTAATGCTTCTCACTGGATTAGAATCCAATCCCGGATCCTACAGTTCATTAGTAGTGATGTCTATTTAGTTTCCTACAATCTTGGCCAGTCTCTTGGTCTTTTTTTTTTTTTTTTTTTTTCTGTCTTTTATAATTTGACACTTTGGAAGACAATTGGTTAGGCATACCTTAGGGTGCCATTCCACATGGGTATGTCTGCTTTGTTTCAATGATTAGAATAAAGGTAATATATTTTTTGGTAAGAATGCCACAATCACCCATCTTAAATGGTCCATATTAATGTCTATCTGCATCTTGACTGGTAAGTCATGCTTATGTCTCATCTCTTTCTGCAGGATCTATCTCACCTTCAATTTGGGGCCAGTTTGTTCCACAACCTCAGAACTCAAAAGAATTTTGCTGTTTCTTCTTATTCCCTTTACTTTTCATTGTAATGTTAGGAGTGGTGCACCCCCAAGTGGATACAGAAAGTCCACATTTTGGATTTTTTTGTGTAGCTTGTGCTTGCTTCTAGACAGGATTTTGTTCCTTTGAATTTTTTATAATTAGGATGAACTGAGCCTTTTGTCTTTTGGCAGTGGTTTATATCAACCCAAAGCCCCATTGCTATCTCCCTTTTCTCTGCTCTATAGGTTTCTTGTTCTGCCTTTACTTGCCACAAAGCCTTTCAGTGGAGCAGAAGTGTAACAGATTATGTTCTGAGAATTTATTATTTTTCTTATTTGACTTACAGTTACTTTGAAATTTGGGTATTCTCTGTCTTTGAATAATGCTAAGTGCATATTCTTTGAGTGGATTTATTTCTATTTTTCCTTCCTTTTCTGTATGTCTATAATGGATATCTGTCTTCAGTACTCAGAGTCCAATGTGTGTATATATTTATTCTACTGTCTCTTCAAACTAACAAACTTTAACCTGCTAATCTTTAAAAGGGAAGTGTGTGTTTCTCATATAAGTTTGTAATAAGTGCTATGGGGATAAAAAATAATATAAAAATGGTTTAAATTTGTGTGCAACAATCATAATGTCTCGTGTACTGAGAATATTTGCAGATGTTAAGCTATATTCTCAGCATAAATTAGGAAGTTGAGTGTTGCTGCACCATGCAGAGAAGATCATTCGTATTGTATATTGACATAATGTTTATTCTATTGTATTCTCTGTCGTACAGAGAAAACACTTATCCTGATTAATTTCATTTATATTCTATGACTGCCATTCAATGTTTTTAATATAAAATTATCTATAATAATTTTGCAATATATGTAACAAACCTGCATTGTACTATAATGGGGAGTTTTGAAAATACTCTGAATCATAAATATTTATTCCCTGTCATTGGGTGTCTCCAAATTAAACTGACTAACTTCAAATGTCAACCATTCATTTTTGAGAGGTAGCAATTCTGTCATTTTGCAATGACACCAGAAAAAATACAACTGAGGATACTCATTTAACTAAAATTAAGTTATGGTATGTTTATTATATATGATTCTTTGATATATACTACAAAATGGATTATTGCTACTTAATACTGTTACCTGGAGACATGTTTCTTAGTAGTAAAAGGCGAATTAGTCCATCAGCTTTGGTACAATTCGTCATTTGTTAGATGCCACTTCATTAGCAAATAAAGCACTTTTGAAAAATCTAAAAATATTTGGACTTAAAATAAGATGATAATATGTTAGAAAAAAGAATAGAGGAACACTAAATGATCAGTTTTTCATTAAGGTATATAAGAAATAGAGGGTTAAAACACAAGATACCCCAAAATTTGATTTTAATTTTGATCACAGAAGGGAAAAGTAAATGGAATTTTATTATAGTTTAATTATTGATTGTAAAGTACTAATAACCTTTAACTTCTGAAGAGTAAGAGGCCAGACTACTTACCTTTTGAATGCATAAAGATAATTCTGTGGTGAAAGAAGCAATATTACCTTTAGGAATTCATCAAAGTATTTGAACTGAGATAAAATTATCACACATATCTCCACCACCCCCCCAAAAAAAGTGTCAATATATACCAAAAAGAAAATAAGAAAGACAATTTGGAAACAAGTATAATTAATTGTTTATAATATGAAAAAAAAAGTAGACCAAGGAAATTAAGTAGGGATGAGAGACAAATACATTTAGGGTTTTTCCTTGTTCTATACACAGTGGATATCTATAAGGTTGTTCAATGCCTATTTTTCTCTATTGCTGATAACACAACAAATCCACCCAGCAGGGCTCCTATTCCAGTTGGTTTAGTTGGGCCTGACTTCATCTCACCCACTCTTCCCATCACAGAGATGGACATATGACTGGACATCTCCAGTCAGTCATCAACAGGATTGAAAGACTTCGGTCAATAATTACTCAGGTTAGGATGGGAGTGTGAATGGGGGTGGGGTGTCTGTGGTCTTGCTACCACCTTAGTATCCAACTAAATTTTAGAGTTGTAGAGAAAAACAGCTTCAAAGATATTCTCCAAATTTCTGGATCTTGTCCTATAAGCCTATTCCATTTATGTAAGGCAACAATTTACCCCTCTTTGCCTTTTTTCTGACTCTATTTTGAGTTAATTTGCATCACTTGCAGTAAAGAAATCTTGACTCTTTATGCATGCTCATCCTCTGTCTTCTATATAGTAATTTGTAGTAGAAAGACAGGATGAAATTTGTTAAGAATGTCTGTGAAAATTGTCTTAGAGTCAGTAAATTATTTCATGTTTCACCAAATAACCTTGCAGGGATTTGGTTCTAATGTACCTGAGCAGGTTAGATTTCTTTGCGATTGACTATAGCCAATCTTATAATTCTAAGAGCTGAAGAAATAATAGGATTCATAAAATAGCACAGATGAAAAATCACCAAAGATCCCAAAGTATAAAGTTGGATCCTTTTCTAGCCAATATGTAAAGTTATAACAAATATCAAAAAATAAAATGCTAAAAGGTAGATAATATAAAAAAGAATAAAGAAAGAACAAGGGTATGTTAACCGCATTTAATTAATCTAATTTACTGAGTTGAGTTGAATGTTTGAAAAACAGATTTACTCACTCTTTCAATAGGATACTAAACATACTTCAACTTGACTTTCCAGTTTAAATTCTTAACTTTTTTAGACACAGTCTCACTGTTGCCCAGGCTGGAGTGTAATGCACGATCTCGGGTCACTGCAAGCTCCGCCTCCCAGGTTGAAGTGATTCTCCTGCCTCAGCCCCCAGGTAGCTGGGATTACAGGCACCCGCCACCAAAAATTAATAAGAAAGACAATTTGGAAACAAGTATAATTAATTGTTTATAATGTGATAAAAGAAAAAAAAAATAGACCAGAGGAAATGAAGTAGGGATGAGAGCCAAATACATTTAGGGTTTTTCCTTGTGTCTATACAAGGTTTTTACCATGTTGGTCAGGCTGGTCTCAAACTCCTGACCTCAGGTGATTCACTCGCCTCAGCCACCCAAAGTGCTGGGATTACAGACATGACCCACAGCGCCCAGCCAATACTTAACTTTTGAAAGTGAGTTGATAAATTAATTTTGCCTCCTGATAGAAACAATAATTAGAGAAAATAATATGTCTATATAATGTTGATCCTATGCAATGATGTGACTTAAGAGGGCCTAGTCATGCAATGCCCTAACACTAGTTTATCTCCTTTTTTCTCTTCTATATTGAGTTGAAGATCTACACCAACATGTTAATGACAATCATTTTCACTTAGTCTGAGCCCTAAAATCTTGACCATAATAGTCTATGACTAATCATTTTGTCACTGTTAACTAGAGGTAGTTTTTTAACTCAGAATTCTATGACTGTAAGAGGATAAAGCACCAAGAAAAGCATAGCTGGTAATTACCACTTATTCTCTGTGAAGTATGGCTTTAAGTATTTGCAAGTATTGCCACATTTGATTCTCACAGCTACCCTATGGTCTAATAATTAGAGCATCTTCATTTGTCATATTAGAAAACTGGAACACAGAAAGTTTAATTAAACTTTTCAAGGTTACATAGTGCTTGGCAGAATCCCCAATCTTGAACATTTTGTTCTGCTACCTCTTACTCTAATTTAAAAAGCAGGGGTGGAGCGGGCTGAGGTAGGGCTGCAGAGAGCCCCTTAGTCAGGAAGGCCTGGTTTAAATATTCATTCTTCTATGCACTAGCTATCTCCTACCTATGTAAACTTGTGTAAGTTGCTTAAGCACTGAGTCTCAATTTTTCTTCCATTCAAATAGGGATAAAATACTTACATTTCAGGGTTGTTATAAGGATGAAATGAAATAATGTTAGTAATAATCTAGCAGAGTTACTGGAGTTTGCTGTTTGCATTTTTAATTCCTCTATGTTCTTGGTAAATAGATCTTCTCATTCTGAAGGGATTTATTCAAGTATCATCCTTTAATAGAACTTTTACCAGGTTCTTGGACATGTTTTTTTTTTTTTGTTTTATTTACCCTGTAGTTTTAAGTTTTTACATTTTAAAAATTTGATACATAATAATTGTACATGTTTATGGAGAACATGTAATAAGTAATTTCATACAATGTATAATGATCAAATCAAATCAGGGTATTTAGGATACCCATCACCTCAAACATTTATCATTACTTTGAACCAGCAAATTATTGGTTTTTATTGTTGGTAATATTTCAAATCTTCTCTTCTAGCTATTGGGAAATGTACATACATTGTTGCTAACTATACTCACCCTACTGGGCTATTGAACACTAGGACATATTTCTTCCATCTAATCACATGTTTATATCCATTACCCAGCCTCTCTTCATCCCCACTCCCCAACTTACATACACCCTTCATAGCCTCTGATAACCATAAGTATCAGGCAGATGCCATCTTTTAAGCAGAACATTCAGTCTGTTCACATTATTGTAACAATTTGATAATATTTTATATTTGTAGATTTTTTAAAATATAGCATCCTCCTTTCCTTTCACATATCATTAAGTTGCTATGTAAAGTTTCCATTCAATTGTTTTATATCCAGGATAATTTGGAAATTTGTTAATTTCAAAATTTCACTGTACTTTTCTGGTTCCTTAAATGGCTTTAATTTTCAGCACTAGTAATCAGATGTATATTTTCTACCATTTCTACCATGTATCAGGTTGTTGAAAAAGTAAGTGCAGTCTTTGCCATAAATGTAATTGCAAAAAGCACAATTACATTTGCTTCATCCTAATATATTTTCTATAATATCATTATGTTAAAACAATTTATTAATTATTTTTCCCACCAAGTTGTTTGGGTTTTCCACTGCTCTCCTTTCAACTCCAAAAGGTAAAACTTCTGTAATACTTACAGTTTCTATTCTTCTCCCAATTTTCAGAAAAGGCATTTGGAACTATTTACATCCTCTCTCTACATCACAGCTCCACAACCTTGCTTTTAATAGTAATAATTATATAATAAATTACTAGAAATTCCCTTACATTACATTAAATTACCTCTTCTATTTCACTATTGTTTAGCATTCATATTACACAATCCCAGATGGATTATATCTTCTATTTAGATGTAACCCAGTGTATTGCAACATTAATTACACACGAGCATTTCTACTATTTTACATCTATCCTGATCTCAACACCTCAGTCCTCTTGTTTTCTGTAGAATTTCTTTTTCCTGACGGTTTTCTTGAGTTTTTTTGTCTATATTATTGACTCTGAGTTCTTAACAAAAGCAGATACCGTACCTTTCTTTGATTATGATAGTTAAGTGTATCTTAGTAATGAATAAATTTTATGGGCTGAATTATTATTTTTCTCAATAGCTTCAAATGTTACAGATTAGATGGCCATCACTAGTCTTATATCTCTCTTTTACAACTGCCTTTTTCTTTTGGCTAAATGTTTGTAAAACTTTTCTCATTATCCCAGAGCTGAGAATATTTACCTGGATTTTAATTTTTGTGTGTGTTGTTTCTCACAATTCTAGCCTGAAACTTTATGAATCTGTTCATTTTCTGCTATTTTTACATCTTTCCCCAATTTACTTAGAGAAAGTTTCTAATTTCTTCTATTATTTGTTCATTTATAATCACATTTCTCCATTTTTTCTTTGTTTCATCTACCAGAATGCTTGTGAATTGCACATCACTTCTCCTTGACACATTTTTTAATCTCTCATCTTTTCTTTCAAGGTTTACAATATTGTATTTTGTTCCGTGCTTGAGATTTTTTTCAATTTAAGTTACTGAATACCCCACAGTAACCATCACCTCCCTCAATTTGTCTATCATATTTTTGTTTAGAAATAGTGTTTTGCTTCTAGAAAGTCCCCATTTGTACAATGCTTAAATATTTTAAGTGCTTTATTGTCATTAATTTGTCCATTTCTTCAAGTCATTCACTTAGTTAGAGTCTATTTCTGAATATTCCCTTTGTTCTTTCTCTGGCTAGGTAGCTCCATCTCTTGTCTGTCAAAGTTTGCAAATGGAAAATAAAATCTTAGGACCCCAATTCACTATGCCAAAAGAAAAAAAAATAAGCTGAAAGCTGAGTCATGCAAGAAAGTGACTTTCTTTGTGTTCCTAAGCAGATAGCTACAGATAAAAGGTTAAACATCTCCACAGGAAGCTACTCTATGTTCACCTTATCTTATGCTCACCTTACAGAGCTTGAGACAAACACATAATTGATTTATATATTAAGTATCCCCTTGCATAATGTCAGACCACTGACAGTACTCAGGAAGAAGCTTCTTTTTACGCAGGTCTTCTCACATTCCTGCAGTTTTCGGGGTGAATTACCAGAACAACAACTTGTGCTCATAGGTGACCAAAGAAATCACATCAGTTCATGGTAACCAATGTCACCCTTGCCTTGAGAGAGGAGATAGAGATAGATTGCTGAAAACCAAACTTTTCCTACAATCAGAACTTTTAATAAACTTTCCCAAGTAACTCCTCAGGCCTGGAGAGGAGGAAATATGCTTAATCCTTTCTGCCAGGAGCCAGCCTGAGCCCTTTTGTGCCTTCCTCTGACTGCCATGCAGTTACTTGACTCAGGAAAGGCAGACGGGTTACACTTGGGAGTGAATAGAGACAGACTATGTTTATGTCAAATTATCTGCAAAATGACCAAGCATGTGCATTTTAAGACATCTGAAACAACTTATAAATTGCTCCCTCAGAATAATTGTATTTTATTTATTTCTTTTGTACAAGAAATATATGAGAGGCCAATTTGAATACTCTCACAACAGTTGTTTAAAAAAAAAATCATTGTACTTGATTTAAAAAGTTTTCTCATTTTAATTTTTATTTCTTTATATACTTGTGAGGAAAGACAATAGGAATAACTTATTGAGAGCTTATTATGTGCCAAATATTATTTTAAGAAAATTACATCCTTTAGTAATTCTCAAAACAGCAGTGTGCATTATTATTTTCATAAATCTTACTGGTATATTGTTAGGGAAAAAATTGACCTCAAAATAATATAGCATAACATTTCACTCATTTTAAAAGATAAATATATATGTTACATATAGATATAAGCTATATGTTAATATATCTATATCTATACAAACAATTAGAAAAAACACAACAAAGTATGGGAAAATAGGTTTGGAATGGAGTGAGAGTAAACTTTTACTTTTTTGTTGTATACAGTTTTGTATCTTTTTTTTTACAATGAATGCATATTATGTATTGCTTGTATAATTGACAAAGTAAAATGATTTTTAAAATAAATAAATATGACATATTTGATTTTAGGAACTCTGCTAAGCACTGTACATATATCACTTAATATTCAACAGAACACTTTTAGAAAAATGCTGTTATCATCCCCAGTTTATATGTAAGATAACTGAGAAAATAACCAGCTAAGTACCTTGCCCACAGGTCATGCTGTGAACAAGTAGCAAAGCTAAGATTTAAACTCAAACAATCTGACCCTAGCATCTGTGTTATTGACTACTATGTTATACTGACCCCTCAACTTCAGAAATAGGTATATGATGTTTACAAGACAGATTAATAAATAACAAATGTACAAGACAGATTATTCTATATGAAAATATTTTTTATATTTCTTAGTATTTTGCTTTAGCTTATTAGCAACTGATCTTGGAGAACTCATTTTATAAAACCATTGCATAATTAATCCTACAGGCTTAATTGGAGTGAAGAAAAAAAGAACATATGGGAAGCAAAAGTAAATCCTGTCTTATTTATGGATCCTTAGAAGTGTCATAAAAAGAAAAGCAAGAAAAATACAGAAGGACAAAACAGATATGTTTCTTGATTTTTCTTTTACAATCTAGAAAAATGTCTGCACATCCACATGAATATTAATTGCAATGTAAGAGTAATACATAGGAAAATCTCTTAAAAGTTAAATGAATAAATGATATCTGAATTTCATTAAATAGAATGCTCTATAATAATTAAAATAAATACATTATTCTAAATCTATTTACATAATTGGATCTCAAAATCATAATGTTAAATAAAAACTCAAGTTGCTTAAATGCCATCCTTGCATCTATTTAAAACATTGAACTCTACTTTGCTTGTTACTGGTTAAGCACATCAGGAATTCTAGAATAAAACTGCCTGTGTTGGAATCTCAATTCTTTCACTCTTATGTTTACTATTTCTGTCACCTTTGACACGCTATCTTCTTGTGTCTCTACTCCTCATCCGTAAGTGAAAAAAGCATGGTAAATACCTAATAGGTTGTTGTGAAATTAAATTAGATTAACTATTTAATGTACTTAGAAGAGGACATTATACATATTAAACAAATGTATTTTAAAATTTTGTATGTTTAATGAAAGTATAAAACAAAAACTGACATAGAAAGACAAATTCAAAATGAATTTAGCAATGAATGCAGGGAATATGAAATTCATGAAGAACTGGGAAATTACAACTCAATCAGCACTGTTTCTTTAATTAAAAATTCTAAAGCAAAAGTGGCTTAATGTTAGCATTTAGATTGATGATCTCTAAATTATAAAAGATGGCAAAATGTGAAAAAAACTGCAACAAGCATCTATAAATTCTGGATAAATATTTAAAAAAACTGTCATGTAGCAACTTTCTAAAAAAGAAAAATTGCCAGACTAACAAAACAATTGGGAACCATAAGCCAGAAATATACATTTTTAAATTATTTTTATTTTTAGTTTTTGTGGGTACATAGTAAGTGTATATATTTATTGGGTACATGAGATATTTTGTTACAGACATGCAATGTGACATAATCACATCATGGAGAATGGGTTGTCCTTCCCTCAAGCCTTTGTGTTAAAAACAATCCTCTTTTAGTTATTTAAAAATGTACAATTGTTATTATTGACTATAGTCATCCTGTTGTGTTATCAAATAGCAAGTCTTACTCATCATTCCTAGCAATTTTTTTGGTACCCATTAACCATCCTAACCTCCCACCCAAGCCACCACTACCCTTCCAGCCTCTGGTAACCATCCTTCTACTCTCTATGTTCATAAGTTTAATTGTTTTGATTTTTAAATGCCACAAATAAATGAGAATATGGAACATGGAATGTTTGTCTCCACTTCCATCCATGTTGTTGCAAATGACATGATCTCATTTTTTTATGGCCGAATAGTACTCAAATGTGCATATATACCACATTTTCTCTATCCACTCATTTATTGAGGGAAACTTAATTTTCATTCAAATCTTAGCTAATGTGAACAGTGCTGCAACAAACAGAGCAGATGTCTTTGATATTACTGTTTTACTACTTTATTTTGGGTATATACCCAGCAGTGAGATTGTTGGAAAATATGGTAGCTCCATTTTCAGTTTTTATGAGGAACCTTCAAACAGCCCTGCAAACTGAAGCTTATTCCTTGTAATATAGGAAAGAAAAAAACAGGTCACATTGTCATTGCCTTCCTTCTCTGTAACTAAAAATGCTCTGAGCCTAACATCTGGATAAATTGTGCCCAACATTGACCTTTGTTTTTATTCTGTCTTTATAGAAATGTCTCTTATTAAAAAAAAAAAAAACTGTTTGCCTTCATGACATACAGATGCCTAGCCCGTCTGCACTGCCACCTCCTGATAATAGGAAACAGCTGTTTAACTAAACTATTCTAGTAACAGGACTAGGACACTGATTAAAATATATATGAGACAGTATATTTAAATTTGCTCAGTCTGTCTTTTCTAACAACCTATAGTCTACTGTTCACTTAAGTTCTGTAGTAGAACTGTAAGTCAGGATATTAACATCTTTGCCATATACACCCCAGAGTACAGGCAGGTCATTCCAAAGGAGCAGTTTTACTCCTATTCCTCTGGGACCACTCCCTGCAACTAAACCTTCTGTCAGCAGGAAGAATCCAGAGTGGTTGTCATCCTTTTTCCATCTCTATAGCCAACACTTTAAGAATAAGGTATATAAAAGCCAAAGACGAGAACTGAAAATGAGTTTACAAAAATGATATCAGTGAGAAAACTTGGAACAGTAAGGCAAGCTAACACCCCCTCCCCATCTTGCCTTTTCCTTAATTATTCCTGGGCTGTTGAGCTGAGCTAACTTTGGAAAACATTTAGGCTACAGTGTAAATTATAATGGGCCTTGCCCAAAACTCAATTGTTTTTGTAAAGCTAATGGGAGGCTATCAGGCTTGCAGTAGAAGAGGAGCCTGAGTCCAGCTAAGGTGCAGACATAAATGGTTGTCAGCCATTATTTCAGAGGTTATAAGATCTGCAACTTACCCCAATTACTCCTGCAAATAACATCACTATTGTAGATTGGTCTTCTGAGATATATTTCCAGGTTTTTTTTATGTCTATCTGGACTGCCAACCCTGCTCCTGTGATACCACCCAGAAGCAATTCAGGCCACAGAAGGACAGCTTTAACCTTTCATGATTTTATCTCTGTTCCAACACCATCAGCAGTAAGCACCTGTTACCTTGCCACTCCCCCCCTTTCCCCCAAACTGCCTTTGAAAAGTCCCTAACTTATGGATTTGGATGAGATAATTTGAATACAAACTCTATCTCCTATGTGTCATGTCCAGCCTTGTGTCTATTAAACTCTTACTCTGCTACAATGCCATGGTCTTTCTTTATGCAGCGGGCAGGAAAAACACCTTGGGTAGTTACAGCTTGCCTTTTTAAATTTCTAGATGTGTTATTTAATTTTGCAATTATTTTCTTAATGGTTTTATTTTCTGTGTTTTGTGTAATCTAGAATCATGAAAGTATTTTATTTTATCTTCACACAGAAAAAAATTTGTTTGGAAATTCACATTAAATCTCTGATATACTTTAAATTGATTTTTAACCTTCTACGACAGAGGTTTTATTATTTTCCATGTGAACAGAATATACAACGGAACTAGCAGCCTTTATTAAGAGTGATTTTCTTTCTCTCTCAGCACTAGAAAAGACTCTTTTTTTGTAAATCAGTAGAACATTCACTGTAGAAGTCTGGCTCAGCAGTTATTTTTACTGAGCTCATTGACATTGTCATTTTATTACATTTTGGCTTCTATCATTACTATTGAACACTCATCGGCCAATTTTATTTTCTCACCCTTGGTTATGTGCCCTTTTTTTTTTTTTGCTATGTCTGCTTTTAAGATTTTATCTTTGCTTTTGGTTTTCAGCAGTTTATTAACAGCTGTAGAGATTTTTTTTTTTTTCTCCTCTGTACTTATCCTTCTTTGGGAGAGTTGATCTTCTTGAGTTTATGACTTAACGTATTTTATCACTTTTGGAAAATTCTAAGCCAGTATTTCTTTAAGTATTGCTGTGTTCTGTTATCTCTCCTGTTCTTTTCAGGTGGCAGTTGCACATAAAAGAACTCTTTTGCCATATTCCACGTAGTTCTCACATTTTTTCATGCTAAAATCATTTTTTCTAAACTTCTGTGATTCAATCTTAAAATTTTCTATGTATCAATTTGTCAGTATACTAATACTCTCTTATATTATTATAGTCTCAGAATATTGCTTCCTCAGAGAGCCCATTTCTGATTACTCTAACAGATTTGCCTCTCTTGCCATGTCTGTATTACATTTTTTTATTACATATATCTCTACCAAAACTTAGCTCATTGATTTGTTCGTGTATTTAATGTGGGTCTTTCCAGGCTAAAATGTAAGTTCCTAGGGGGTAGCAACAGTATTTATAAAATTGATCACCTTATAGGAAAAAAAGCCTGGGTTATACTATGTTCTCAGTAAAGGTCTGTTGATTGATCAAAATATCACTGTCGATTCAATGAATAATTTAATTCAATTATGTAAATAGGTAGTTTATTTAACAAACTATCTTTTAAAAATGGCTGTCTGAAAAAAAGAAATTTTAGAAATCTGAGTCAGAGAATATGCAAAATTACATATCAAAAGGATAAAATAGTAAATAAAAACATCAACACAACTTAAGAGTATTTGTAAAATTTCAGAATGGGGGAGGTAGAATATTTTCCTTTTGTAAACAGAAAATGTGTAATCTATACAAAGATAAACAGGTTTAACTTCATAAATATTGTTAAAGGAATGTCAAAGGAGTTTATAAAGTCAGATTAAGAATAGCTTGGGGGAAAACATTCGTAGCCTAAATGAATAGGTAAAATTTAAAGTCGTTAGAGCATAAATAAGTTATAAATCAAAAATTTATTTTTCTTTTTTTAAAGTTTACTTTAAGCTCTGGGACACATGTGCAGACCGTGCAGGTTTGTTACACAGGTATACTTGTGCCATGGTGGTTTGCTGCACCTATTGACTTGTCCTCTAAGTTCCCTCCCCTCATCTCCCAGTCCCCAACAGGCCCTGGTGTATGTTGTTCCCTTCCCTGTGTCGATGTTCTCTCATTATTCAACTCCCACTTAAGAGTGAGAACATGTGATGTTTGGTTTTCTGTTCCTGTGTTAGTTTGCTGAGGATGATGGCTTCCAGCTTCATCCATGTCCCTGCAAAGGACATGATCTCATTCTGCTTTATGTCTGCATAGTATTCCATGGTGTATATGTACCACAATTTCTTTATCCAGTCTATCATTGATGGGCATTTGGGTTGGTTCCATGTCTTTGCTATTGTAAATAGTGCTGCAATAAACATAAGTGTACATGTGTCTTTATAGTAGAATGATTTATATTCCTTTGGGTATATACCCTGTAATGAGATTGCCAGCTCAAATGGTATTTCTGGTTCTAGATTCTTGACAAATTGCCATACTGCCTTCCACAATGGTTGAACTAATTTACATTCCCACCAACAGTGTAAAAGCATTCCTATCTCTCCACAGCCTCACCAGCATCTATTGTTTTTTGACTTTTTAATAATCACCATTCTGACTGGCATGTGATGGTGCCTCATTGTGGTTTTGATTTGCATTTTTCTAATGATCAGTGATGTTGACCTTTTTTTCATATGTTTGTTGGCCATGTAAATGTCTTCTTTTGAGAAATGTTTGTTCATATCATCTGTCCACTTTTTGATGGGGTTGTTTTTCTCTTGTAAATTTGTTTAAGTTCCTTGGAGATTCTTGATATTACACCTTTGTCAGATAGGTAGATTGCAAATTTTTTTTTCTCATTCTGTAGGTTGCCTGTTTACTGTGATGATAGTTTCTTTTGCTGTTTAATTAGATTACATTTGTCAATTTTGGCTTTTGTTGCAATTGCTTTTTGTGTTTTTGTCATGAAGTCTTTGAACATGCCTATGTCCTGAATGGTATTGCCTAGGTTTTCTTCTAGGGTTTTTATGGTTTGGGGTTTTACATTTAAGTATTTAATCCATCTTGAGTTAATTTTTGTATAAGGTGTAAGAAAGGGGTCCAGTTTCAGTTTTCTGCATATGGCTAGTTGGTTTTCCCAGCACCATTTATCGAATAGGAGATCCTTTCGCCATTGCTTGTTTTTATCAGGTTTGTCAAAGATCAGATGGTTGTAGATGTGTGGTGTTATTCCTGAGGTCTCTGTTCTGTTCCATTGGTCTATATGTCTGTTTTGGTACCAGTACCATGCTCTTTTGGTTACTGTGGTCTTGTAGTATAGTTTGAAGTCAGACAGCGTGATGCCCCCAGTTTTGCTCTTTTCGCTTAGAATTGTCTTGGCTATATGGGCTCTTCTTTGGCTCCACATGAAAATTAAAGCAGTTTTTTTTTTTCTAATTCTGTAAAGAATGTCAATGGTAGTTTGATGGGAATAGCACTGAATCTGTAAGTTACTTTGGGCAGTATGGCCATTTTCCCAATATTGATTCTTTGATTCCATGAGGATGGAATGTTTTTCCATTTCTTTGTGTCTTCTCTTATTTCCTTGAGCAGTGGTTTGTATTTCTCCTTGAAGAGGTCCTTCATATCTCTTGTTAGCTGTATTCCTAGATATTTATTCTCTTTGTGGCAATTTTGAATAGAAGTTTATTCATGATTTGGCTCTCTGCTTGTCTATCGTTTGTGTGAAAGCATGCTTGTGATTTTTGCACATTGATTTTGTATCCTGAGACTTTGCTGAAGTTGCTTATCGGCTTAAAAAGTTTTGGGGCTGAGATGATGGGATTTTCTAGATATAGAATCATGACGTCTGCAAACAGAGACAATTTGACTTTCTCTCTTCCTATTTGTATACGCTTTGCTTCTTTCTCTTGTAATTGTGCTGGCCAGAACTTCCAATACTATGTTGAATAGTAGTGGTGAGAGAGGGCATCCTTGTCTTGTACCAGTTCTCAAAGATAATGCTTCCAGCGTTTGCCTGTTCAATGTAATATTGGCTGTGGGTTTGTCATAAATAGCTCTTATTATTTTGAGAAATGTTCCATCTATGCCTAGTTTATTGAGAGTTCTTAAAATTAAGGGATGTTGAGTTTTTTCAAAGGCCATTTCTGCATGTATTAAGATAATCATGTGGTTTTTGTGTTTGTTTCTGTTTATGTGATGGATTACATTTATTGATTTGCATATGTTGAACCAGCTTTTCATCCCAGGGATGAAGCCAACTTGATCGTGGTGGATAAATTTTCTGATGTGCTGCTGAATTCAGTTTGCCAGTATTTTATTGAGGATTTTTGCCTAGATGTTCATCAGGGATATGGACCTGAAGTTTTATTTATTTATTTATTTATTTATTTATTTATTTATTTATTTATTTATTTTTTCGTTGTTTCTCTGCCAGGTTTTGGTATCAGGATGATACTGGCTTCATAAAATGAGTTAGAGAGGAGTCCCTTCTTTTCGATTGTTTGGAATAGTGTCAGAAGGAATGGTACCAGTTCCTCTTTGTACCTCTGGTAGAATTCAGCTGTGAATCCATCTTGTCCTGGGCTTTTTTTTTTTTTTTCAGTTGGTAGGCAATTAATTACTACTTCAATTTCAGAACTTGTTATGGGTCTATTCAGGGATTTGACTTCTTCCTGGTTTAGTCTTGGGAGGGTGTATATGTCCAGGAATTTATCCATTTCTTCTCAATTTTCTGGTTTATTTGTATAGAGGTGTGTATAGTATTCTCTGATGGCAGTTTGTATTTCTGCACGGTCAGTGCTAATGTCCTCTTTATCATTTTTTATTATGCCTATTTGATTCATCTCTCTGTTCTTCTTTATTAGTCTAGCTAGCAGTCTATCTATTTTGTTACTTTTTTCAAAAAACTAGCTCCTGGTTTCATTGATTATTTGAAGGGTTTTTCATGTCTCTATCTCCTTTAATTCTGCTCTGATCTTATTTCTTGTCTTCTGCTAGCTTTTGGATTAGTTTGCTCTTGCTTCTCTAGCTCTTTTAATTGTGATGTTAGGGTGTTGATTTGAGATCTTTGTAGCTTTCTGATGTGGGCATTTACTGCTATAAATTTCCCTCTTAACTGCTTTATCGATGTCCGAGATTGGGGCACATTGTCTCTTTGTTCCCATTGGTTTCAAATAACTTCTTGATTTCTGCCTTAAATTCATTATTTACCCAGGAGTCTTTCAGGAGCAGGTGGTTCAATTTCCATGAAATTGTGTGATTTTAAGTGAGTTTCTTAATCGTAAGTTGTAATTTGATTGCACTGTGGTCTGACAGACTGCTATAACTTCAGTTCTTTCGCATCTGCTGAGGAGTGTTTTACTTCCAACTATGTGGTCAATTTTAGAATAAGTGCCATGTGGCACCGAGAAGAATGTATATTCTGTTGATTTGGGGTGGAGAGTTCTGTAGATGTCTATTAGGTCCACTTGATCCAGAGCTGAGTTCATGTTCTGAATATCCTTGTAAATTTTCTGTCTCATTGATCTAATATTGACAGTGGGGTGTTATACTCTCCCACTATTATTGTGTGGGATCCTACATTTTTTGTAGGTCTCTAAGAACTTCTTTTATGAATCTGGGTGCTTCTGTATTGGGTGCATATATATTTAGGATAGTTAGCTCTTCTTGTTGAATTAATCCTTTGACCATTATGTAATGCCTTTCTCTGTCTTTTTTGATCTTTGTCAGTTTAAAGTCTGTTTTGTCAGAGACTAGGATTGCAACTCCTGTTTTTTCTTTATTTTTTCTTTATTTTTTTCTTTCCATTTTCTTGGTAAATTTTTCTCCATCCCTTTATTTTGAGCCTATGTGTGTCTTTGCACGTGAGATGGATCTCCCAAATACAGGACATGGATGGGTTTTTACTCTATATCCAATTTGTCAGTCTGTGTCTTTTAATTGGGGCATTTAGCCCATTTACATTTAAGATTAGTATTGTTATGTATGAATTTGATCCTGTACTCATGATGCTAGCTGGTTATTTTGCGCACTAGTTGATGCAGTTTCTTCATAGTGTCATTGGTCTTTATATTTTGGTGTGTTTTTGCAGTGGCTGGTACTGGTGTTTCCTTTCCATATTTAGTGCTTCCTTCAACAACTCTTGCAAGTCAGGCCTGGTGGTGGCAAAATACCTCAGCATTTGTTTGTCTGGAAAGATTTTTATTTCTCCTTCACTTATGAAGCTTAGTTTGGCTGAATATGAAATTCTGGGTTCAAATGTTTTTCTTTAAGAATGTTGAATACTGACCCCCAATCTCTCTTGGTTTGTAGGGTTTCTGCTGAAAGGTCTGCTGTTAATCTTATGGGCTTCCCTTTCTAGGTGACCTGGCTTTTCTTTCTGGCAGCCCGTAACATTTTTTCCTTCATTTTGACATTGGAGAATCTGATGATTATGTGTCTTGTGGTTGATCTTCTCTTGGAGTATCTTAGTGGTTTTCTCTGTATTTCCTGAATTTGAATGTTGGTCTGTCTTGCTAGGTTGGAGAAGTTCTCCTGGATAATACTCTGAAGTGTGTTTTCCAGCTTTTCTATTATCCTCGTCTCTTTCAGGTATTCCAATAGATAGTACGTTTGATCTTTTTATATAGTCCCATATTTCTCAGAGGCTTTGTTCTTTCCCTTTTGTTCTTTTTTCTCTAGTCTTGTTTGCTTACCTTATTTCAGCAAGGTGGTCTTCAAATTCTGATATCCTTTCTTCCACTTGGTTGATTCAGCTATTGATAATTATGTATGCTTCACAAAGTTCCCGTGCTGTGTTTTTCAGCTCCATCAGATCATTTATGTTCCTCTCTAAACCGGATATTCTAGTTAGCAGCTCCAACCTTTTATCAAGATTCTTAGCTTCTTTGCATTGGGTTAGAACATGCTACTTTAGCTCAGCAAAGTTTTTTAATTACACGTCTTCTGAACCATACTTCTGTCAATTAATCCATTTTATCTGCTGTTCAGTTCTGCACCCTTGCTGGAGAGGTGTTGTGATCATTTGGAGGGGAAGAGGCATTCTGGCCTTTTGGGTTTTCAGCATTTTTTCATTGATTTTTTCTCATCTTCGTGAGTGTATCTAGTTTCAAACTTAGAGGCTAGTGACCTATGAATGGAGTTTTTGTGGGAACTTTTTGTTGTTGATGATGCTGTCGTTGTTGTCTTCTGTTAGTTTGTTTTTCTTTCAATGGTCAGGTCCCTTTTCTGTAGTGCTGTTGTAGTTTGCTGGGGGTTCACTTCAGGCCCTATTCATCTGGTTTGCTCTGCACCTGGAGATGTTACTCAAGGGGGCTGGAGAACAGCAGAGATGGGTGCCTGCTCCTTCTTCTGGGATCTCCGACCTTGAGAAGCACCAACCTGATTTCAGTAGGATTGCTCCTGTATAGTGTGTCTGACAACTCCTGCTGGAGGGTCTCACCCAGTTGGGTGGCATGGGTAACAAGACCCATTTAATGAAGCACTTTGACTGTCCTTTGGTGGAGGTGGTGTGCTTTGCTGGGGGGAAACCCACTCATCTGGGCTGCCTGGATTCCTGAGAAATACTAGGAGAGAAGGCTATGTCTGCTGGTCTGCAGCGACTGCAGCCACCCCTTCCCCTATGGGTGCTGGCCCAGGGAGATCAGGGTTCTGTCCCTGAGACCCTGGCTGGAGTTGTTGGAGTTACTGCAGGGAGGCTCTACCCAGTGAGGACGGATGGGTCAGGGTCAGGCTTGAAGAGGCACTGTGGCCACAGTCTGCCACAGCCAGTGTGTTGAGATGTAGGGGACACCTCTTGGGACCAAGCCATCCAGCCTCCATGGCTCCAGCAGGGGAAAAGCACTGTTTGGAGCTATAAAGATGTCTGCTGCCCTTCCCCCACCCAGGGAGCTTAGCGTCTTAGGCAGCTATCAGTCCCAGTGCTGGCTGCTGCCTCTCTCCAAAGCAGCTTAAATGGCTTAGATAGCAGGCAGCCACAGTTAAAGTGCTGGTTGTGCCTTCCCATGGGAATGAGGCAGGCTTAAGCAAATTCTATCTGAGAAGTTGTTGAGAATCTGTGAGGTTCTTGGGTTGGGACCCTAGGCACCGGTGGCATGGGTTCATAAGTGAGATCTTCTGATCCGTGGGTTGCACAGTTCCGTGGAAAAAGCGCGGTTTCTCCAGCTGTTTAGCACGCTCACCGCCTCCCTTGGCTGGGAGGTGGGGGCTCCCCTGCCCCATGTGGCTCTCAGGTGGGCTGCCACATCACACTGCTCTTCCTTCCTCTCTGAGGGTCACACCAGCTATTTAGTCAGTTCTGATGAGAGAACTTGGATACCTCATTTGCCGGTGCAGGATTCACACGCTATTATGGTTCTTTTCAGTGGGAGCCTCTGATCGCCGCTCCTTCTAGCTAGCCATCTTGGCTCCAGCCCCCAAAAATAAAATTCTAATTCCCCCAACCTACTGAATGGAGTCTCCTCTTGGCCAAGGGGATTCCAAAGAAACCTGAAAAACTAGCTCAGGCCATGATGGAAAGGGAATGTTCAATGGCGCCTCATTATACTCTCCTCCCTTTAAAGTTCAAACATAACTGACCAGCATTCACATTTAGAAAGAGATCTTAAGACTGACAAAACAGACTCTTTCTAGTAGTAAGACATTAAATTTCAACATAACTGTAGTATAACACCACACAAAAGATATCATGTCCAGAAAGAAATCAAATTATTTTACCCCAAAATGTATTTTTTGACACATACTTGCCAACAGCCATGCATCGCTGTTTCTTGTGGGAAAAATGTACATTTCGTAGAGAAGCTTATTCCACTTTCGGGTTTTTTTCTGATCTTGAAGATGTTAACTGAGAATCTAGAACCTTTTAAAGGCCCGAATAGCAAATATTTGCTGTCTATTATCTCTCAGAGTGGCCACCTGTGAGACTCTACATAATAAGAACCTTGGTGGCTAGGCATGGTGGCTCACACCTGTAATTTCAGCACTTTGGGAGGCTGAGGTGGGCAGATCGCTTGAGCCCAACGGTTGTAGACAAGCCTGAGAAACATGGCAAAACCCCATCTCTCCCAAAAATAGAAAATATACAAAATTATCCAGGCGTGGTGGCACACACCTGTGGTTCCAGGTACTTGGGAAGTTGAGATGAGAGGATTATTTGAGGCTGCAAGGCAGAGGTTGCAGTGAGCTGTGGTCACACCACTGCACTCCAGCCTGTGTGACAGAAGGAAACCCTGTCTCAAAAATAAATAAATAAATAAATAAATAAGAACCTTGGTCTTCACAACACCTTATCTTAACCAAGACACTCCTTTCTATCAATTCTAGGTCTTTAGATAACTCTTTCAACTGATTACCAATCAGAAAACCTTTGAATCTACCTATGACCAGAAAGCTCCCTTGCTTTTAGTTGTGCCACCATTCCAGACTGAACCAATGTATAACTTGCATGTATTAATTGATGTTTTATGTCGCCCTAAAATGTATAAAATCAAGCTGTAACTCAACCATCTTAAGCACATTTTCTAAGGACCTTCTGAGACTGGATCACAAGTCATGGTACTCACATTTGGCTCAGAATAAATTTCTTCAAATACCTTACAAAGTTTGGCTTTTTTTTCATGGACAAAGTCTTATAATTGATAAGAAACAGCCAGCCAGTAGAAAAATTCATAAAATGTAAGAGCAGAATACTCACAAAACAGCAAATTTAAACTCCCAACAAATACATAGAAAGATCATCAGTTTCACTTTGTAGTCAATAAAATACCAATCGAAACAATGAGATATGATTTCTTGTTTCTCATATTACCAAAAATTTAAAATATTTACAACATCTGATATTGATCTAATTGTTGGAAATCAGATACTCATGCATTATATTTAGGCATGTGAATTACTAATGCCTTATATATTGTTGAAAAGTAATTAGTAAGAACCTATTTAGAATAACAGTCTTTTTGACTAAGAAATTCTATGTTTTAGGAATGAAATATGTAAAAATCAAAGGATCAATATACAGTATTTTTCCTTATATAATTATTTGAAAATATAAAAATTGGAAATAACCTAAATATATATATATAGAGAGAGAAAGAAAATATTATAGAAGACTTAATGGCATAATTTGCAGTTAATGGAAATTATATATTAAGTCTGTATGCATTAGCTTACAGAAGGTATCTGTGATTTAGTTCTTATTTACAAAAGTAGAATAATGGTATAATATAGTATTTTATACAAAATAGAAGTAAATATATATGCTTATATGTTATTAATGCAGGCAATGTGTGGAAAAATAAATTCTGAGTGAGATTATGTAGAAAAAGAGGTTATTTTCTTATTAATGTTATGCATCTATTTTTTGTTTGGTTTGTTATAATGAATCTGTACTGCTTTTGCAATGAAAAAATGAATAAACTAAGAATCTCAATAATTTTAAATATTATTTCATTTTCTGTAAAGTAGTATTCTTTTCTACTCAACTGTTTTTGACGACATTCAATTACTCAGGATTCTACTCATAAATGACTTCTACATTTAAAACACTATGGTAGTCTTAAAAGGCCCCAGATATGGGTACAGAGGTGATAAGGTATGCAGGCAACTTCTATCTTTATGGAAATCATATTGTAATTGTTAAGACAAATATAAACATTTATTTTATCTCAGGTTGGTTCAAATATGTGCCCCTGACCAAATCTCATGTTTTATGGTAATCCCCAATGTTAAAGAAGGGCCTCGCAAGAGGTGATTGGATCATGGGAATAGATTTCTTCCTTGCTGTTCTCATGGTATCAAGTGAGTTCTCACGAGATCTGGTTGTTTAATAGTGTGTAGCACCCCTGCCTTTGTTCTCTTCCTCTTGCTTCAGACATGTAGGATGTGCCTCCTTCCCCTTCGCTTTCTGTCATGATTATAAGATTTCAGAGGCCTCCCCAGCCATGCTTCCTGTATAGCCTGTGGAACTATGAGCCTATGAAGCCTCTTTTCTTTATAAATTACCCAGTCTCTGGCAGTTCTTTATGGCCATGTGAGAATGAACTAATACATCAGGCATAGTAGTTAACACTTTTTCTAAAATATAGTAAGAAACATGTAGTATTTAACCTAAGACAAAAATAAAGCAATTTTTCTAAAAAATCTGTTAGGCTTTTATGGAAGTGTTTATTTATTTATCTTTTACTTATCTGTGTTGTTGAGGTTTTCCAGAAATAAAACTACATCATCTGAAAAACGTTAAAAAATACCAGCAATAACAATTGGACTATGTGTTTGTGGTTAGTATCTTGACCTAAAACATATCTTCGGGAAAAAAAAGTTCCAAATAATTTCTAGTATTTTTTATCAGATAAGTAGCTCCCCTTTTTGGTGAAAAATCACAGGAGACATGTATTTAAATTTTAATTACAAGAAAATCTTTTTTTCTGGTAATATCCTTGTTGGAAATAGGGAGGTTTAAGAGTTGGAGATCATAGTAGCACTTTTTTTCTTTTCTTTTTTTTTTTTTACTATCTGTAACTACTTTCACAAAATAAATGTAGGGTAACTAAAAGTTGGCCCACAGTATTTATTATCTACTCAAGAATAAGCTGGGACATTATTTAAACTTTTGAACATATTTGAATTACCTATTTTTTTAGTATGCAAAGTGGATATTTATGATATATGTTTTTAGTAATATGAGGAAAAATAAATAAACAATAACTTCCAGTGAAATAAAATTTAGAGATTTACAAATATTTCTTTCATTGTCCTGAAATAGTACTTAACATTTTTACAAAAATCAATTCTTAGGCTAATGTTGTAAATATCCTTGTTGAAATGCCCACCTGCTAACTAGGAATGAAATTATATTTTGAGATGTCAGTATCCAGTAACCTTTTATTTGAATAAGCTAATTCACCTTCCATGTTCCCAAGGAATGTAACACAATATATCAAATTTTGATTGCTGTAAGAAATTTAGGAAAGACCATGGTGATTCTGACAAGTAAGGATGGTTTTCTAGAAAGTACTAGATATCTGAATAGGATCGGCTCTAAGCATCTCACAAAAGAGTGCACTTAAAAGAAATTTAACCCCTTTACATTTTTTACATTAGATTTGTGTAGTAATAATACATTTCCTCTTTCTATTAAAGCACTTGGGGGGACAGAAATGCTAGTAAATCTCTTTTCTATTTCTGTGTGGTTAATGGACACAATGCTAAAAACACTGAGCCTTTATAAGTGAGCAAGCTTACAGCCTTTCTCTCCAAAAAAAAAAAAGAGTAGTCTGGGCGTGGTGGCTCACGCCTGTAATCCCAGCACTTTGGGAGGCCAAGGCAGGTGGATCACGAGGTCAGGAGATCGAGACCATCCTGGCTAACATGGTGAAACCCCGTCTCTACTAAAAATACAAAAAATTAGCCAGGCGTGGTGGCGGGTGCCTGTAGTCACAGCTACTCAGGAGGCTGAGGCAGGAGAATCGCGTGAACCCGGGAGGCAGCAGAGCTTGCAGTGAGTGGAGATCGCACCGCTGCCCTCCAGCCCGGGCAACAGAGCAAGACTCCATCTCAAAAAAAAAAAAAAAAAAAAAAAAAGGAGTAAATGCAGTGTATAGTGAAAAAATAAAACATAACTCGGATAACAAAAATGTATGAATACTTTTAATTCTATACAAAAGATTTAGGAACACTATTTGTATGACCTAGGCAATGGCTCAGAAAACCAGTTATTTTTTAAAACTTTTGCAATTAATTATTTACTATAAACAGTAGGTGATCTCTCTGGATCATCTCCAGGTATTTGAATTACCTATTCAAATTATACAGGCACACTGTATAATGGAATAACTTCTTTACTAGCTCTTTGCATTTTCAGTCAGAAGACAAAGAGCAAGCAAACTGACTTTTTACATTCTTTTTGTGTCACTATGATACGTTGCTGAAGTTTCCAATAACAAAATACCATAGAATGGTAGCTTAAACAGCAAAAAATATTTGTTTTCACATTTCTGGAGGCTGCAAAGTCCAAGATGAAGGTACTGGCTGGCAACTAAACTGGGTGACTAAGTCAGGTGACCCAATACATACATAAAAGCTAGTTGAGCCAGTTTGAGGACATACCTGAAAGAAACACTAGTCACCAATGCATCTGTGGCTGTTTTTTTCTTTTTTCAAAGAGATTCTCAGGAGGTTTAGTATTTATTCATTTTCCTTTAAAAAGGGGACAGCGATGAGACAAATGTTTACATACCTGTGAGACTTTAGATAGTGCCCATTAAATCTACATTTTACATAAGGCGAATGTTTGAAGAACAGGAGAAAAGAAGAAAAAGATGTCTCAGGGAGAAGCAAAGGCATGATTAATCTCATGTTTTCTTTGTTCTGTGCCTAGGAAGATAAGCTAGTAATCAATATTATTAGCATAGAGTCTTTTATTTAAAGCCAGTCAAATTTTAGTGTGAAGTCTTTTGAAAAAGCTGTTTCCTGTTTATCCGTTAGAGAAGAAAGCTTGATGACAGTAAGCAAGGGAGAAGGTATAGTAAAATGTGTCCCACCTCCTATTGTATTATGACTAGAAACTCAGCTATCAAGGTTTCTCTGGGGTCCTCTTGGTCAATAGGGTGTTTGTTCAGTCAGCTAGGGGCTTAGAATTTTATTTTTATTTCTTATCACTGATTCAGTTCCTTGAGAGGTTTCTTTCCCTGGATTGAAGACTGTTGCCTTCTCATTGTGTCCTCACATGGCAGAGAGAAAGGTTTGATGTCTATTTTTCTTAAAAGGACCCTAGCCCTATCAAATTAGGACTCCATCCTTATGACGTCACTTAACCTTTATTGCCTTCTCAGTATTTGTCTGCTCTCACACTGCTAAGAAGTAATACCTGAGACTGGGTAATGAATAAAGGAAAGAGGTTTAATTGACTCACAGCTCTGCATGGTTGGAGAGGCCTCAGGAAACTTACAGTCATGGTGGAAGGCACCTCTTCACAGGGTAGCAGGAGAGAGAATGATTGCAGAGCAAAGGGGAAAGCCCCTTATAAAACTGTTAGATCTCATGAGAACTCACTATCATGAGAACAACATGGGGGAAACTGCCCTCATGATTCAATTACCTCCCACCAGGAGTCTTCCATGACATATGGGATTATGAGAACTACAATTAAATATGAGATTTGGGTAGGGACAGAACCAAACCATATCATTCCAACCAAGCTGCCCCTCCCAAAGTTAATGTCCTCACATTCCAAAACACAATCATGTCTTTCCAACAGTCCTCCAAAGTCTTAGCTCATTCCAACATTAAGAGTCCAAGTCCAAAGATTCACATGAGGAAAAGCAAGTTCCTCTGCCTATAAGCCTGCAAAATCAAAAGAAAATTAGTTACATTCTAGATAAAATGGGGGTACAGGCATTGGGTAAATATACCATTCCAAATGGGAGAAATTGGCCAAAATAAAGGGGTTACAGGCCCCATGCAAGTCCAAAATCCAATGGGGCAGTCATTAAACCTCCTCCTGGCTACTTTCATGGCTGTTGTTGAGTGTCTGTAACTTTTGCAGGTGCATGGTGCAAGGTGTCAGTGGATCTACCATTGTGAGGACTGGAGGGTGGTTGTCCTCTTCTCACAGCTCCTCTAAGCAGCGCCCTAGTGGGGACTCTGTGTGGGGGCTCCAACCTCACATTTCCCTTCCACAGTGTTCTAGCAGAAGTTCTTCATGGGGGCTCTGCCCTTGCAGCAAACTTCTGCCTGGATATACAGACATTTTTATAAATCCTCTGAAATGTAGGTGGAGGTTCCCAAACCTCAATTCTGGACTTCTGCACACCCACAGGCCAACACTACATATAATATGCCAAGGCTTAGGACTTGCACCCTCTAAAGCAATGGCTTAAGATGTACCCTGGCCCCTTTTAGCCATGGCTGGAGCTGAAGCAGCTGGGACACAGGGCACCATATCCAAAGGCTTCACAGAGCAGGGGTATGGGGGTCGGGGGAGGGCCCTGGGCCCTTCCCACAGACCATTTTTTCTGTTTTATGCCTCCAGGCCTGTGATGGGCCTCTCACATGAAGCCCTCTTACATGCCCTGGAGACATTTTCTCCATTTCTTGGAGATTAACATTACTTATGCAAATTTATGCAGCTGGCTTAAATTCCTCTTCAGAAAATTGTTTCTTCTTCTTTATCACATCATTAGACTGCAATTTTTCCAAACATTTATGTTCTGCTTCCTCTTGAATGCTTTGCTGCTCAGACATTTCTTCTGCCAGATACCCTAAATAATCCCTCTCAAGTTCAAAGTTCCACAGATCTCCAGGACAGGGGCGAAATGCCACCAGCCTCTTTGCCTGACATGAGCAACCTTTACTCCTTCCCCACAAGTTCCTCATCTTCATCTGAGACCACCTCAGCCTGGACTTCATTGTCCATATCACTGTCAGCATTTTGGTTAAAGCCATTCAACAAGTCTCTAGGAAGTTCCAAACTTTTTCTCATTTTCCTGTCTTCTGAGCCCTCTAACTCTCTTGGAAGTTCCAAACTTTTCCACATTTTCTTGTCTTCTTCTGAGCCCTCCAAACTATTCCAACTTCTACCTGATACCAAGATTCAAAGTCATTCCCACATTTTTGGGTATCTTTAAAGTAGCATCCCACTCTCTGTGGTACGAATTTACTGTATTAGTCTGTTCTCACGCTGCTATAAAAAATACTCAAGACTGGGTAATTTATAAGGAAATAAGGTTTAACTGACTCTCCATTCAGCATAGCTGGGGAGGCCTCAAGAAACTTACAGTCATGGGAGAAGGCACCTCTTCACAGGGTGGCAGGAGAGGGAATGAGTACTAACAGAAGGGGAAAAGCCCCTTATAAAACCATTAAATCTCATGAGTTCTCACTCACTATGAGAACACCATAGGGGAAACTGCCTTCATGATTTAAATATCTCCCACGGGGTTCCTCCCATGACAGGTGGGAATTATGGGAACTACAATTCAAGATGAGATTTGAGTGGGGACACAGCCAAACCATATCATCCTCATAGATACTATTTTCAAATACAATGACAAAGAGCAATAAGGCTTCAACAAATGAATTTTGTAAGGATACAAACATTCAGACCATTATGGTCATCAAATAGCAATTGCTTTCCTCTTTCTTCCTACTTCAACACCTCCTGGATTAAAAACAAAACTCATCTAAATTTCCAAGTTTCTCAACCAAAAAATATAGTCAAAGAATCAGCGTAAGTAGAATAGATGGGAATTTTATATATATATATATATATATATATATATATATATATATATATACACACATATATATACATATATATACGTATATATATACACACACACATATATACACACACACATATATATATACACATATATATATATATACGTGTATATATATATATATATATATATACACGTATATATATATATGAAACATTACTCCTTACTCCGGCAGGTTCAATGCCACGTTTCTTCTTGCTAATCAGTGAGGAGTGACTAGGTATCAATTTTCTTTTGTTTCCATCACTCGTCAGGGCAGAATGCAAAATACAATTTTTAGCAATGCAGTTTTTCTAATAAACTTCCATTAGAATGAATGGTAATAAGATAACTTTATTATGCAGTATTATTACCTATATGCCAAATAAAAAAAAATGATCAGATGAGATGGGAGCAGCCAGAATATTTTAGCGAAGGAATAAATACTTGCCTATCTAGTTGTTACTGTTTACAAAACAGCATTGATAATGTGTTGGCAATAGTGGGTGGTGTTGTCACTAGCAGCAGCTTTCTAGGGAGGAAGCTGATTTAAAGAAAATCATTTCCAATTACATGCAACAAAGTACTTTTTAAAGCAGTGCACAGGGATTTAGCCATGTGACATATATTAATATTAATGTGCTTCATGAAGCACAATCCCTATGCAGTATTTTGTAAAAGTACCCTAGAGAGTTTACAAAGAGGCACTATTTTGGTTTATATACATGGTTTGACTACATATTGTCATGGTTATTAATTTGTAAAAGAGATACAGTGTTTCAGGATTCTAATATTTTATCTTTTGCTATATAAAATGATGTTTTCTGTCAATGGTGGCTTGAAGGCAGATTATAAGATGACAGAAGTTCATATTTCCCGAAAATGGGGTGTATATATATATATATATGTTTTGGGTTTTAGGTACTGTATTTCCTCATGTGAGAGAAATACAAATAAAGGCTTGACTTTTCTTTTTGATATGTTAATATAAAGCTTCTAGTTTCAGCCCTTGAGTATGAAGAACTTGATCAAATTATCTTTTGGCTATACCCTGGGTTGAATAAACATTGCAAACAAAAAGAATGAATAAACATTTTACCAACTATATTAATAAGTGCAGGTATATTTGAAACTTAGCATAGGTCTGATTATCTTTATAATTTCCAATCGAGTACTTGCCCCAAGATTCTATTTAATCAGCATTTTTAGCAGTTAATTGTATCTTATTCTATGGAAAAATGCACCAGCAGAGTTGTTTTGTTGTACAAGCAAGATTTCAGTAAATTGCTAACTTAGTCCAAGTATTCTCTTTATTATTTTATAATAATTACTACTTTACCACGTATTTTTATAACAAAATCTTAATCACACAAAAGACAGTTAGGTACCAAAGAATTTAAAAGTTATCCAACACAATTATATAAAGGTAGGTGCCAGCCAAGAGCAACTTTGTTGTTGACTCTGTAAAATCACTATACATTCTTCCTGCTCTACACAGTTTCATAGTTTAGTGAAGGATTCAGACATAAAAATATGTCACTTACAAGTTAATGACATATTGCTTGCAGAAATATCTACAGAGTGCTAGGGAGGAGATAAAAGAAGACAAAGGGGAAGAAAGTAAGAAATTTGAACTGAAACTTCAAAGCTGAAAAGCAGTTAGCCAGCTCTAATAATAGGATTGGCATGAGTAGAAAGGGCATTTCCAAGGGTAAAATCACATGTACAAAGGCAGAATGTGCAAGAGCATGCTGGCTTCCACTTGACATAATCTAAATGTTTTCTATAGTTAAGAACAAAGTTTGGGATATAGAGCAAGATAGTGAAACAGAAACCGCCACAGATCATTCCTCTCCTGCAAGGACACCAAGTTAACAACTATCTACACCAAAATAACAACTTCATAAGAATCAAATATTACGTGGGCACTAAAAGTATCTGGTTGTAACTTCATATCACTGAAAGAGGATATATCACTGAAAGAGGAACTGAAGAGATAGAAAAAAGTCCTGAATTACTGATGCCTTCACACCCCTACCCCCAGCTACAATGAGTCAGTGCAGAAAGCATCTGTGGGCACTAGGGGAGAGAGAACACAGCAATTATGAGGCATTGAACTCAGTGCTGTCCTGTTACAGCAGAAAGAAAAACTGGCCAATCTCAGCTGACATTTAAAAACAGAAGGAGCGTTTAAACCAGCTCTAGCCAAAGGGGAATCGCCAGTACCAGTAGTTCAAACTTGGGTGCCTGCAAACTTCACCACTGAGGGCTACAGCATTCCATGTCTCCAAGTAAACATGAAAGGAAGTCAAGGCCACAGAGACTTCAATTCTTAGGCAAGTCCTAATGCTAAACTAGGCCCAGAGGTAGTGGACTGAGGGGCAGGAGACATATTAACACACCAGCTAGGGCAGCCAAGGGAGTGCTGGCATCAGCCCTCTTTTAAACCCAGGGCTCACAGCTCATGGCTTCACAAGAGACCCTTTTCTTCCACTTGAGGAGAAGAGAGAAAAGAGTGGGGAGAACATTGTCTGGCATCTAGGATACCAGCTCAGCCACAGCAGGATAGGGCACTGGTCAGAATCCTGAAATCCTAGCTCTCAGATAACATTTCTAGACAGACACACCCTGGGCCAGAAAGAAACCTGCTGCCTTGAAGAAAAGGACTCAGTCCTGTCAGCACTCATCACCTATGTGACGAGGCCTTGAGTCCTGAATAACCAGCAGACATACCCAAGTGCTACATCCAAATCCTTGGGTAAGACTCTAAGACTAGCCTGCTTTAGATGAGGACTAAGCACATTACCAGCTTTGGTGGCTACAGGGCAAAATTCTTTCTACTTGAGGAAAGCAGAGGAAAAAGTAAAGGGTATTTTGTCTAACACCTTAGGTGCTGGAATGGCCACAGTGGGGTAGAAAACCAAGTGGGTTCTTAAGGTTTCCAGTTTTAGGACTTGACCTTTAGCATTTCTGGACCTGCCGTGGGACAGAGGGAAGCCCATTGGACTAAAGGGTAAGTCTCAGGCCAGGCAGCATTCTGGACAAGCTGACTTAAGAGACCTTGGACCTTAAAGGAACATCAACAGTAATCTGGCAGTACTTCTCATGACCTGGGGTGTTAGTGGCTATGGGGTAAGGCTTCTCTGCTTTTGAAAAACGAAATGGAAGAGTGGGAAAAACTTTGTCTTGTGGTTTCAGTGTCAGTTCAGCCTGGTGTACAATAGATACCAAGTAGTCTTCTAAGATTTTTGACTCTAGTCCCTGACCCTAGGACAGCACTTTTTTTTTTTTGAGACGGAGTCTCACTCTGTCACCCAGAGTGGAGTGCAGTGGCGCTATCTCGGCTCACTGCAAGCTCCACCACCCGGGGTCACGCCATTCTCCTGCCTCAGCCTCCCGAGTAGCTGGGACTACAGGCGCCCGCCACCACGCCCGGCTAATTTTTTGTATTTTCAGTAGAGACGGGGTTTCACCGTGTTAGTCAGGATGGTCTCGATCTCCTGACCTCATGATCTGCCTGCCTCGGCCTCCCAAAGTGCTGGGATTACAGGCGTGAGCCACCATGCCCGGTCAGGACAGCACTTTTGAACCCAACCAGGTCCTGGGACACTTCACCACCCTGAAGCAATGGACACAGGCTTGGATAGCTTTTCTGCCTGCTGATTGTAAAGTCCCAGGGCCTTGAGTAAAAATGAGCAGTAGCCAGGGAGTGGTTGCTGTAGGCCTTGGGTGAGACCCAGCACTGTGCTGGCTTCAAGTCTGACACGGTGTCTGGTGGTGGCCACAGGGGTGCATGTGTCACTCCCAACCCCTGCCCCCCAGCTTTCAGTGACTCAGAACAGATATGGAGACTTTGTATAATTTGAAGGAAGTAAGAGAAGAGAGCAAGAGTCTCTGCCTGGTAATCCAGATAATTCACCTATACTCTGTCTAAGATTATCAAGGAGTTGCTGTTACAAGTGGGAAAGAACCACATTGTTACTGGGCTTGAGATTACCACTATAGTAGATACAGCTTAGATCACAATATCTGAGTCCTTTCAAATATCTGGAAAGCCTTCCCAAGAAGGATGGCTACAAATAATCCCAGACATGAAAGACTAAAGTAAATGCCTAACTCTGATGATGCAGAAGTTCAAAGGATCGTTAGTAGCTACTATAACCAACTATATGTCAACAAATTGGAAAAATCTAGAAGGAATGAACAAATTTCTAGATACATACAACCTACCAAGTTTGAACCAGGAAGAAATTCAAAACCTGAAGATACCAGTAAAAAGTAATTAAGTCAAAGCCATAATAAAATGTCTCCCCGTAAAAAAAAAATATAGTGTGGGACCCTATGGCTTCACTGCTGAATTCTACCAAACATCTAAGGAAGAACTAATACCAACCCTACTAAAAATATTCTAAATAAAAGAGGAGGAGAAAATGCTTCCAAACTCATTCTACGAGGCTAGTACTGCTATGATACCAAGCCCAGACAAAGACACATCAATAAAAGAAAACTACAGGCCAATGTCTCTGATGAATATTGATACAAAAATTCTCAACAAAATACTAGTAAACAGATTTCAATAATACATTAGAAAAATAATTTATTATGACCAAGTGGAATTTATCTTTGCAATGCAAGGTTAGTTTGACATATACAAATAAATCAATGTAATACCCGTATCAAGAGAATGAAATATAAAAACCATATGATCATTTCAATTGATGCTGAAAAGCATTCGATAAAATTCAACATCCTTTTATGATAAAAAACCCACAAAGAAACTGAAGATAGAAGAAACTTACCTTAACATAATAAAAGCCATGTACAACAGACCCATAGCTAGCATCATACTAAATTGGGAAACACAGAAATTTTTTCCTGTAAAATGTGGAACACAAAAAGAATGCCCACTGACATCAACGTTATTCAACATTGTACCAGAAGTCCTAGCTAGAGCAGCCAGAAAGATGTAAAGGGCATTTAAATTGAAAAGGAAAAAGCTAAATTATTCTTGTTTGCAGATGACAAAATATTATATTGGGAAAAACCTAAACACTGCACAAGAAAACTATTAGAACCGACCAAGAAATTCAGTAAAGTTTCATGATACAAAATCAGCATACAAAAATTAGTAGTATTTCTATATGCCAACAGTGAATACTGTGAAAAAGAAATTAAATAGTAGTTCCATTTACAATAGCCACAAATAAAATTAAATATTTAGAAATTAACCAAAGAAGTGAAAGATCTATATAATGAAAACTATAACACACTGATAAAAGAAATTGAAGAGAACAACAAAAATTAAAAATATTTAATGTTCGTAGATTGGAAGAATCCATATTGTTAAAATGTTTATACTATCAACGCAATCTATAGATGCAATGCAAGCCCTATCAAAATACCAATGAAATTCTTCACAAAATAGAAAAAAATTGTACATTTTATACAAAACCCCAAAGCACTCAGAATAGCAAAAGCTATCCTAAGAAAAAACAACAAACAAAAACAAAATCCTGGAGGAATCTCATTACCTGCCTTTAAATTATACTACAGAGCTATAGTAACCCAAACAGCATAATACTGGCATTAAAAACATACACATAGATGAATGGAACAGAATAGAGAACCCAGAAACAAATTTACACACCTACAGTGATTGCATTTTTCACAAAGGTGCCAAGAACATTTATTGGGAATAAGACAATCTTTTCAATAAATGGTTCTAGGTAAACTGGATATCCATACCCCAAAGCATAAATCTAGACCCCTATCTCTCACCATATAATAAAAATCAAATCATAGTAGATTAAAAAATTAAATCTAAGACATCAAACTATGAAAGTACTACAAAAAATTGGGGAATACCTCCGGGACATTGGTTTGGGCAAATACTTTTTTGAGCAGTGCCTTAAAAGCACAAGCAACCAAAGCCGAAATAGACAAATGAGATCACATTAAGTTAAGAAGCTTCTGCACAGCAAAGGATACAATCAAATAACTTAAGAGACAGTCCACAGAATGGAAAAAATGCAAACTACCCAACTAATAAAAAATTAATAACCAATATGTAAGGAGCTCAAGTAACTTATAGGAAAAAATATAATAATCCAATCAAAAATGGGCAACAGGCTTGACTAAACATTTCTCAAGAGCAGACATACAAATGGCAAACAGGCATATAAAAAGGTGCTCTACATTATGGATTATGAGAGAAACACAAATCAAAACTACAATGAGATATCATCTCACTCTAGTTAAAATGTCTTGTATCATAAAAACAGGCAGTAACAAATGCCGGCAAGGATATGGAGAAAAGAGAACCCTCATACACTGTTGGTTAGCATGTTAGTTATTACAGCCACTGTGGAGAACAGTTTACAGGTTCCGGATATAACTAAAAACTGAGCTACTATAGGATTCAGCAATCTCACTGTTGGGTATACACATAAAAGAAAAAAAAATTAAGATATCACAGAAATATCTGTAGTTTTATATTTGTTGCAGCACTGTTTACAATAGCTAATATTTGTAAGCAACCTAAGTGACCCTCAACAGATGAATGGATAAAGAAACTCTGATATTTATGCAAAAAGTAGTACTACTCAGTCATAAAAAAGATGAGATTCAGTCATTTGCAATAACATGAATGAAACTGGAGGTTATTATACTAAGTGAAATAAGCCAGGCACAGAAAAATAAACATTGCATGTTCTCACTTATTTGTAGGATCTAAAAACCAAAATAGTTTAACTCATGGATGTAGAGAGCAGAAGGTTGGTTACCAGAGACCAGGAAGGGTAGTGAGGGGCTGTGGGGGTAGGACTGTTATTGTGTACAAAAAATAGAAAAAATTAATAAGACCTACTATTTGATAGCACAATAGGTTACTATAGTTAATAATAATTGTACATTTAAAAATAACTTAAAGAGTGTAATTGGATTGTTTGTAACTCAAAGGACAAATGCATTAGGGGATGGATACCCCATTCTCTATGATGTGTTTATTCCACATTGCATGCCTATATTAAAATATCTCATGTACCCCATAAATATATACACCTACTATATATGCACAAAATAAAAAAATAATAATTTTAAGGTTTTTGCTTTATAATTTCTGAACTATATAACTCAAAAGCAGAATATTTTCATAATTATTCTGAAACCTGAAATATATTGACTTTTAAAAAGTATTTCTTTCTTCTCTGTTTCTGTTACAAACGGTAGTCTCTGACATCATATCAGTTTGGCGTTTGTGTTTTCTGATCCATTTTTTCCCTCTTCCCTAAGCACAATTTCTTAACATTGTAATTTATTTTTGATATTATTTATCTGTTACTCTAACACAAACTTTTGCCTTGGTCTTATTCACTTTTAATGTAAGTACGAAAAAGTCTTCCTCTATGAGTCTATTCATTTAAAAAATGTCTAATTTTACCAGAATGTGCTTTAATAGGTTTGTTTTTTAATTTATTTTTTATTTTTACTTTATGTGAGTACAGAGTAGGTTTATATATTTATGGGTTACATGAAATATTTTGATACAGGCATGCAATGTGTAATGATTACCTCTGGGTAAATAGGGCATTCATCATCTAAAGCATTTATATTTTCTTTCAAACAATTTAATATTCTTTCAGTTATTTAAAAATAAACAACTATATTAATGTTACTACAGTAATCCTGTTGTGCTAGCAAATACTAGGTTTTATTCACTCTGTTTTTTTTTTTTTTTTTTTTTTGGTACCTATTAACCATCTCATTGCTTTCCCCCAGCCCCCGACTGCCCTTCCCGGCATCTGGTAACCATCCTCTACTCTCTATCTCTATGAATACACTCTTTTTAATTTTTAGCTCTCACAGATAAGTGAGAACGTGTGATTTTTTTTTTTCTGTGGCTTATTTCACTCAACAAAATGACCTCCAGTTTCATCAATCTTGTTGCCATTGACAGGATCTCATTTTTTTATGGTCAAATTTTACTTCATTTTGTATACACACCATATTATTTTTAATCTGTTCATCTGTAGATGGACACTAACGTTGCTTTCAGATTCTGACTATTTTCAATAGAGCTGCAATAAACATGGGAGTGCAGATATCTCTTTGATGTACTGATTTCCTTTCTTTTGGGTGTATACCTAAAAGTGGGATTGCTGGATCACATAGTAGCTATATTTTTAGAATTTGAGGAACCTCCAGACTGGTCTTCATGGTGGTGTGCTAACTTACATTCCCACCAACAGTATATGAGGGTTCCCTATTCTCCACATCCTTGCCAGCATTTATTATTGCCTGTGTTTTGGATAAAAGCTATTTTAACTGGGGTGAGATAATATTTATCATAGTTTTAATGTGCATTTCCCTGATAATCAATTATGTTGAACACTTTCTTATATAATTGTTTTTCCTTTGTATGTCTTCTTTTGAGAAATACTTATTCAGATATTTTGTCAATATTTAAATAAGATTATTGTATTTTTATATGTTTTATTAGAAAACAACTGTATATATTAAAAATTCTAGTTATTGATTTCTTGTCAGATGAGTAGTTTGCAAATATTTTCTTTTATTCTTTCAGTCATCCCTTTACTTGGTTGCTTCTTTTGCTGTTCAGAAGCTTTCTAACTTGACATGATCCCATTTGTCCATTTTGGGTTTGGTTGCATGTGCCTGTGAAGTATTCTTTGCTCAAGAATTCTTTGCCCAGTCCAATGATTTTAAAAATTTTCACAATTCTTTCTTTCACTCTTTCTTTCTTTCTTTCTTTTCTTTCTTTCTTTCTTTCTTTCTTTCTTTCTTTCTTTCTTTCTTCTTTCTTTCTCCTTTCTCTTTCTTTCTTTCTTCTTTCTTTCTTCTCTCTTTCTTTCTTTTTCTTTTTTTTTTTTTTAATGAGACAGGATCTCATTCTGTCACCCTGGTTGGAGTGCAGTGGCACAATCATGGCCCACTGCAGCCTCGACCTCCCAGGCTCAAGCTATTCTTCTGCCTTATCCTGAGGCATGTGACACCAGATGCAGCTAATTTATTACTATTATTATCACATTTTTGTAGAGATGAGATCTTACTACGTTACTCAGGCTGGTTGCAAACTCTTGGGCTTAAGCAGTCCTCCTGCCTCAGCCTCCCAAAGTGCTGGGATTACAGGCATGAGCCACCATGTTGGACCCCAATATTTTATTTTACCATTTTCATAATTTGAGGTCTTAGATTTAAGCATTTAACTCATTTTGGTTTGATTTTTTAATAAGATGAGAGATAGGTGTCAAGTTTCATTCCTCTGCATATGCATATTCAGATTTCTCAGCACCATTTATTGAAGAGACTGTCCTTTCTCCAATGCATATTCTTGTAAACTTTTTTGAAAATGAGTCCACTGTAGATCTATACGTTTATTTCTGGGTTCTTTATTTTGTTCTACATTTCTATTTCTCAGTTTTTATGCCAGCACCACATCAGTTTGGTTAACTTAGCTCTGTATTATAATTTATGAGCCAGGTAATGTGATTCCTCCAGTTTTGTTCTTTTTGCTTTACATAGCTTTGGCTCTTCTGGGTCTTTGGTGGTTCCATATAAATTTTAGGATTTTTTTTTATTTCTTTGAATAATGTCATTGGTATATTGATAAGGATTGTATTAAATATATAGATTGCTCTGTGAACTATGGACATATTAACAATATTGATTGTTTCAATCCATGAACATGAGACATCTTTCCATTGTTTTGTGTCCTCTTTGGTTTTATGAATCAAAGCTTTATAGTTCTAATTGAAAAGACCTTTCACTTTTTTGGTTAATTTCTAAATATTACATTTTATTTGTATCTATTTTAAATGGGATTACTTTCTTGATTTTTTTTTCAAATTGTTCAGTGTGGGCATATAGAAATGATACATTTTTGTATATTGCTGAATTTGTTTATAAGTTCTTATTGTTTCTTTGCTGAATCTTTAGTTTTTTTTTCAAATACAAGATTACAAAAACAGCAAACAAGAATAATTTGACCTCTTCTTTTCATTTTGGATACTCTTATTTTTTTTATCTTGCTTGATTGCTGTCACTAGGACTTCCAATATTCTGTCAAATAAGAGTGGTGGAAGTCTGCATCTTTGTGCTCCAGATCTTAGAATAAAGAATCAGTTTTATTCTCATCCATTATGAAGCTTGCTGTGGGTCTGTCCTATATAACTTACATTATGAAGAGTTATGTTTTTTGCTATACCCAGTTTATGGAGGGAATTTATCATGAAGGGATGTTAAATTTTATGAAATGCCTTTTCAACATCAATTGAAATGATCATATAGATTTTGCTCTTTATTCTGTTTCTATGATGTATCATATTGATTGATTTGTATATGTTGAACCATCCTTGAATCCCTGGAATAAATTTCACTTGGTATGATAAATGATGTTTTAAAATTTTTTTATATTTAATTTTTGTGAGTATATAACAGGTATATATTTTGGGGTATATAACATGTTTTGATATAGGAATACAGTGAAAAACAATAACATCATAAATAATAGGGTATTTATCCCCTCAAGTATTTATCTGTTTTGTTACAAATAATCTAATTACACTCTTTTAGTTATTTTGAAATTTACAATTAGGTTATTTTTTACTATAAGCATCCTGTTGTGCTATGAAATACTAGGTACTCTTCATTCTTTCTATTTCTTTATACCCATTAACCATCTGTACCTTACTCCAGGCCCCTACTACCCTTCCCAGCCCCTAGTAATCATCCTTATATTCTCTATGCCTATGAGTCAAATTGCTTTGATTTTTTGGTCCCACAAATAAATGAGAACATACAATGTTTGTCCTTCTGTGTCTGGATTATCTCACTTAAAATAATAATCCCCAGTTCCATCCATGTTGTTGCAAATGACAGGATATATGAACCATATTTTTGTAATCTATTTTTCTGTTGATTGACTCAAAGATCTTTTTAATGTGTTGTCAAATTTGGTTGCTAGTATTTTGTTGATGTTTCTTTTGCATCAATATTTAACAAAAATATTAGACTGTAGTTTTTTTAAATATGTGTTTGTCTAGTATTGGTCTCAGGATAATACTGGCTTCATAAAATGAGTTTTGAAGTATTCTTCCCTTCTCTATATTTGGAAGAATTTGAGTACAATTTGTATTAGTTCTTTAAATGTTTGGTAGAATTCAGCACAGAAGCCATCGGGTTCTGGGCATTTCTTTGCTCCAAGCCTTTTTATTCCTGCTTTGGTCTTATTACTTGTTATTGGTCTGTTCAGGTTTTTTATTTCTTCATTGTTCAGTCTCCGTAGATTATATGTGTCTAGAAATTTGTTTATTACTTCTAGAATTTTCAATTTATTGGCATACATTTGCTTGTGGAAACCACTAGTGATCTTTTGAATTTCTGAGGTATCAGTTGGAATGTGTATTAGTGAGGGTTCTTCAGAAGGACAGAATTAATAGGATATACGTACATATAGAAGGGAATTTATTAGGTAAAATTAGTTCACATGATTACAAGGGAAAATTTTACAATAGGTCGTCTGCAAGCTGGGAAAGAGAGAAACTGGTAGTGGCTCAATATGAGTCCGAAAGCCTCAAAACCAGGGAAGCTGACAGTTTAGCCTTCAGTCTGTGGCCGAATGCCCAACAGCCTCCAGCAAGCCACTGGTACAAGTCCAAGAGTCCGAAGGCCGAAGAACCTGGAGACTGATGTCCAAGGGCAGGAGTAACACAAGAAAACATACAGAATCGAGAAAAAAATAAATAAATAAAAAAAGAAGCCAGAAGATTTAGGAAGCAAAGTCACCCCACCTTTTGTCACCTGCTTTGTTCTAGCTACATTGGCAGCTGATTAGATGGTGCTCACCCACATTGAGGGTGGGTCTTCCTCTTCCAGTCCACCGACTCAAATGTCTATCTCCTCTGGCTACACCTTCAAAAACACACCCAAAAACAATACTTTACCAACCATCTAGGCATCCTTCAATTCAATCAAGTTGACACCTAATATTAACCATCACAAATCCACTTGGCATCTATATGCATCTCCTGAAATTATACTTAATCTCCAAATATAGGTAATAATAAAGTCATAATTACACCTAACATAATACAACTATCCTTTATACAAATAAAAGTGCACTAATCCTTAACCTAAATGCTATTGAAGTTAAAAATAATTAAATGCTGCTATGAAGTGATAAATCTAATGTTACATAAGGATAAAAAAGAAAATAATATAAAGATATTTTATTTGTCTTGTTTTTCTTTATTTCTTCTTTTAAAAAATGGGATACATGTGCAGAATGTGCAGCTTTGTTACATAGGTATACATGTGCCATGGTGGTTTGCTGCACCTGTTGTCCCATCCTCTAAGTTCCCTCCCCTTGACTCACACCCTCCAGCAGGCCCTGGTATATGTTGTCCCATTCCCTGTGTCCATGTGTTCTCATTGTTCAGCTCCTACTTATGAGTGAGAACATGTGGTATTTGGTTTTCTGTTCCTGTGCTAGTTTGCTGAGGATGATGGCTTCCAGCTTCATCCATGTCCCTGCAAAGGAGAATGATCTCATTCTTTTTTATGGCTGCATAGTATTCCACAGTGTATATGTACCACATTTTCTTTATATCCAGTCTATCATTGATGGTCATTTGGGTTGGTTCCATGTCTTTGCTATTGTAAATAGTGCTGCAATAAACATATCTGTACATTTGTCTTTATAGTATAAGGATTTATATTCCTTTGGGTATATATGCAGTAATGGAAGTGTTGGCTCAAATGGTATTTCTGGTTCTAGATCTTTGAGGAATCTCCATACTGTCTTCCACAATGGTTGAACTAATTTACATTCCTACCAACAGTGTAAAAGCTTTCCTATTTCTCCACAGCCTCGTCAGCAAAAGATATTTTCTTAATACAGTTGAACACATGCACAAACATAGTCTTAACAAAAAAAGTTGTAAATACTCATGACTATTACAGTCCTCATTTCTGCAACTGGTCACATGGTTGTAGCTGATATTGGTAACTACCTTCTTCTGCTACCCATTCTGTATTTCCTTTGCCTTCAGAAATCACCTCAGCTAATCTTTGTTTTTCACCTGATAGAGTGACCCAAACCTTCATCCCTAAAGGCTCTGGGCTATTTGCAGTCATGATTGCATTGAGTTGTTGTAGTATCTCATTGACTTTAATCACAGGGCATAGTGATACCAAACGGATGCCCTAAGGGATCTCCTGTGTTACAGACATACTCTTCCTTACTTTAATTGTGTTGTGGCATCGGATTTTATCTTGATAGTCTGGGTCAATCATCCTAGAAAACACTGTACCTTCCTTCTTAGCCTGTTGACTTGGAGCCAGAAGAAGCCCAAAGTGGCTAGGTGGCAGTCTTACTTCCAGTTTAATGGAATCATTGTTGTGTCTCCTCGTGGCAGCATTTCTCTCTCTAGAAATAACACTTCTAGGCCAGCAGAACATAATGTCATGGAAACAGGCAGCAAAAATTTTTCTAGTGGGTTACTAGGGGTGACAGTGAGTGGTACCACCTCCAGTTTTACTCCTTGATTTCTGGAACCACACATCCTTGCTATGGAAGGAACAGTGCCATATATTGAATGCTAATCAAGGATATACACAACCTTCTGGAGAACTTTCTCCCAGCCCTGAAAAGTATTTTCACCTGATTGGCATTGAAATAGTTACTTCAAAAGTCCACTTTACCATTCTATCAAGCCAGCTTCTTTAGAATAATGGGAAACATATTAAGACTACTGAATGCCATGAGCACAAGCCCACAACTGTCACACCTCTTTAGCTGTGAAGTGAGTTTCTTGATCAGAGACAATGCTGTGTGGAATGCCTTGACAGCAGATAAGGCAACCTACGAGTTATGGATGGTGGTCTTGGCAGAAGCATTGCATGCAGGATAGGCAAACCCATATCCAGAGTAAGTGTGTATTCCAGTAAAAACAAACTGCTGCACTTTCCACAACGGAAGACATCCAATGTAATCAATGTAATCAACCTGCCACCAGGTAGCTGGCTAATCACCCCAAGGAATAGTGCAATATCGAGGGCTCAGTGTTGGCCTCTGCTGCTGTCAGATGGGGCACTCTGCAGTGGCCATAGCTAGGTCAGCCTTGGAAAATGAAAGACCATATTGCTAAGCCCATGTGTAAACTTCATTTGTGCCACCATGGTCACTTTGTTTATGAGCCCATTGGACAATGACAGGTTTGGCTGAGGAAAGAGGCAGAGTGGTGTCTGCAAAATGGATCATCCTATCTACTTGATTATTAAAATTCTCCTCTGCTGAGGTCACACTTTGGTAAGCATTCACATGGGACACAAATATATTCACAGTTTTTGACCACTCAAGGAGGTCTATCCACGTACCTCTTCCTCAAATCTCCTTTTTAACCAGTTTTCCAATTATGGTCTTTCAAAGTCCCTGACCAACCAGCCAAACCATTGGCTACAGCCCATGAATGAGTATATAATTGCATGTCTGGCAATTTCTCCTTCTAAGAAAAGTGCAAAAAAAAGGTTGACTTCTTGAAGTTCTGCCCACTGGGAAGATTTTTCTTCACCGCTGTCTTTCAGGGATGCCCTAGAAAGGGACTGTAGTGCTGCAGCTGTCCAGTTTCAGGTGGTGCTGGCATATCATGCAGAACAATCTATAAACCAGGACCTAGTCTTCCTTTCTCTGTCAACTTTTCATGGTGAACTATATGAGGTCATTAGTGCAGGACTGGAGAGAGAAGGCAGGGTGGCAGGAGTAGGGACCATGGGCATTTGGGCCACTGTCTCATTAACTTACTTGTGCCTTCAGGACCTGCCCAAGCCTGATTGTGTATATGCCATGTCCATTCGATGATTAAATGCTGCTGTGCACATCCAACTTTATGGCTAGATGGGTCAGAAAGCACCCAGTTTATGATAGGCAGTTCAGGTTACATAATAAATTGGTGACCCATAGTCAAACATTCTGTTTCTACCAAGGCCTAGTAACAGGTCAAGAGATGTCTCTCCAAAGGAGAGTAGTTATCTGCAAAAGATGACAGGGCCTTGCTCCAAAATCCTAGAGGCTTCCACTGGGATTCACCTATGGGGGCCTGACAAAGGCTCCAGACAGCATCTCTATAAGCAACTGACACCTCAGGCACCATTGGATCTGCTGAGCCATATGGTGCAAGTGGCAGAGCAGCTTGCACAGCAGCCTGGACCTGTTGCAGAGCCTTCCCCTCTTCCGGGCCTCACTCAAATTTAGCAGCCTTTTGGTTCACTCAATAAATGAGTTGAAGTAACACACCCAAATGAAGAATGTGTTGCCTCCAAAATCCAAACAGGCCCACTAGGCATTGTGCCTTTCTTGGTTGTAGAATAAGCCAAATGGAACAACTTATTCTTCACCTTAGAGGAATATCTCGACAGGCCCCCTCTCCATTGTACCCATAGCAATTTCAGTGTCGTAGAATGTCCCTGAATTTTTATCAGATTCATTTTCCATCTTCTGGCATGCAAATATCTCAATGGTAAGTCCAAAGTAGTTGCTACTTCTCGCTCCCTGGTTTCAATCAGCATAATTTCAACAATGTAATAAACCAGTGTGATATCTTGTGGAAGAGACAAGTGAGCAGGATTTCAGTAAACAACTGTATGACACAGAGCCAGAAAGTTGACATAGCCCTGAGGTAGGACAGTGAAGTATATTGCTGGTCTTGCCAGTTAAAGGCAAGTTGCTTCTTGTGGGCCTTATCGACAGTGGTGAAGAAAAAGGCATTTGCTAAATTAGTAGTTGCATACCAGGAACCAGGAGATGTGTTAATTTGCTCGAACAATAAAACCACATCTGGTACAGCAGCTGCAATTGAAGTCACCACTTGGTTAAGCTTATAATAATCCACTGTCTTTCTTTAAGGTCCATTATTCTTCTGCACAGGCCATATATGAGAGTTACACAGGAATGTGGTGGGAATCACCACCCCTGCATCTTTCAGGTCCTTGATGGTGCAAGAATCCCTGCAATCTCTCCAGGGATGTAATATTGTTTTTGATTTACTATTTTTCTACATAGTGATAGCTCTAATAGCTCACATTTGCCCTTTTTCACCATAATAGCCCTCAACCCCCAGGTCAGGGAACAAATGTGGAGATTCTGTCAACTGCTAAGTATGTCTATTTCAATTATGCATTCTGGCACTGAGGAAATGAACACAGGATAAGTTTGGGGACCCACTGGACCCACTGTAAGTTGGGCCTGAGCTACAACTTCATTAATTACTTGACCTCCACAAGCTTCTACTCTAACTGGAGGGCCACAATGACATTTTGGATCCTCTGAATCAATGTCAGCTCAGAGCCAGTGTCCAGTAATCCCCAAAAGGTCTGATCATTTTTCTTTTCCCATTGAACAGTTACTCTGATGAAAGCCCAGGGGTCTCCCTGGGTAAAGATAAGAGAAAAATTAACAGTATAAATTTTCAGTAGTGTAGTGGGGTCCTTTCTCAAGGTGACTCAGCCTTCCTTTTTTTCAAGGGGTTCTGGATCTGTAAATTTATTCAAGTCTGAAAATTGATTGAGGGGCTGTGATTCTTTGTTTTTTATCATTCAAATCAATCTTTTGTTCACTTGGCCTGGAAGTTTTCTGCTCATACCAATCAAGTAAGAATATAGTAGGCTTCCTATCAATTTCACTTCCAGGAACACCATGATTAATTAGCCAATGCTAGAGCTCTACAAGAGTAAGAGTATTCTGATTGCTGCTTTGTCTCTGTTGTCTATTACTGCAACTATGCCTACCTTGCCTTTGACGGTTGAGTGCTGCCACTTGGCCCCTGCCACCTCAGGGTCCAATTATTCCCATCGCATTTAAGTTTTCCAATTGAGTGACTGTGGTTCTCACCATAAGATCTGGCATAAAGAGAAGAGAGATCACACAGCTCTTCAAGGATGCCATTGCTCTTCTGACAAATCTATTTCACAAGGTATTGATGAAGAAAATGTCTTCTGTGTTCTCTCAGTTGGAATTAGTAGGGCTAAATTTACAAATCCACTCTAACATTCCAATCTCCCTAAGCTTTTGGATTCCTTTTTCTACATTAAACCAAGGGAGATCAGGCATTTCCAGCTTACTCGCAGTGGGCCATATTTTGACCCATGTTTCAGCTATCCAAGCGAATAAACTATAAGAACATTTTTTAAAATTCCCGTAGCTGCAACATCAAATGCAGAATCTCTGCTTGATGAACCCGTATCAATAAATTCAGCCTGATCCAACTTTATGTTCCTTCCACAATTATCCCACTCTTAATATTCATTCTCATACCTGTTCTCCAGATTTCTGCTTATATAAATCAGAAAACTCGAGTAGTTCTTTTGTAGTATAGTGAACATCCTAATGGGTCAAACTCTGAACATCACCTCTATGGGCCTGCCAGGACTTCAGTCTAGTTACAGGTGTAGAAGTAAAGAGAGGTGTTGAGGTGGGTCCTGAAGAGAATTTGCATTGTCTTGCCTGGCAACCGCCTCAGAGGAGGCCATTGCTATTTCCTCAGGCAATGCATAGTTAATCTCTTCAGGCAAATGTGGAAAGGCTCATAGCAGCCTGTGTGGAAGAGGGAATGAACACACCACTGGGTGTGAATAGCCCATTTCCTCTGGCAAAAAAGGTTCATGAGAATTGAGGAAGTCCGTGTCCCCAGCTTCATTGGGGTGCTTCCACATGTCCCCATCCCAAGTTACAGGGCCTCATTCTTTCCCAGTTTAGGCCCTCAGTTTAACTGTAGACACCTGACAAGGCTAAGCCTGCACGTTTCCTTGTAGATTAGCCACTGGCATGATAAAAGATTCTGTCTGATTTTCAAAAATTTTAGCCCTGTGTCTAAGGAAGATTCAACTCTCACTGTGGGCAATCTTAGAAGCGTTGAGGCTAAGTATGTGATGCTGGAGCCTGAAGATAGAATTCCTGAACTTATCCTTTTCGTTCAACACTTTGTCCAATGAACTTAGAGACAACTAAGCAACTTTACTGTATTGTTGGTTCTCTACAAATGTTGAAAGGTATCATGTATAGATTAGCTAACCTCCTTGCCTCTAAGGAGCAGTGAAATCAGGAGTATCAAATACATTTATTTTGCACAACTGTAAACAACTCACACCAAGGACTATCAATATTCTCTATACTATTAGAAGTAGAGTCCTTAGCACTTTTAGGTCTAATCAGATTTTAAAGAGCCAAATCCAGAAACCCCAGAACCAACCAAAGAAATCCATCATTAAAATTCTTTTTGTCCAGAACTACCCCGGAAGTAAAATCTGTATTAGTCAGCGTTCTCCAAAGGAAAAGAAGTAACAGGATGTATGCATATATGAAAGGAAGTTTATTATATAAAATTGGCTCACATAATTACAAGACAAAGTCTCACTATAGGCCCTCTGTTAGCTGGGGAAAAGGAAAGCTGGTAGTGGCTCAGTACAAGTCTGAAAGCCTCAAAACCAGGGAAGCTGACAGTGCAGCCCTCATTCTGTGGCTAAAGGCCCAAGAGTCCCCAGCAGGCCACTGGTAAAAGTTCAAGTGTCCAAAGGCCAAAGAACCTGAAGTCCTATGTCCAAAGGCAGGAGGAATAGGAGGAGGCATGCAGCACTGAGAAAAGAAGGAAGCCAGAAGATTTGGCAAGCAAGGTTATCTCACATTTTTCCACCTGCTTTGTTGTAGCTGCAATGGCAGCCAACTGGATGGTGCTCACCCACATTGAGTGTAGATCTTCCTCTCTCAGTCCACTGACCAAATATCTGCCTCCTCTGGCAACGCCTTCACAGACACAGACAGAAATAATACTTTATCAGTCATCTAGGCATTCTTCAATCTAATCAAGTGGGCACCTAATATAAACGATCACAGAATGTCTCCTTTGTTATTTTTGGTTTAATTTATTCAGTTATGCTCTGTTTTTTTCTTAGTCTGGCTAAACGTTTGTGAATTTTGTTTAACTTAAAAAATAAAAATAAAAAAACCAAACTTCTTATTTTATTAATCTCTTGTGTTTTTTTCTCCATTTCAATCTTTACTTCTGCTCTGATCTCTATTATTACTTTTCCTATACTAATTTTTAGTTTGGTTTGGCTTACCTTTGCTTTTCAAGTTATTTCAGATGCATTGTCAGGTTGTTAATTTGAACTTTATCTTCTTTTTTAATGTGGGGATTTATAGCTATAAACCTCCCTCTTATTACTGCTTTTGCTGTATTCCTCAGGTTTTGGTATGTCACATTTCCATTATCATTTGTTTCAAATTTTTTTTTAATTTTTTAAAATTTTTCATAGACTCACTGATCAGGAGCATATTGTTTAATTTTCACGTGTTTGGGTGGTTTTCAAAATTTCTTTTGTTTTTAATTTCTAGTTTTGCTTCATCGTTCTTCATATAAAATGCCTAATATTATTTTAATTTTTTGGATTTTTTAAGACTTGTTTTATAACATAATATGGTTTATCCTAGGGATTAATCCATGTGCTGAGAAAAAGAATGTGCGTTCTGCAGCTGTTGGATGAAATGTTATGTAAATAGCTATGATGTTCATTTGGTCTATAATGAAGCTTAAGTGTAAAGGTTTTTTTTTAATTATTAATTTTGTGTTTGGAATATCTCTCTAAGCTAAAAGTGGGGTGTTGAACTTACCATCTATTATTCTATTGGGGTCTTTCTCTCTCTTTAGCTCTAAACATATTTGCTTCATATGTCTTTATGCTCCAGTGTTTGACTCTGGTATATTTATAATTCTTATATCCCCTTGCTGAATTGACCTTTTTTATTATGGTATAATGACCTATTTTTTCTCACAACTCTGACCAGTATCCTAACCTGTTGTGGCTAAGCTGGTATCCAAGATACAACACAAATTACTCCTGACTGTTTCCTCTCATCTCCTTAAGCAAAAGAAAGGACTGTCTTTTGATGCAGTGAGCTGTGCAGTCTGGAGTTAGAGAAGGAGTAGTGCCAGCACTCCCCTAACCACTCCAGCCAGTGTCTCAGTAGGTCACGTGCCCTTACAGTCCACTGGCTCTAAGCCCAGTTCAGCCCTAGAATTCACCTAGGACTTGCAGTCTTTGTGGCACAGACTGCTTTTTAAGTGTATTTAGAGCCCCACAGCACTTTAGCATTAGGTGGCAAGGCTTCCTGGAGCTCAAGTTCTGACAACTGGGATCAGCAATTCTCTGGCTAGGGCTGGTTTTACTACTCCCTCTGTGGGTTGGCATCAGCTGAGTTTGGTCTGATTTTGCTTTCTGCTATAACAGGTCATCACTGAGATTTATACAATAAAACCAGGTACTGTAATTACTCACTTGATTGTTTGTTCTAATTAAGGCATTTTGCTTGTTTGTTTGTTTTTTCTGTGTAGATAGTTGTTAAATAGGGTCTTTGCAGGGAGGGTCATTGGTGGGTCTTCTATTCTGCCATCTTTCCCCACCCTTCAGATTTTCTTTTTCTTTTTTTTTTTTAACTTCAACTATTTCTACTTATTACTTTAGTTAATCTATTTCATCTGTTCACCTTGGGCTTGAAGCACAGGCTACTGCTTTTGCCTAATATTTTATTTCCTATTGCTGGGTTTTTGTCTGACCTGATTTATTTATCTGACATTTGTGTATAATGAAACTGCACTTATTAATTTTATTTTCCATAAGACTTCTCTCTACTAACTTATGGTCCCAGAACATTTGTTCTAAACAAACTTGAAATAAGAAATTCATCATTGAATTTCTGTCTTAGTCATTTACCTAGTAAGGCAAGGCCTAGAAATCAAGAACAAAATGTTAATGTGTGTGTACATGCACATGTGCTTATAAATAGATATGTAGGTAGTTGGGTAAATAATGCATTAATATACTATTTTGGATATTAATTGAATTATAATTTTATCTCATGTTACTCCAGATAGATCAGGTAATGCTACAATAACAAGCAAATAACAAAACTTTTCTAACTTAACAACACAAATATTTATGCTTCATTTATGCAAAGTTCAATGAGTCTTCAGAGCAGTCGCCCTTCATATATGACTTAGTTACTCCTGTGGTTTCATTGTCTTTCTCCAATATTCATGTTTAAACGCAGATCTTAATGCAATAGATTTAAGAGGTGAGGTCCTTAGAATGTAATTAGGAAATGAGAGATCTAGTCTCATGAATTGAATCGGTGCCCATACAGAAGGGTTTTAGGAATCCTGATTGGCTATTTTTCCCCTTCTTCCATGTGAAGGAACCACGTTTGTCCCTTTCGCCAAGGCACCACCTTGGAAGCAGAGAGCAAGCCCTTACCAGACACTGAGTTTGCTGGCACTTTGATCTCAGACTATTATACGTACATAGACTTTTTGATTTAAGAGAAATTGTATGGGTAAATTAAATAGGAAGCATTGAGGGAAAGTAAATCTCAGAGGTGTGCCATGGACTCTGTTTAGTACATAGAGTTTCAGAACGGTAATAAGACCTCAGATAGTTTTGTGGAGACACAGGAAAAGTTAGTCCTTGCCTATCAGAGATTTCTATGCTTCATTGTGGTAATGAAAAGCATAATTATTAAGCTCCTATGATTACATTAGAGAAAGAAGTCTCTGGATCTAAGAAAATCTAGCAGAAATGAAAGAATAACATCAATGTAATGATCTATGTAGATTAAAACAAAAGATTACCTGAAATAATAAACACACTGATGAACAAAAGATATAAAAATATTATTCAAGAAACATATAATCCCATTATAATGACTTGAAATTACATGTACCCCTGGAATTTAGCCTGATTGTGGTGAAGTGGGAAAACTCCAAACTGTCCTCAACATAATAAGGACTTTAAATTAAAAGAAAAATAATTAAAGTTGTATTTATAGCTTGGCTAACTTGTTGATTGAGGTTAAAAATAGCTATATTAGCATACATACAGACAAATAACCATGTACACACACATATCAGAAAAGAAGGACATTTCTGACTTTCATGGTTTCATAGGCATTATTGTTTCTAAACAATTTCAACCATTTTCTATAAAATATTAATATAATGGCTACTACTCCCTCTTTTATGATTCTGATTTACCACCTCCAGAGAAGAAGTACATTGTTAAGAGTCACCAACTTGAATTGTATAAAAAGGTAGAATATCTGTTGACAGATGCTAAAATTATAGTTAAATTTAAAATATACAGTGAGTTTGGTTAAAATCCCCTCTAATGATCAGTGTTAGATAAGAATAAGATTATCTCTTCCCACTAATAGCAAGACAGGATGGATATAAACATAGGTAAATGACTTGCTACATTCTCCAAACTTCTATATTACTATTTGTATTTATACACTAGTCTAGTTTATCCACATCTTGCTTTGAAGCCTTTAGTGGGTTGAATGGACAAAAACATATGTCTACATATAAACTGCCTATACTAGTCAGAGTTATTCAGAGAAACAGAATCAAAAGTCCAATAGACTACAAATATATAAATAATTGATACATTTATGAATATCTGACATATATAGAAATGCATTATAAGATATATATTTATATGTATATGTGTATACTACCCAATATACTAGGTTTGCAATGTTTTTGAGTTCTTCATTATTTACTCATTCACGTCTATACCACTCAGTCACCCCTTACCTAACAAAATCATTCCTTTATTTAATGACAGGATATCTATAAATCCTAACTTATGAATACAAGGATGGTTCTGTTTGTTAACAGTAAAATTAAACTGCATTAATAATTCAAAGAAAGAAACCAATATAAGCATTTTCTTAAATGATAAAAAAAAATAGCATTTGGTGAATAGTACCATACATTTCTCCAAAACATTGAGTAATCAAAGAAAAGAAAGGCACTTAAAATATGTACTCTAGAAACAGACTGATCTTCTTTCTTGAATTTTGGCTCTATTGCTTAAAGTTATGCAGCAATGAGCATACTAAGAAACATCTCTTGCCTCAATTTATTCTAGAGTAAAATGAGGAAAAAGATAATTATATCATATGGTACTATAAAATAATTCATACAATAAAATAATTCTTGTAAAAATGTTTAGAACTATAGAACTGTAGAACTATAAACTAATAGTCAAAATATATTCTTAGTGAAAACACAGTGACAGAAAAATTTTTATTAAAATCAGAAACAGTAGAAATTGCCCCTATCAACCATATTATTAAATACATTTCTGGAAATTTTAGTCAATGTTTTGAGACAGAAAACTGAAACTAATAGTATAACAAAGAATTAAAATGTGATTCATATATATTAAATAGTATATATCACTTTGCTTAGGATTGCTTGAATATTCAGGCTATTTTTGGTTCCATATGAATATTAAAACATTTACTTCTAATTCTATGAAGAATGTTATTGGTAGTTTGATAGTAATAGCATTAAATCTGTAAATTGCTTTGGGCAGTATGGCAATTTGAATGATATTAATTCTTCCTATCCATGAGCAAGGAATGATTTTCCATTTGTTTGTGTCATTTCTGATTTTTTTAAGCAGTGAATTGTAATTCTCATTGTAGAGATTTTTTACCTCCCTGGTTGGCTGCATTCCTAGGCATTTTATTTTTTGTGGCGATTTTGAATGAAATTGTGTTCCTGATTTGGCTCTCAGCTTAGACGTTGTTGGTGTATAGAAATTCTATAGATTTTTGTACATTGATTTTGTATTTTGAAACTTTGTGTAGTTGTTCATTAGATCAAGGAGTTATGGCAGAACCTATGGGATTTTCTAGATTCAGTATTATATTATCTGCGAACAAGGATAGTTTGGCTTCCACTCTTTATTTTATTTCTTCCTCTTCCCCAATTGCTCTGCCCAGGATTTCCGATACTATGTTAAACAGGAATGATGAGAAAAAGCATCTTTGTCTTGTGCTGATTTTCAAGGGATTCCGTCTTTTGTCCATTTAGTATCATGTTCGATGTGGGTTTTTCGTAGATGGCTCTTAATATTTTGAAGTATGTCCCATCAATATCTGGTTTATTGAGGATTTTCAAGATGAAGGATGATACATTTTATTGAAAGTCTTTTGTGGATTTATTGAGTTGATCAAGTGGGTTTTGTGTTTAGTTCTGTGATTGTGGTGAATCTTATTTATTGTTTTGCATATGTTGAACCAAGCTTGCATCTCAAGAATGAAGTCTACTTGATCATGGTGGATTAGCTTTTTGATAGGCTGCTGGATTTGGTTTGCTAATATTGTGTTAAAGATTTTCGCATCTACATTCATCAAATATATTAGCCTGACATTGTCCTTTTTTGTTGTGTCTTTGCCAGGTTTTAGTATTGGGATGATGTTGGCCTCATAGAATGAGTTGAAGAGGAGTCCCTCCTCCTCAATTTTTTTTTTTGAATCATTTCTGTAGAAATGGTACAAGCTCTTCTCTATACATCTGGTAGAATTCAGCTGTGAATCCTTCTGGTTCTGGCTTTTTCTGATTGGCAGGCTTCCTAGATTAACCTTGGGAGGTTGTATGTGTCTAGAAATTTATCCACATTTTCTAGATTTTCCAGTTTGTGTGCATAGAGGTGTTGATAGTGCTGGGCGCAGTGGCTCATGCCTGTAATCCAGGCATTTTGGGAGGCCAAGACAGGCAAATCACCTGAGGTGAGGAGGTCGAGACCAGCCTGGCCAACATGGTGAAACCCCATCTCTACAAAAATAAAAATTAGCTGAGTGTGGTGGTGGGTGCCTGTAATCCCAGCTACTCAGGAGGCTGAAGCAGGAGAATCGCTTGAACCTTGGAGACGGAGGTTGCAGTGAGCCGAAATTGTGCCACTGCACTCCAGCCTGGGTGACAGAGCAAGATTCCGTCTCAAATCACCTCAGGCAGGCGGAGGCCTGCCTCTCCCTCTGGGAGCTCCATTGCGAGGAAGTGCAGAGCTACTACCAGCCCAAGAGCTCTGGTGAGGGGTGGCTATAATCCCAGGATAGGGGACCCACCCAGGGAAAAGTGGGATTAGGGACCCACATAAGGAACAGTCTAACCACTTTTCCATGTATGGCTGCAGTGTGCTGGGGATTCATGCCACTCTGTAATCACCAGGTACTCTCCAGAGCTTGAAGGATATAATGGGGCAGGTTGTGAGACAACAAAATCCGCCAGCCTCCCCCGCTGGAAGCTCTGTCCCAGGGATGATCAGAGTTACTACTGTCTGGAGAGCCTAAATGGGGGGTTGCTGGAGTCTCAGGTCAGGGTGTCCTACCCAGTGAGGAAAAGCAGGATGAGAAACCTTCAAAAACTAAACAAAACAAAAAACAGTCTGGCCATTTTCTTGTGGGATGGCTGCACTGTGCTGGAGACCCACACCAATTCCTAACCACCACGTATAATCAAGACCCTGAAGGCTGTAGCAATGGAGGCAGCAAGACAGTAAAAATGGTGGTCAGCCCCTCCCTCTGGCAGCTCTGTCTCAGGGAAGATCAGAACTCATACCATTCTGAGAGCTCTGGCGAGGGTGGCTGGAGTCCCACGTTGAGGGGAGGATCCTGCCCTGTGAGAAGAAGCGGGATCCAGACTCACATAAAAAACAGTCTGGTCACTTTTCTGCGGGATGGCTGCACTGTGCTGGGAATTCGTGCCACTCTCTAGTCGCTGCATACTCTCCAGAGACTGAAGGCTGTAGCAGTGGGAGCTGAGAGATAGCAAAGTGGCGGTCAGCTTCTCCCTCTGGGAGCTGTCTCAGGGAGGTACAAAGTTGCTACTGGCATGAGGTGGCTGGATTCCCAGGTTGGGGGTTCTGCCCACTGAGAAAAAGCAGAATTGAGGACTTGTGGAAAAAAAAGAAAATAAAAAAAAATAGTCTTGCTGCTTTTCCATGGGATGGCTGTGCTGTGCTGGAGATTCGTGCTACTTCCTAATCTAGAGCTTGAAGGCTGTAACAGTGGGGGCTGTGACATGGCAAAAATGACGGCTAGTCTCTCCCATTAGGAGCACTATCCCAGGGGAGTGCAGATCTGCTACCAGCTGGTGAGTGCAGATGTGGGGTGGCGGGAGGTCCAGGCCAGTAGGCTTTATTCTGCGAGATGCAGTAGAGGCAAGGCCTGCTTTCTGTCACTGCTCAGTCAGCTGGATTCAGCCCGTCCCCTGGGGGCATGCAAGAGACCCTGGCCTCCCTCACTGCTGGCGCAGCAGCCACAAATGACCGGATGTCTGGGGGTTTAAGGCTCCCAGGACTCCCAGTGTGCATGAGTGGTGACTGCCTAGACTCCATATAGCTCTCCGTGTCAGTCTGGAAGTCCCAGTGGAAGGGGCACATGGGGAGATCACCTGAGCCCAGGGTTGCAAAGGTCCATGGCAGAAGTGTGGGTCCCCAGGAACTCTCACTCACTCACTTTTCCCCAGGGTGGAGAAGCCTCCCCTGGCACTGTGGTACCTCTGGGTGGGCAGTCATCCTGTCTTGCTCCTCTCTGTTCTCTCTGGGTCAAGTTGTTTTCTTGATAAATCCTGATGTGTTCACCTGGATGTTCCAGTTTAAGATCGAGGAATTACTCACCATTATTTTTTCTTTTCCTGACAGCAGCCTACAATAGCAGCTTCTAGTCAGCCATCTTGGCCTCTTCCACAGCTGTGACCAATACTTTTTTTTGTTTGTTGTTGTTTTCATTCTATTTTTAATACCAATAAAAAAATAGCTAGGAATAAGTATTACAAAAGATGTTCAGGGTCTATTTGAAGACAACTCAAAAACTTTACTGAAGGAAATATAATAAGACCAAAATATATAAAAGAATGCATTATTTTTTAGAATGAATAATTTAATATTTGCTAAACGTTAATTCTCTGTATATATTTCTTCATTAATTTAATGAAAATTAAAATAATCATTTTAACCTTTATCTGGGAGAATGATCAGGCCTAGACAAAATATTTTTGAAAAGGAAAATAAATTAAAACAATTCTATCATACCACGATATTCAAATGTGCTATAAAGTTAATAATTTAAGCAGTGAGTTGTGGTACAGAGTTAAGAACAATTTTTAAAATACAAAATAAACATCCCAGAAGTGAATTCCAAAACATATTTTATGGTGGACAGGGACAGTATTTATTTGTTTATTTGCCTGTGTGTTTTACTTCGTTTTTTATTTAATGCTTTTCTTAAATAATTAAAATATGCAAAGACTAAATAAAAAATTTTGTGGGGAAAGTACTTGCACCCACTATTCCAGAAGTGCACCACTATTGTCAAACACACTCTCAAACTCTATCAAAGTCAGTATATGGCCACACTTCCTTAATATTTTTCAATAATTTTATTACGTTTCTCTCTTCTCTGGATCTTTTACTCTTATAAATCATCTCTGTCTTCTATATTATTAACAATTTCTTCCCTACTATTTCTCATTCTATAAAGGGGTTCTTATGCAAAAATACCCCAAAACAATCAAATTACACATTATTTTTTTACCTAGTACTACCTCTACTGTACAACCTCGTTCTTTTCTTAGCTAAACTTCAAAGAATTGTAACAAACACATACTATCTCTATTCCTTGTTTATTTGCTTATAGATATTTATCAAGTGAAATTTTATGTCACATGCTGTTCCAGTTGCTTTGATGTAACAATAAACAAGTTCTCAACATCAAAATAAGCTATTATTAGATGAAATAGATGAAATTAAGTTTACATAGTACAATAGCAAATGTTTTCCACTTTATAAAATAATTATTTGTACATAAATATACTACAAGACTACAGTTAAAATGGAATATCCAGTGATGAATACATATTAAATGTAGTTAACTACTTAAGATGAATATAAAGTTTACGATATTATATGTGAATATAGACATAATTGGTGGTCTGCCTACAGTTAAGTGTTTTCTTGAAAATAATTTAAAAACTCAGGGCAACAAAGTAAAAAATAATTATATAGAAAATAATAAAATTATAGTTTATAGGAAAAGGAAAATTCAGGAACCTCAGTATTCAGTCCAGCATGTAAGGATATTGGAAGTGATCACTCCATCCTAACAACCGAAAAACTGAACAAACTAAAAAACTAACAAAACTCTTTTTAGATCCATCAGAGCATTGACATCACAGGGAAAATTTGTGTCACCAAAATTGAAGGGATAGACAGGTGTATACAGTAAGCCACAGCTTACTTGAGCAGAAACTGATGAGAAAAACTTCAACTGGAACAAGTACCAGGGGAGAAAACTTGAACTACAATTAACAAATTTCTGAAAGTTCAGTCTGAGAACTGAAGACTGCAGGAGGGCCTCTTCTTAGAGGTATACCAAAATTTTTATGACTTTCAACTCCAGACACTGTAGTAGTTCTTACAGTGAAGAGTGCAGAAAAATCTTCTCATGCTTCCTGAAGCAAGAGGATGAAAATAACCATTTGTAAATACGCCTTCCCATTCTGTTATTCTAAACAAGGCCTGTGTGCAAAAAAATTTTTTTTACCTGAGTCTAACTTAATGGGGGTTTTATGAGAATTGAACCAAGTTGGGTGAAGAGAAACACTCAGCTCAACCCCTCTCTACCCCATCTAGTCCCACATAAGTGGGAGTTGGGACTGTGAAACACTTCTAAGGTTCGTGGCTCAGTGAATAGGCTCACTAGAAGACTGAGGACTAACCATAGGACTATAGAATGATACTTCACCCCTACTTCATTATACCACTGCGTCACTAAATTCTTACCTACCACAATTCCTTTTACTTAGCACATTATCTCTAGCTTCTATTCAAGATTACAGGACATACAAAAAGGCGAACAACACAGTTTGAAGACAAAAAGTAAAAATCAGAACAATATTCAGATATTGCAAAAATGTTAGAAGAATGAGACCAGGAACATTAAACAAAACTATCATTAATATGCTCAGAGCTCTAACAGAAAATGTATGCAACATGCAATGAGAGATAAGTAATGTAAGCAGAGAGATAGAAATTCTAAGAATAAAAAATAAATCTTAAAGGTAAAAATTATAAGATAAATGAATGCCTTTGAAGGGCTCATTCGTAGATTCAGTTCAGCTTAGGAAAGAATCTGCGATCTTAAAACTACGTCAATAGAAACTTCCAAATCTTAAAAGCAAAATAGTTACTACCTATACAGAAGTAAAGACTAGACTTATATCCAACATCTTCTCAGAAACTATGCAAGCAAAAAATAATAATAATAAAGAAAAATATTTAAAGGATTAAGAGAGACAAAACAAAACCACCAACCCAGAATTCTGTATCATGCAAAATTATTCTTCAAAAGTGAAGGAGAATAAAAACTAAGTCAAACAAAATTTGAGAGAATTTACTACCAGTAGGCCTTCTTTGCAATAAATGTTAAACAAAGTTGGTCTGAGAGAAAATAAATTACATGAGTCAGAGGCTTTGGCCTACATAAAGAAAGGAAGAGTGGTGGAAAATAAGTAAGAGAAAGCAAACCAAAAACTTTTACATTTCTTATTTTTACTTGATCTAACAGATAACAGTTTGTTAAAAATAATAAGGGCAACAATGTATTCATAATTTTAGCTTATGTGTTAGTGAAACACTGACAGTAATGACACAAGGAATGAGATAGAATAATTAGGAATACTGTGTTATTATAAGTCTCTTGCATGACTTATGAACCAGTATAGTGTTATTTGAAAGTGAATTTAGATTAGCTGCAAATATACGTTACAAGCTCCAGGACAATGACTTAAAAAAGAGAAACCAAGAAAAGAAATGTAATTGTTATGCTAAGAAAGATGAGAAAATGCAATCATATAAAGTGCTCAATAAACCATGAAAGCATAAAAATGTGGAAGACAAAAATAAGAACAAAGACAATGTAGCCAATATGGTAGATGTTAGTCTAATTATATTGATGATTACTTTAAATATCAGTGGCCTGAATAATCCAATTAAAATATCCAATTAAAAGACAGATATTGTCAGCGTGGATCACAAAACAATACTCAACTACATGTTGTCTATAAGTAATACACTTTAAATATAAAGACACATATATTTTAAAAGTAAATGGGTGGGCGAAGGTATACTATGCTAAATGTAATCAAGTGGGAATAGTTATATTAATTTTAGACAGCATACTTTAGAGAAAATATAATTATTAGAAATTAAAACAATGTATTTCCTAATAATAAAGAGATCAATTATACATGAAGTCATAGCAATTTTTAACATTTTTGTGCCTAAAGGGCACAAGACACATGAACCATAAATGGATAAAACTGCAAGAAGAAATAGATGAATTTACTATTATAGTTAGAGACTTCAACATTGCTCTCTCAGAAATGGAGATAAACAACAGACAAAAACCTTATAAGGACATATTTATACTCAACAGCATTATCAATCGACTGGAAATTATCCACATCTTTAGACCACTTTATCCAACAACAGGAGAATACACATAATTCTCAAGCACCCCTGGAATAGTCACCACGATTGTTCACATTCTGGGCCGTAAAACACATTTTATGAAATTTAAATTATAAAATTTAAAAGAATACAGATTATATAATGTATGCTCTTGGATGATGATGAAATTACACAAGAAATCACAACAGAAAGTTAGCTGAAAAACAAACAAAAAAAATCAGTATTGTACATACCAGTAGTCCCCAAACTGAAATATTTAGGTATGGACCTAACAAACTGTGTACAAGATCTTCATGAGAAAAACTAAAACAAATCTGATAAATGAAATCAATTAACTAAATAAATGGTGAGATATTCCATGCTCATACATAGGAACTTAGTATTGTCAAGATGTGAATTCTTCCAAACTTGATCTACAGATTTAACTCAATTCCCATCAAAATCCCAGTATGTTACCTTTTTTGGATATTGACAAAATTATTCTAAATTTTATAGGGAGGGGCAAAATATCAAAAATAGACAATACAATATGAAGGAGAAGAACAAAGTTAAAGATCTGACACTATCTAATTTCAAGATTTACTATGAATCTTCAGTAATTAAGAGAGTGTGATACTGGGAAAAGAATAGACAAATAGATCAATGGAAAAGAATAGAAAGCCTAGAAATATGCCCTCTCAAGGATATGTCAGTTACCCTCAAAGAGTACAAGAACAAGAAGAGCAAAAAGTAGAAGAATCTAGACACAGACTGTGTGTGTTTCACAAAAGTTAACTCAGAACGGATTGTAGGCCTAAATGTAAAATGCAAAACTATTAAACTAAACTCCTAGAAGATAACATGAGAAAAAAATCTAGATGGCATTGTGTTTGGCAATTGCATTTTAGATACGACACCAAAAATATGATCCATGGTAACTAGACTTCATTACACAGTTGATCCTGGAACAACATGAATTTGAAATGAGTGGGTCAATTTATACACAATGTTTTTCAATAAATATAGTTGGCCCTCTGTGTTAGCAGGTTCTGCGTCTAAAACCAAAAATTAATAAAAATATGGTGTTGTGAGGTGCTAAACCTGTATATATGGAAGGCCAAATTTTGTAAGTGTGGGTTCCACAGGGCCCACTATGAGACTTGAGTATGGAGAAATTTAGCTATGTACAGAATGTCCTGGACCCAATTCTCTTTGAATAAAAACTTATGTTCTGTGAAAGGCACCATCAAGGGAATGAAAGTAAAAACCACAGATTGGGAGAAAATACTTGCAAAAGATATATGAAAAATGACCATTAAGCAAAATATACAAAAACCTCTTAAAACTCAATAATAACTAAGTGAGTAGCCCAGTTAAAAATGTTTAAAAGGTATTTTCTACATCAGAGGGAGAAATCAGATATGCATATGACTCAGAGGCAAAATGGTCTACTAGATGCAGTTGGGAGTAACATTTGCCACCGAGGAACCAGGACATTGAAAAGACTGGCAAACTCCCAGAAGATCTTCAGAAGGAAGGCATTGAAAGTGTATAAAGGGAATACACAGATGGTGGGCTAAAGTGGGAGGAAGCTGGAAATCCTGCATGGGACTAACATGCACCAGGACTCATTCCTAACCCCCAGTGACTCCTCGGGAAAGCGTGGGTTGTGCAGGCAAGAAGAAACTGGCTATTGCCATTGGTCTCTGCAAATCTGCCATTAGGAGAGTCCATGATCCTCAAGGCCACTTGAGCTGGCAGGTAAAGCTGCATAGAGAAGTGGTGGGAGCAGAACTCTACCTAGTACTGAGCCCAGAGGGGTTAGTGTGGGAGCATCTGTATTGGAGCACAGCCAGGGTGCCAATATTCAAAGGCTTGCCTTGCTCCCGTAGGAAACTTTAGCCCAAGGGAAATTGTTGAACCCAAACAGAAGGGTGGTCTTGCCCACAAAATGGGGCTGGTCTGACCTGAGTACCCCTCAGTCTGCTGGCCTCTCCCGTTGCCTCAGACTGTCCACACCTGCTTGCAGTGCTGCCTCAGATGCCCAGATAGGATGCGTCTTGGGGGCCCACGTTATAGCTTGTGTGCTGGAGAGCCATACTTGACTGATGGAGAGCCCAGTAGAGCACTCCCATGGATGTGCACCAGCCCATACATTCTGTCTCCCCACCACATCCTCCCCTGAGCTTCTTTGCCTGCAGGCACTTGCCCACAGCCACCCTCACCATTGCTTTGCCAGTGAGTATGCATGCAGGTAGACCTCACCACCCCTTCCCTGCTTGTGCACATGTATGTGCACCCCACTATGTCATAGCTGTTGATATTAGTGCACACAACCCCACTCCCCTGATGCACCTTCATTGCCATCAGAGCCTTTATGAGCATGGAGACTGACAGCTGCATGACTGCCAGTGACCCGTCCCCATGTTAACACTGCCACCAGTGCAAAACTACTCAGAAAGACCTGCAGACAAACCCCCAAACTTAGCAGCAGCTGCTGCCAATTTGAATACATGCATGAAAGCACACACGGTCCTGTGCCAGCCGGCACACCACCCCTGTGCTAACACCATTTCTGGTGCAAATAAACATACAGACAGCAGCAAGGCCCCTATCCCGCTACATAATGCTGCCACCACTGTCATTGTGAATGACTACAAGGCATCTGGCACCTGTGCACCTGCCAGCTCCCCACTGAAGCCAATGAGCATGCACCTCACTGTGCTGCCACTGCCACTGGCACATGAAAACAAGGATAAGTCCCTTTGCTACCAACCTATGAAGCCCTGTGGCTGGCACCACACATTGGGGTGTTGTGATCAGAGGTCTGGGAAAAATATGGCCACTCCAGTGTGGCATGGAAAGTTCCTAACCTCCAAGGGACACAGCACAAAGCTGGGGGGCCAATGACAGTCCTACAGAGTTGGAACATGCAGTCCAAGAGTCCTGAACTGAACCTTGGCTCAAGAAAATATTCCAGAAATGAATACAGTCAACTTATCCTATCTTATACCACAATGAAACCCACAAGGACATCAAATAAAATAATAATTAAAAAAATCCAAAGGTCAGCAGCTTCGAAGATTGAAGAAACATCAGCCCACAAAGATGAGAAAGACCTAGCGCAAAAACTGTGGTAACTCAATAAGCTAGAGTGTCTTCTATTTCAAAATGACTTCACTGGTATCCCAGCAATGGCTCCTAACCAGGTGGACATGGCTGAAGTGACATAAATAGAATTCAGAATATGGACAGGAATGAAGATCATAAACATACAGAAGACAAATGAAACCCAAGCCAAGGAATTTTATTGTAATCTAAGGATTGCAAAAAAAATTATACAGGAGCTGATAGACAAAATGGCCATCATAAAAAATGAATGAAACTAATATGATAGAGCTGAAAAACACTCTATAAGAATTTCATAATGCAGTCACAAATGTCAACAGCAGAAATGACAAAGATGAGGAAAGAATCTCAGGGCTTTAAGGCTGGCTATCAGAAATAACTCAGAGAAAAAAGCAATAAAGAAGAATTAACAAAACCTCTGAGAAATATGGGATTATATAAACAAACCCATTTAATGACCCATCGATGTGCCTCAGAGACAGGGAAAGAAACCAAGCGATTTTGGAAAACATATTTCAGGATACTGCCCATGAATATTTCCCCAACCTTGCTAGAGAGGCCAACATTCAAATTCAAGAAATACAGAGAAGCCCTGCAAGATACTACACAAGAAGATTGTCTTCAAGACACATAGTAACCAAATTCTCCAAGTTTGAAATGAAAGAAAAGTGTTAAAGATAGCCAGAAGGGAAAAGCAGATAACCTACAAAGGAAACCCCATCAGGTTAACAGCAGACCTGTCACCAGAAACCCTACAAGGCAGAAGACATTGGGGGACTATATTCAGCATTCTTAAAGAAAAGCATTTTCTACAAAAAATTTTATGTTCAGTCAAACTAAGCTTTATAAGTGAAGGAGAAATCAGATCCTTTTAAAAAAAGCAAATGCTAAAGAAATTGTTACCACCAGACCTGGTTTACAAGAGGTCATGAAAATAGTGCTAAATATTTTTAAAAGACCATTACCAGCCACTACAAAAACAAACTTAAGTACATAGACCAGTGACACTATAAAGTAATCACACAAATAGATCTCATAAAACCAGCTAACGACATGATGACATGATCAAATGTACACACACCAATACTAACCTTGAATGTAAATGTGCTAAATGCTTCAGTTAAAAGGCACACATTGGCAAGTTGGATAAAGAAGCAAAACCCCATAGTACACTGTCTTCAGTAGATCCATCTCACATGTAATGACACTCATAGGCTCAAATAAAGGAATGGAGAAAAATCTACCAACCAAATGGAAAACAAAAAGCAGCAGGATTTGCTATCATAATTTCACACAAAACAGACTTTAAACAAACAAAGACTAAAGATGACCAAAAATGATAAAGAAGTGCATTACATAATGGTACAGGATTCAATTCAAAAAGAAAACCTAAATATCCTAAATATAAATACACTCACCACAGGAGCACCGAGATTCATAATGCAAGTTCTCAGAGACCTACAAAAATACTGATTCTCACACAATAATAATTAGAGACTTCAATACCCAACTGACAGCATTAGATAATCAAGGCTGAAAATCAACAAAAATATTCAGGACCTGACTTAATACTTTATCAAATGGACCTGATAGACATCTACAGAACTCGCCATGAAAAACACAAAAGAATAAACATCGTTTTCATCACCACATGATACACACTTTGAATCAACCACACAATTGGACACAAAACAATCCTCAGATTATTAAATAAAAAAAAGCTTAAAATACCAACTACATTCTTGGACCACTATGCAATAAGAATAGAAATCAACCCTAAGAAAATTGCTCAAAATCATACAACTAGATGAAAATTAAACAACTTGCTCCTGAATGCCTTTTGAGTTATTAATGAAATTAAGTCAAAAATTAAGAAATTCTTTGTAACTAATGAGAGAATAGATAAAACATACCAGAATCTCTGAGACACAGCCAAAGCAGTGTTAAGAAAAAGCTTTATAGCACTAGATGCCTATATCAAAAAATTAGAAAGACTTCAAATTAACAACCTAACTATGTCTAGAGAACCTAGAGAAACAAAGAAAACTAATCTAAATCTAGCTGAAGAAATAACCAAAATCAGAGCTAAAATCAAGAAAATTATGATGCAAAAAAATATATATTTTATAAGTACCCAGGAGCTGGTACTTAAAAACTTAATAAGATATTTAGACCATTGGCTCTTGCTAAACTAATAAAGAAAAAAGAGAGATGATACAAATAAACACAATCAGAAATGAAAAAGCAGATATTACCACTAATCCAATAGAAATACAAACCAAAAAAACCCCATAGAGACTATTATGAATTCCTCTATGCACATAAGTACACAAACTTAAAGGAAGTAGACAAATTCCTAGACACACACTACATCCCAAGACTGACCCAGAAAGACACTGAATCCCTGAACAGACCAAGAATGCATTCCAAAAATTGAATCAGTAATAAAAAGCCTGCCAACCAGAAAGAGCCCAGGACTAGAGGGATTCACAGCAAAATTCTCCTATATGTATAAAGAAGAGCTTGTACCAATCCTACTCAAACTATTCCAAATAATTGAGGAGGAGGGATTCCTTCTCAACTGATTCTATGAGGCCAGCATCATCTTGATACTAAAACCTGCTGGAGACACAACAAAAAAGAGATAACATTAGGCCAATATCCTTGATGAACACAGATGCGAAAATTCTCAACACAATACTAGCAAACCAAGTCAAGCAGCCCATCATAAAGCTAATATACCAGGATCAAGTAAACTTCATTCTTGGGATGCAAGGTTGGTTCAACATATGTAAATCAACAGAGGTTATTTATCACATAAATAGAACTAAAAACATAAACCACATGATCATCTCAATAGATGCAGACAAAGTTTTTGATAAATTCAACATCTCTTCACATTTGAAGCCCTCAACAAAAGAGAAATTGAAGAAACATACTTCAAAATTATAAAAGCTATCTATTAAAAACCCACAGCCAACATCAAACTGAATAAGCAAAAGCTGGATGCATTACCCTTGAAAGCCAGAAGAAGACAAATATGCCACCTTTCATCACTCCCATTCAACATGGTCCTGAAAGTCCTAGCCAGAGCAATCAGGCAAGAGAAAAAAATAAAAGCCATCCAAGTTGGAAAAAAGAAAGTCAAACTCTCCCTTTTTGCAGATCACATAATTATATATCTAGAAAAACCCCTTAGTCTTGACTCAAAATGCCCTTCAACTGATAAAGAATTTCAGTAAAGTTTCAGGATACAAAATTAATGTAAAAAATCTGTAGGATTCCTATACTCCAAAAGCATCCAAGGTAAAAGCCAAATCAAGAACTCAAGCATATTTGCAATAGCAACAGTAAGAATAAAATACCTAGGAATACAGCTGACCAATGAGGTGAAAGATCTCTACAATAAGAATTACAAAATCTTCAATGCCACCCCCATCAACCTACCAGTGACTTTCTTCACAGAATTGGAAAAAACTACTTTAAAGTTCATATGGAACCAAAAAAGGGCCCCCATTGCCAAGACAATCCTAAGCCAAAAGAACAAAGCTGGAGGCATCACTCTACCTGACTTCAAAATATACTACAAGGCTATAGTAACCAAAACAGCATGGTACTGGTACCAAAGCAGAAATATAGACCAATGGAACAGAACAGAGCCCTCAGAAATAATACCACACATCTACAACCATCTGATCTTCGACAAACCTGACAAAAACAAGAAATGGGGAAAAGATTCCCTATTTAATAAATGGTGCTGGGAAAACTGTCTAGCCATATGTAGAAAGCTGAAACTGGATCCCTTCCTTACATCTTATACAAAAATTAATTCAAGATGGATTGAAGACTTAAATGTTAGATCTAAAACCATAAAAACCGTAGAAGAAAACCTAGGCCATACCATTCAGGACATAGGCATGGGCAAGGATTTCATGTCTAAAACACCAAAAGCAATGGCAACAAAAGCCAAAATTGACAAATGGGATCTAATTAAACTCAAGAGCTTCTGCACAACAAAAGAAACTACCATCAGCATGAACAGGCAACCTACAGAATGGGAGAAAATTTTTGCAATCTACTCATCTGACAAAGGGCTAATATCCAGAATCTACAATGAACTCAAACAGATTTATGAGAAAAAAACAACCCCATCACAAAGTGGGTGAAGGATATGAAGAGACACTTCTCAAAGAAGACATTTTTGCAGCCAACAGACACATGAAAAAATGCTCATCATCACTGGCCATCAGAGAAATGCAAATCAAAACCACAATGAGATACCATCTCACACCAGTTAGAATGGCAATCATTAAAAAGTCAGGAAACAACAGGTGCTGGAGAGGATGTGGAGAAATAGGAACACTTTTACACTGTTGGTGGGACTGTAAACTAGTTCAGCCATTGTGGAAGACAGTGTGGCAATTCATCAAGGATCTAGAACTAGAAATACCATTTGACCCAGCCATCCCATTACTGGGTATATACTCAAAGGATTATAAATCATGCTGCTATAAAGACACATGCACACATATGTTTATTGTGGAACTATTCACAATAGCAAAGACTTGGAACCAACCCAAATGTCCAACAATGATAGACTGGATTAAGAAAATGTGGCACATATACACCATGGAATACTATGCAGCCATAAAAAATGAGTTCATGTCCTTTGTAGGGGCATGGATGAATCTGGTAACCATCATTCTGAGCAAACTATTGCAGGGACAGAAAACCAAACACTGCATGTTCTCACTCATAGGTGGGAATTGAACAGAGAAAATGCTTGGACACAGGAAGGGGAACATCACACACCGGGGCCTGTCATGGGGTGGGGGTAGGGGGTAGGGATAGTGTTAGGAGATATACCTAATGTAAATGACTAGTTAATGGGTGCAGCACACCAACATGGTGCATGTATACATATGTAACAAACCTGCACGTTGTGCACATGTACCCTAGAACTTGAAGTATAATAAAAATAAATAAATAAATAAAAATAAAAATCCAAGTAGAAAGCCTGTAAAAAAAAAAAAAAGAATTACAAAATCATGCTGAAAAAAATCAAGTGACACAAACAAATGAAAAACAAAAAAACTCCATGCTCATGGATAGGAAGAAATAATATTGCCAAATTGACCATACTGCCCAAAGCAATTTACAGATTTAATGTTATTCCTTTCAAACTATCAATAACATTCTTCACAGAACTAGATATCTATTTTTAAATCCATGTGGAACCACAAAGAAGCTCGAATAGCCAAGGCAATCCTAAGCAAAAAGAATAAAGCTAGAGACATCACATTACCTGACTTCAAACTATATTATAGGACTACAGTGACCAAAACATCATGGTACTGGTGCCAAAACAAACATGATGACCAATGGAACAGAATAAAGAGCTCAGAAATAAGGTCACACACCTACACCAGTTTGATCTTTGACAAAATTTATAGAAACGAGTGCTGGGAAAAGGATTCCACATTCAATAATGGTGCTGGGAAAACTGGCAAGCCATATTCAGAAGATTAAAACTGGACCCCTTTATTACACCATATACAAAAATCAATAAAATGAATTAGTGACTTAAATCTAAAACTAATACCTATAAAAACCCTGGAAAAAAAAAACTAGGAAATACCATTCTAGACATAGGACCTGGTAAAGACTTCATGATGAGTCACCAAAAGCAATTGCAGCAAAAACAACAATTGATAGATGGGACCTAATTAAATGAAAGTGCTTCTGCACAGCAAAAGAGAGAAATGATCAAAAGAGTTAACAGACGACCAACAGAATGGGAGAAAACATTTTCAAACTATGCATCCAACAGAGATCTAAGATCCAGAATATGTAAGGAAATTAAACATATTTACAAGCAAAAACCAAACAAAACTATTTAAACGTGGGTGTATCAGTCCTTTTTCACGCTGCTGATAAAGACATAGCCGAAACTGAGCAATTTACAAAGGAAAGAGGTTTGTTGGACTTACAGTTCCACGTGACTGGGGGGGCTTCACAATCATGGCAGAAGGCAATGACGAGCAAGTCACATTTTACTTGGATGGCAGCAGGCAAAAAGAGCTTGTGCAGAGAAACTCCCATTTTTAAAACCATCAGATCTCGTGAGACCCATTCACTATCACGAGACCAGCAGGGAAAGACCTGCCCCTATGATTCAATTATTTCCCACCAGGTCCCTCCCACAACACATGGGAATTATAGGAGCTACAAGATGAGATTTGGATGGGGACACAGAGCCAAACCATGTCAGTGGGCAAAGAACATGGACAGGCAATTTTCAAAATAAGACATTAGTGCAGCCAATAAGCATATAAATGAATGGTTAATATAACTAATAATTACATAAATGCAAGTCAAACTAGTATGCCATATCATCTCACACCAGTCAGAATGGCTATTATTGAAATGTCAAAAAATAACAGATGCTGGTGAGGCTGTGAAGAAATAGGAATGCTTATGCACTACTGGCAGGTATGTAAATTAGTTCAGCCATTGTGGAAAGCAGTTTGGCCATATTTCAAAGGATTAAAACAGAATCATCACTTGATCCAGCATTCCCATTACTGGGTATATACCCAAAGGAATATAAATTGTTCTACCATAAAGACACGTGCATGCATATGTTCATCACAGCACTATTCCCAATAGCCAATACATGGAATCAACCTAAGTGCCCATCAAGTATAGACTGGATAAAGAAAATGTGGTACATATACATCATGAAATATTATGCATCCATATAAAATGAGATCTTGTATTTTGTAGCAACATGGATGGAGCTGGAGGCCATTATCCAAAGTCAACTAATGCAGGAACAGAAAACCAAATACCACACGTTCTCACATATAAGTGAAAATTAAATATTGAGTACATATGGAAACAACAAAGGGAACTATAGACACTGGGGCCTACTTTAGGGTGGAGGGTGAGAAGTTACTAAAGATTGTAAAATCTATCAAGTACTATGCTTATTACTTGGGCAATGAAATAATTTGTGCACCAAATCTCTGTGACATGCAAGGTACCTATGCAGCAAACCTGCATATGTATCTTTGAACCTGAAATAGAAGTTTTAAAAATGTTTAAAAGGTATAAACAGACATTTCGCCAAAAATGTTACACAGGTGACTAAATAACCATATGAAGAGATGTTTAACACAGGTGTCATGAGGGAATTACGATTAAACAACAATGATATCTCAGTAGATACCTATTAAAATGCCAAATTTAAAATACAACAACAAATGTTGATGAGGATGTGGACCAACAGGAACTCTCATTCATTGGTGGCTGGAAGGAAGAAGGAAGAGTCCAGTCACTTGGAAGAAAGTTATAGCAGTTTCTTATAAAACTAAATATACTCTTATTAGGTTGGTGCAAAAGTAATTGTGATTTTTGCCATTACTTTTAACAGAAAAACCACAATTACTTTTGCAGCAATCTAATACAATCTAGTAATCACTCTCTTTGTTACTAAAAAAAAAGTAATATAAAGGAATATAAAGTAGTAAAGAAAATCTATGTCCATTATGCTGAATTAACTAAGCCAGTAACAGAAAGACAGATATTATATGACTTCACTTACATGTGAAATCTAAAAATGTTTATTAATTCATTGAAGTAGAGAGTAGAATGATGGTCACCAGAGGCTGGGGGTAGGTATGGGGAAAGAAAAGATATTGGCCAAAGGGTACAAAATCTCAGTTAGACAAGAGGAGTAAATTTTAGTGTTCAATTGCAGAACATGTTGACCATAGTTAATAATAGTGTATTATATATTTCAAAATTGCTAAAAGAGTAAATTTTAAATGTTTTCCCAAAGGGGAAAGAAAAGATAAGTAGGTGGAATAATGAATACGTTAATTTGCTTGATTTAATTATTCCACCATGTATACATATATTTAAAAATCACATTGGACTACATAAATATATACATATATTTTTAATTAAAATGTTTAAAAAGAAAATCTATTTTCACACAAATATCTGCACACAGATGTTTATAGCAGCTTTATTCCTAACTGCTACAAATTGGAAGCAAGCAAAATCTTCTTCAGGAGGGTAATGAATGAACTGTGGTTCATCTAGAATCTAGACAATGGAATATTATTTAGTGGTGAAGAAAGTGAAGTATGAAGACATGGAAAGATATAAAACAAAACGGCAGAGAATAATCAAGTTATGTCTCTTTCTTCTAGAGCCAGGATGGTCTTCTTCTTCTGACCTTGAAAATCAGAGTTCCAGATTCTTTTTTTTTTTTTTTTTTGAGACGGAGTCTCACTCTGTCGCCCAGGCTGGAGTGCAGTGTCGTGGTCTCGGCTCACTGCAAGCTCCGCCTCCCAGGTTCACGCCATTCTCCTGCCTCAGCCTCCCCAGTAGTTGGGGCTACAGGCGCCGGCCACCACGCCCACGCCCAGCTAATTTTTTGTATTTTTAGTAGAGACAGGGTTTCACTGTGTTAGCCAGGATGGTCTCGATCTCCTGACCTTGTTATCTTCCCGCCTCGGCCTCCCAAAGTGCTCGGATTACAGACGTGAGCCACGCACCTGGCTTTTTTTTTTTTTTTTTTTTTTCTCCAGGATTCCCACCAGTGGCTCCCTGGGCTTTTGGACCTTCAGCCTTGAACTGAGAGTTACACCATTGTCTTTCTTGGTTCTGAGGATTTTGGACTCAGACTGAGCCACATTATTGGTTTTCTTGGTTCTGTGTAAGTTAGGGTGTTTACTGTTAAAGTAAGAGCAATTACTGGGAAAGAATATGACCCTCCAAGTTGAGATGCAGATGTGAGGGATGACTCTATTGAAGCTGCAAACATTGTGCTCCCAAATTCTGATGAGTATTTTTTTTGCCAGTGTAGGTGGGCTTTACACTTTATTTTTTAACAGCTTTTCCAAATCTAATAGAGTTGTATGAGCCTTTTTGCCCCTGTTCCAGGGAATTCACTCTGCATTGCCTGAGGAAACGATAATGAATTCCCCTAAGGCAATTTCCAAGAAAGGCAATGCTGGCTGTTTTCAAGATTCACTTCTTCCATTCTCTTCTATTTCTAAACTAAACTCAAAACTCATAACTAAACTCAAAATCCAGCAGGCCACTAAAGGTGAGGTACAAAGTGTGACACACTCCAAAATATGCCACACTCCAAAAGAACTATTTGAGTTTTCTAATTAATACAAGCATAAATCTGGGGAAGATGTGGAGGAATAGATATTAAGGGTGTAGGAGAATGGCGGAAGGAACATTTAGTTGAATCAGGCTAAATTTATTTATATGGGCCTACAAAGCAGAGATTCTACATTTAATGTTGCAACTCAGTGAGTTAGAAAAGGCTTCAACAGTTTGTTTGCTTGGTTGGCTGAAACATGGATCAAAAGATGGCCCACCATGATAGAGTTCAAGATGCCCAATATTCCTTAGTTTAATGTGGAATAAAAGATTTAAAGGCTTAAGGAGACTGAAATGCTAAAATGTATTTGTCACTTAAAACTCACTCATTCACAGTTAGAGGGTTCAGAAGACATATCTTTCAAGAATACTTTGAGAAAGATTCGTGAATGGTACCCTAGCATTCTTGAAGAGCTTCGTGACTGCTCTTCTCTGTAGGTCAGACCTTACAGTGGAAACTGCAGTCATTTAATTAGAAAACATAAATGTGATGGGAATAGTTGGGTCTCAGTGTTGCAGGGACCAGTTGGCAGCATTTACCACCAAAGTCAAGGTAGGCATAGTTACCATAATGAACAACAGAGGTGGAGCAACAATCAGAATAGTCTGACTGACCAAGTGTAGTGGATCACGACTATAATCCCAGGGCTTTAGGAGGCTAAGATAGAAATATCCCTTGAGGCCAAGATACCAAGACCAGCCTGGGCAATAGAAGTGTGACCTCCGTCTCTCCAACGGAAAAGAAAAGATATATTAGCGTAGTGTGGTGGTGTGCATGTGTAGTCCCAGCGACTCTGAGGCAAGAGGAAGGAACATTGCTTGATCCCAGGAGTTTATGGGTGCGGTGAGCTAGAATTATGCCACTTCACTTAAACCTGGGTGACAGAGTTGATCCTATGTCAGAAAAATAAATATTAATTACAGTCTGACTTATGTAGAATTATGGCATTGGTAATTGATTATGATGTTTCTAGAAATGAAATAGGAATTCTCACTTAATCTTTATAAGCAGAAAACTTTCATGTTAAATGAACAAATATCTAATTCAAATTGTAAAAACAGAAAACCATTGTCCCTTAATCAATTCCTGATAAAGCATTATCTACTTCAATCATTGCATTAACTATTGTCAATGCTTCAGTAAGTACTAAGGCTGTTCCTCTTCTGCCAAAAAAAAAAAAAAAAAAAAAAGAAAAGAAAAGAAATACAAAACAGGTTGTTTGGCATTCTATTACAATGATTGGGCCGTCCATGTGTGTCTGCGAGGGTGTTTCCAGAGGAGATAAGCATGTAAGTCAGTGTACTGAGTGGGAAAGATTCACTCTCAATGTGAGTGAGCACCATACTGTCAACTGCCAACCAGAATGGATTAGAAAGGCAGAAGAAGCATGCATAGTTCTGCCTGTCTCTTCCCCTAGTTGATACACCCTCCCTCTCTTGCCCTTGGACTTGAGAACTCTGGGTTCTATGGCTTTTGAACTTCAGGACTTGCAACAATAGCCTCTGGACTCTGGGCTTTGGCCTTGAACTGAGAGTTACACCATTGGCTTCTTTGATTCTGTTGCCTTTGGACTTGGACTGGGAGCCATGCTAGCTACTTTTCTAGTTCTTCAGGTTCCAGATGGCATATTGTGGAAGTTCTCAGCTTCCATAATTGAGTGAGCCAATTCCTTTGATAAATCAATCAATCAATCAATCTATCTATCTATCTCTATATATATCTATATAGACTATATATATATCTATATAGACATACAGATTGATAGAGTTATATAGATATCTGGAGAACCTTGACTAAAAGAGTAGGTGAATGACTAAATAAATTGTGGTTCATCCAGACAATGAAATATAATTCATCACTAAAAATAACAGATATCAACACATGAAAATACATAGAGTAACTTTAAATGAATATTAACAAGTGAAAGAATTCAAGATAAAATGATACATACTTCATTATTCCAACTATTTGACATTCTTAAAAAGGCAAAACTGTTAAAAAAGTATAATAATCAATGTTTCCCAGGGGCTACAGGAGAGGGACAGATGAATAGGCAGAACAAAGAAGATTTTTAGGGCAGTGAAACTATTCTGTATAATAAAATATTAGATACATGTCAATACAAATTTGCCAAAACCCGTGCAATTTACAGAACCGTGATTGAATCCTAATGTAAACTATGGGCATTGGGTGATAATAATAAGTTAATGTAGGTTCATAGGTTGTAACATATATACCACTCCTGTGTGTGACGTTTATAGTAGAGGAGATTCTGCATGTATATTGGAAGGAGGTATATGGGAGCTCTCTGTTTTTTTCTTCTCAATATCACTGTGAACCTAAAACTGCTCTAAAAATAAAGGTTTTTTTTCTAAATAGAAGACTCATTTTTAATATAAAAATACAACCATCCTACAACATCTAATTTTACTTTTTAATTAGCTAGCTCAGTTATCATTCATTTGAGAAAAACATGCTAATCTATTCCAAGAAAGTCCTTTGATGTTTGCTTTTAATTTTTTAGCTTTTTCCACTGAGACTTAATGAAAAATTTTTAAAATAATCTTTGACTTTTGACAGCTTGAAAATATTTTCCATTTTTCTTTTGTCTCTGTGGGTTTTAATTTTAACATTTTATTTAACTTGTCATACTAGGTTTCTGTGTATTATTTAAATGAGTATAATTTATCTGTTACATTTAGTGATTTGCCTGCTATTGGGGGAAAAATCATTTTCATATCTCAGCATTTCCCAAATTTTTTTGCATAGAATATTTTAGATAACCTTTTATAAAAAGAATAGGACATGAATTCTACATTGTGAATTAACCATAGTCTTAATAAATCAAAAATATTTTTTGTTTAGTGCCGTTTAACACTTATGGTATAGCTAATATTTCTGAGCAATAAATTACTACAATATACAACAGCTTAAAATAATCATTTTATTATGCCATGAAGTCTTTGGATTTTAAATTTGAATAGGGCATAAAAGGAAAGGATTATCTTTGTTTCTCTCTGAAGGTGAGTCAGATGCTGGGGCAGGAATCATCTGAAACTGTTTTCACTCATATGCCTGGCAGTTAATATTGGTAATGGCCTGGGAACTTCACCCACAAAATCTAAAAGATTCACTATATGGATTTTCACAGATAAACTTTGCTGACTCTTAGTTTAGATTATTGATTTAAAAACCTTTTTATTTTCTCTTATAAGCATTTTAAGCTATAAATTACTCTCTAATTACTCATTTACTGTGATCTACATATTTATTAAACATTTTAATATGAAAACATAATCGCAAAACAAGTGAAATAATGGTGCAGTAATCATTTATATTTTAACTTCCTAAATTTTAAAGTTAACATTTTGTGTCCCAATAGACCTTATTCCCACCACATATGCATGTAATCCTAGCTATGGGAGGGTAACCGGACCCTCTCAGGCTCTGAGCCTAGTAAAAGAAGCTGCCTAAAGTCTACACAACTACACTATACCAGATAGAAAATTCTCACTAGATCTGACCTACCCCCACGATCCTAGCTGCTGCAGTATGGCACCATTTGGCCCAATGGAATCAATACCAAACCATATCTTGCCCCGGAGACCAAGAAACCTTGCATCTCCAAATCCCCAGGATCACACCAATATTACCCAATATCCACAAAAAGTGTGGCAGCATCACAACACTAGCTAAATATGACAGTGTGCCCATGTTCATGACATCCAACCTACCTAATGCCCTACACCCCAGAAAACAGATGGTCCAAGACCTCAGGGTTGTTACCTTCAGAAAACAAGAAGCCAAAACTTGTGCTTTCTATAGCCTAAGAGCTGCCTCTCTGGGGCTGTTGCCACCTACCGTAACCAGGCCTTCTCAACAGCAGGGCTGCCACGCATCAACACATGCCATTGTCACTTAGAAATTCCAAACCCAGCCTGTATTGATCACTGTAACCAATACTACTGGCGCCCACATGCACTATGCAAGAATCTGATCACTGGCCTGCCTGGCCCACCACCACAACAACCAGTGTTCATGCACCCTAACTAGGGATCTAAGAATTGGCCCACCTGGGACCTTCTTCTGCCACTGCCCAACCCAATGCAACTTGCCTGCTCCCCAGCACCCACACACACACAAAGAAAATAACCAGTCTGACTTAAGCCTCTCACCAGTACAGCTGGTCTTCAGGTGTATCACAGGAGCCTGAGAACCAGCCTTCTCAGTGTCTCTGTCCCCAGCAAAGCCTCATCATTGTCTCTACCAGCATCCACAGCCTAAGCCACTGAGAAACTCATAGACACCACTGACATTGATTACAGACCAAAAACAAAAATTATATGGGGATTACATTATGGCTCCCACTCAGAACTGAAACCAAAATACCCTACCAAACTAACATTGTAGATACAACTGCAGGAAAAAAATTTCCTTATGAAAGCTACTCCATAAAACTGGAAAAAAAATGACTGTTATACCAGATGTAAAGATATTGATGTAGAGACACAAGAAATACAAAAGGCGAGAAAACATGACACCTCCAAGCAACACAATAATCGCCAACTAATAACAGACCCCAAAGAAAAAGAAATTGATAAAATGCTATAAAAATAATTAATAATTATTATCTTAGGAAAACTCAGTGAAATTAAAACACACACACACACATAAATAACACAAAGGAATCAGAATACATGATGTGAAGAAATTTTAAGTAAAAGATGTCATAAAAGAGAATAAAACAAACCATGAAACTAAAAAAATCAATGCATGAAATAAAACTACATTAGAAAGACTCAACTATAAAATAAATTAAGCAGAAGGAAGAATTTCTAAACTTATAGACACGTTTTTTTACAAGAATACAGTCGGACAGAAGAAAAGAAAACGGAAAGAGAATAAAGAAATCCTACATGACATATGGAATACCATCAAGCAAACAAACGTATTCCTTGTTGGCAGCTGTAGCAGAAGTAGAAAAAGGCATAAAATTTTCAAAAAATAATAGCTGAACACTTCCTAAGTCTTGAAATAATGATACATAGATGATAGATAGATAGATAGATAGATAGATAGATAGATAGATAGACAGATAGATAGATAGATAGATGATAGAGGAAGGTCAAATATTTCTAAATAGATTCAACTCAAAAATGTCTTTTCTGATGCACATTAAAATCAAATAGTCAAAAGTCAAAAACAAAGAGAGATTTCCAAAAACAGCAAAAGAATAGTAAGCCACGTAAAAGGGAATATCCACCAGAGTAGCAGCATATTTCCCAGTAGAATCCTTACAGAACAAGATAAAATAGTATATTCAAAGTGCTGAAAGGGAAAAATTTTGAGCCTGGAATACTATAACTAGCAAAGCTTTTTTTTTTTTCTTTCAGAAATTAAAGACAAAGTTTTTCAAAGACAAGCAAAATCTGAGGAAATTAATCTCCACTAGATTGGCCCCATAAAAATGTTAAAAGTACTCCTACATTTGGGAAGAAAAGAACAATATATATCACTATAAAAACACAAGAATGTATAAAACTCAGTAGTAGAGCAGATATACATATGAGAAAGACAAAATAATTAAACCTTATAAGTAGAGAAAATGGCCAAATTGCAATGAGAAACAATAAGAGGAAAAATAGGAAAAAGAATATACAAAACAATCAGAAAACAATTAACAAAATAACAAGAGTAAGCCCTCACCTATCTATAAGAAGCTTAAGTATAAATAATTTAAATTCTCAGATAAATGTGTATAGGCTGGCTGAGTGGATAAAAGAAAAAGACTCAACTATATGCTGCCTACAAGAAATTCACTTTACCTTTTTAAGTGAAAAGAACAAAGATATTTTACGCAAACAAAAACCAAGAGCATGCAAGAGTAGCTAGGAGTAGCTATACTTATGTCAGAAAAAGTAAACTCCAAGTAAAAAAAAAAAACACATAACAGGAAGACAGAGAAGGTTATTGTATAATGACAAAGGGATCAATTCAGCAAGAGGGTATGAAAATTATAAATATTTATGCATTCAACACCAGAGCACTAAGGCATATAAAGCAAATACACTTAATGCTAAAGAGATAGACCCTGATATAATAATCATTGAGAATTTCAACTTCCTGCTTTTGTATAGGACGAATCATCTTGACAGAAAATCAACAAAAAATATTGCACTTAATATGCAATATAGACCTGAGATTGTTAGGCTTTGTGTCCCCACTCGAATCTCATCTTGAATTATAATCCCCATAATCCCCACATGTCAAGGGAGAGACCAAGTGGAGGTAGTTGAATCATGGAGGCAGTTTTCCCCATGCTGTTCTCATGATAGTGAGTGAGTTCTCAAAAGATCTGATGGTTTTATAACTGTTTGGTAGCTCCTCCTGCATTGATTCTCCCTCCTGCCACCTTGTGTAGAAGGTGCATTGCTTCCTTTTGCCTTCCACTATGATTGTAAGTTTTCTGATGTCTCCCAGCCATGCGGAATTGTGAGACAATTAAACCTCTTTCCTTTATAAATTACCCAGTCTTCGGAAGTTCTTTATAGCAGTATGAGAACAGACTAATACAGGCCAATGGGATCTAGGTAAAAATTTATAAAAAAAATTTCTCCAATACCTGTAGAATACACATTCTTATTGTCAGAACATTGAACATTCTCCAAAATAGACCATATGTTAATCCACAAAACAAGTATAAACAGCTATAAAAACTCAAAGTAATATCAAATAACTTCTCAGACCACAATAAAAAAATCCTGGAAGTCAACAACAAATAAAACTCTGGAAACTGTCCAAATATTTGGAAATTAAACAGCATGCTCCTGAAGGACAACTGCATCAATAAAATAATGATAAATATAAATAAAATTAATGATAAAAATAAGGATAATGAAAATATGGCATGTCCAAAGCTATGGGATACAGAAAAAGCAGTAATAAAAGGGAAGTTTATAGCAATAAGCAACTATATTTTTAAAAGTATGATGATTTCAAATAAGCAACCTAACATTGCACATGGAGGAACTAGAAAAGCAAGAAAAAGCCAAACCACAAATTAGTAGGAAAAAAAAGAAGAAATAAAGACCAGAGCACAAGTAAACAGAAGAGAAACTAAAATAAATAAATAAATAAATAAATAAAATAAAAGGTCAACCAAATTAAAATTGTTTTTGGAAAGGATAAAATCAAACCATTAGTTAGAATAATTAAATAAAAAGAGGCAATATCTCTATAAATAAAATCGGAAAGAGAAAAGAGGATATTACAACTGACACTACAAAAATACAAATGACCACTAGTGAATGCTATAAACAAATATACACCAGCAAATTATAAAACCTAGAGAAAACAGGTAAATTCATGGATATATATAAACTACCAAGAATGAAAGAGAGAAAAACAGAAAACCTGAACAGACCAAAACATGTACTAACATTGATTCAGTAATAAAAAGTTGAACAACAAAGAAAAGTCCAAAACAAGATGGCTTTACTGCTCAATTCTACAAAACTTTTAAACACGAGATAACATCAACTCTTAAAGTATTTAAACAAACTGAAGGCAAGGAAATTCTTTCAAACTTATTTTACAAGGACAGTATTGCCCTTATAGCAAAACTGGAGTATGATACCACTTTTCCCCTCACCAAAAAAAAAAAAAAAAAAAAAAAAAAAGAAAAAGAAAAAGAAAAAACTACAAGCCAATAACCCTGATGAACATAGACGTAAAAATCGTTAGGAAAATAGTAGCAAACTATATTCAACAACACATCAAAAAGATAGCATCCCCTGAGCATGTGGAAATTATCCCACAAATACAAGCATGGTTAAATATATGTAAATCAATAAATGTGGTATATAACTTCAAGAGAAAGAAATTAAAAAAAAATGATCATCGCAACATACACTAAAACCATTTGATGAAATTCAATACCCCTTTGGGATAAAAGCTCTCAACAAATTGAGTCTAGCAAAACATACCTTAAAACAATAAAGGCCATATATAACAAACTCACAACTAACATCACACTGAATGGGGAAAAGCCAAAAGCCTTTCTCTAAGAACTGCAACAAGAAAAGAATGCCCACTCTCACCACTCTTATTTAACATAGTACTGGAATTTCTAGCAGAAGCAATTGGGCAAGAAAAAAAACAAAGAAAATTCAAATTGGGGAAAAAAATGAAAGTCAAATTGTCCCTCTTTGCAGAAAAACCTACAGACTCTTCCAAAAACTCTTAGAACTAATTGATAAACGAATTAAGTAAAGTGACAGGATACAAAATCAACATACAAAAAATAACAATTATAATAGTTTCAAAAAAACTAAAAATAAATTAACCAAGGAGATTAACTATCTATACAATGAAACCGACAAAAAAAGGATAAATAATTCATAAGGACACATAAAATAATGGCAAAACATCTGATGCTCATGAATTAGTATAATTAATACTGTAAACTTGACCATACTTTCCAAAGCAATCTACCTATTCAATTCTTATCAAAATATTAATAAAAATTTTCAAAGAAATATTTTTAAAAAACTTCAAAAAGTCATGTGGAAGCACAAAATGCCCCAAATAGTAAGACCAATACTGACAAAAAGAACAAAGCTGGAGGTGTCAAAGTACCTGACTTTAAATTTACTGCAAAGCTATAGTAACAAAAACAACATGTTATTGGTATAAAAACAGACACATAGACCAATAGAACAGAATAGAGGACACAGAAATAAATCCATGTTTATAGCCAACTGATTTTTTTACAAAGGTGCTGAGGGCTTACAGTGGGCAAAATACATCATCTTTAACAAATGATTCTGGGAAAACTGGATATCCACAAGGAGAATGAACCTAGACCCCTGTGTCTAACAACATACAAAAATCAACTCAAAATGCATTAAAGACTTAAGCTTTGAAACTACCAGAAGATAATATAATGGTAATCCTTCAGGGCATTAACATGTGCAAAGATTTTATAAGTAACACTTCAAAATAACAGAAAACAAAACCAGAAATAGACAAATGGGAATATATCAAACTAAAAATCTTCTGTATAGCAAAGAAAAAAAAAGAGTGAAGAGAAAACCTGGAGAATGAGAGAAAACATTTGTAAACCATCTATCTAACAATAGACTAATAGCTAGAATATACAAAGAACTTAAACAACTCAACAGCAAACAATAATAATCATTGTCATCTGACTAAAATTAGACAAAGGATCTGAACAGATATTTCTCAAAAGAAGACATACAGATGGTCAACTCTATATCTATATTTTTTTTTTTAAAAAAAGCTTCTCTAATCTTTAGGAAAATGTGAATTAAAGCCATAAGGAAATATCATCTTAGTCTAGTTAGAATGGTGATCAACAAAAAGACAAAAAGAGAAATTAGTACTAGCAAGAATATGGAGAAAAGGAAACTCTTATACACTGTTGTAAAAATGTAAATTAGTAAAGGCATGAAAAACAGCATGGAGGTTTCTCAATAAACTAAAAATAATACTGCCATATGATCCAACAATTCCAGTGCTGGATATTTATTCAAAAGAATTATAATAAATACATTAAAAACATATCTGCTCCATCATGTTTATTGTAGTTTTATTCACAATTGCCAAGATATGGAGACAACCTAAATGTTCATCAGCAGATGAATGATGTAGTTTTAGCATATATACAAAATGGAATATAATTTACCTATAAAAAAGAAAGATTATTTTATTCATGGCAACATGGATGAGTCTGAAGGACGTTATGTTAAATGAATTATACAAAGCACAGAAATAATTACCGCATGTCCTTACTCACATGTGGGAGCTAAAAAAACAACATTGCACCCAAAGAAGTAGGCACTAGATCTGTGGTTATTCGAGAGTTAAAATGGTGTCAGGGAAGACGATATACAGTGGTTAGTTAACAGATACAAAGCTACAGCTAGATGAGAGATGAAAGTTCTGGTGTTCTATAGGAATGTAAGGTAAATATAGTTAAAAATAATTTAGTGTATATATTTTAAAAAGCTAGAAGAGAGGATTTTGAATATTCACAAAACAAAAAATTATAAATCTTTGAAGTGATGGGTGTGCTAATTACCCTAATTTGGTCTACCAATTTTATATATGTATTAAAATATTACTCTGTGTCTCATAAATATGTACAAATATTATGTGCCAAGAAAATACAGAAAAGAAAGAATAGAGCTAAAGCCACTCGAAAAAAAATTAAATGAACAGTTTCTTATATTTTCCCGGTTACGTATTTATACCTATTTCTATTTTTTCATCAATACATTTTACTTTTTCATGTATTTAAGAGAAATTTTCAGACACCTCAAACATCTATGCATATAATAAACTTGAATTCAATAGGAGATAATAGTTCTTTTTATGGGAAGGTAATATTTATAAAAAGTGTAATGTACAATTTCTATGTATACCATTTAATGAGTTTTTAGAGGAGCTTTATTGAGATATAATTTACATATTATATTATTGACCCAATTAAGTTGTACAGTTCAATTGTGTTTAATATAGTTAGAGATATTTACAAGCATTAGCACTAATTTAGAACATATTAATCACCTGAGAAAGAAACTATATTCTTTGGCTACTACTACTCTATTTTCCTTCCTCCCCTCCCCCCACATCTATAGGCAAATATTAATCTACTTTCTGTCTTTATATATTACCCTATTCCTGACATTTTATATAATTGAGATGATATAATGTGTGGTTACTTGTGTCTGGCTTTTTCACTTAGCATAACATTACCTAGGTTTATATATGTAGCAGTTATAATTACTTAACTTGTAATGGCTGAATAATATTTCATTAAAGGATATATCACATTTTACTTATCCATTAATCGGTGGATGAAAATTAACAATTCATATGTTTATTCACTGATAAATGGAGAAGCAAAATGTGGTATATCCTTTAATGGACAATTATTGCTATAAGTATTCATGTACAAATTTTTCCATGAACATATGTTTTAATTTCTCTTGGGTGTATACTTAGGAGTGCAATTGATTAATTGTGTGGCAGTTATAAGTGCTATCATTTGAAGAACTATTGAATGTTTTCTATAGCAGCTGCATCATTTTACATTCCCAAGAGCAGTATATGAAGGTTCTGTTTTTCACAATGGTTGAACTAATTTATACTCCCATGACAGTGTATATATTTTTCTTTGTCTCCGCAACCTTGCTAGCACATGTTATTTTTTAACTTTTTAATACTAGCCATTCTGACTGGTGTGAGATGGTATCTCATTGTGGTTATGATTTGCATTTCCCTAATGATTAGATATGCTGAGCATTTTTTCATATGCTTGTTTGTTGTGTGTATCTCTTCTTTTGACAAATGTGTGTTCATAGTCTTTGTCCACTTTTAAATGTGATTGTTCATTTCTTGCCTGTTAACTTGTTTACGTTTCTTACAGATCCTGCATATTAGACCCTTATCAGATGCATAGTTTGCAATAACTTTCTTCTGTTTTTTAGGTTGTCTGATTAATCTGTTGATAGTATTTTTTTTTTCCTGTGGAGAAGCTCTTTAGTTTAAGTAAGTCTATCTTATTTTAATTCTTGATTTTGTTGTGATTGCTTTTGGTATCTCGGTCATAAAATCTTTGCCTATTTCTATGTATATAATGGTATTGCCTAAGTTGTTTACCTGGTTGTTTATAGTTCTGGGTTTTACATTTAAGCTTTAGTCCATGTTGAATTGATTTTTGTATATGGTGTAAGTAAAAGGTCCAGTTTCAATCTTCTGAATATGGCTAGCCAGTTATTCTAGCACCATGTATTGAATAGAGAGGCCTTTCCCCATGTAATGTAATTAGACTTTTGTCAGATGGGATAGATTGTAAAAATTTTCACCCATTCTGTAAGTTGTCTGCTTACTCTGATAATAGTTACTTTTGCTGTGCAGAAGCTTTTTAGCTTAATTAGATCCCATATGTCAATTTTTCTTTTGTTGCAGTTGCTTTTGGCTTTTTTATCATAAAATCTTTGCCTGTGTCTATGATCTGATTGATATAGCCTAGATTTTTTTCCAGGGTTTTTATAGTTCTGGGTTTTACATCTAAGATTTTAATCCATTTTCAGTTAGTTTTTGCATGAGGTGTAAAAAAAATTTAAAAAGTCCAGTTTCAATTCTCTGCATATGGCTAGCTAGTTTTTCCAGCACAATTTATTAAATAGGGGATGATTTTCCCAATGCTTGTTTTTGTCTGGTTTGTCAAAGATCAGATGGTTGTATATGTGCAGTTTTATTTCTGAGTTCTCTACTTTGTTGCGTTGTTCTATGTGTCTGTTTTGTACCAGTACCATGCTGTTTTGGTTACTGTAGCCTTGTATTATAGCTTGAAGTTGTGTAGTATGAAGCCTCCAGCTTTGTTCTTCTTGCTTAGGATTGTCTTTGCTATATGGGCTATTTTGGTTCTACATGAATTTTAAAATAATTTTTTTCTAATTCTGTGAAGAATGCTAATGTTAGTTTAATGAAAATAACAATTAATCTATAAATTACTTTGGCCAGTATAACCTTTTTTACAAAATTATTTTTTTTTCTATCCATGAGCATGGAATGTTTTTACATTTGTTTGTGTCCTCTCTGATTTCCTTGAACAGTGGTTTGCAGGTCTCCTTGAAAAGGTCCTTTACTTTTCTTGTTAGCTGTATTCCTAGGTATTTTATTCTCTTTGTGGCAATTGTGAATGAGAGTTCATTTATGATTTGACTCTCTGCTTGCCTGTTGTTGATGTATAGAAATGCTTGTGGTTTTTGCACATTGATTTCTTATCCTGGGACTTTGCTGAATTTGCTTATCAGCTTAAGAAACTTTTGGGCTGAGTTGAGGGGGTTTTCTAGATATAGGATTATGTCATCTGCAAATGAAGAAAATTTGATTTCCTCTTTTTTACGTGATTACCCTTTATTTCTTTCTCTTGCCTGATTGCTCTGGCCAGAACTTCCAATACTATGTTGAATACGAGTGGTGAGAAAGAGAATTCTTGTCTTGTGCCAGTTTTCAAGGGGAAGGCTTCCTGCATTTGTCCATTCAGTATGATATTGGCTGTGGGTCTGTCATAAATGGCTCTTATTATTTTGAGGTATGTGCCTTCAATACCCAGTTTAATGAGATTTTTTAACATAAAGGGATGCTAAATTTTATCAAAGGCTTTTTTCTGCCTCTATTGAGATAATCATGTGGTTTTCATCTTTAGTTATAAGCTTTTCGACGTGCTGATGGATTCAGTATGCCAGTATTTTATTGAGGATTCTTGCATCGATGTTCATCAGAGATACTGGCCTGAAGCTTTCTTTTTATGTTGTATCTCTGCCAGGTTTTGGTATCAGGATAATGCTGGCCTCATAAAATGAGTTAGGGAGGACTCCCTCCTTTTCAATTGTTTGGAATAGTTTCACAATAAATGATACCATCTCCTCTTTGTACTTCAGGTAAAATTCAGCTGTAAATCTGTCTTGTCTTGGGTTTTTTTTGGTTGGTAGACTATTTATTGCTGCTTCAATTTTAGAACTCATTATTAATCAAATCAGAGATTCCACTTCTTCCTGGTTCAGTCTTGGGAGGGTATATGTGTCCAGGAATTAATCCTTTTCTTCTACATTTTCTAGTTTATTTGTATATAGCTGTTTACAGTATTCTCTGATGGTTGTTTGTGTTTATGTAGGTTTAGTGGTGATATCTCCTTTATCATTTTATTGTATCTATTTGATTCTTCTCTGTTCTTTATTAGTGTAGCTCCATTTTACTTTTTCAGTAATAGCTAATAGACTATTTAATAGACTAATAGCTAATAGTCTATTTTATTATTTTTAGAATATAGACTAATAACTAATAGTCTGTTTTATTATTTTTTTCAAAAAAAAAACTGCTTCTGGTTTCATTAATTTTTGAAGGTTTCTCCTGTCTCTATCTCCTTCAGTTCCACTCTGATTTTGGTTATTTCTTGTCTTTTGCTAGCTTTGAGATTTGTTTGCTCTTGCTTCACTAGTTGTTTTAGGTGTAAAGTTAGGGTGTCAATTTGATATCTTTCCAGCTTTCTAATGTGGGCATTTAGTGCTATAAATTTCATAGCATCTTGGCTGACAGTACCTATCCATGAAAGACCTCCAACAGACTGGCCACCACCATGTTACAACCACTCAAATGCAGCCTCCCCCGACCACAGCCTCCTCCACTGCTTTGCCGGCATATACTCACCACAGCCACCCCCAAGCAAATTGGTGGTGTGAGTGCATAAGTGGAACTCACCTTGCCTCCCCCAGTGGTATGTATGTGCATGCACTCTGTCACCCTCACCACTCCCAGCATGAGCACATGCATGCATGCCACCACCTCGCCACTATGGGCACATGAGCACCCTGCCACATCATCAACACAACTAGTGTGTGCCTAAATACCGCCCTGGCCAACACATACACATCACAGATCCTGCTGCCAATTCACTCCAAAAAAGTGCTTTAGCTGGTATTCCCTCCATCAGAGTGCTGTTGACAGTGGGCTTGGATTAGCTCAGCCCCGCATTACAGCAGACTCCTAACCTCAAGGGGCCAGAGAGCAAAGTTGGGGGTAGAATAACAGCCCACCAGGGTTAGAGCATGCAGTCAATGAGTGATAAGCTGAGTACTGGCTCCCTGAAATTTTCCAGAAATAAAGCCAATCGACTAAACCCACTTTATACCACAATCAAACCATTAAGAGCATGAAAAAAGATAAAAGCAAAAGACCCCATCAAAAGCACAGCAACTTCAAAGATTACAAGAACATCAACTCACACAGATGAGAAAGAACCAGTGAAAGGACTCTGGCAACTGAAAAAGTCACAGTGTCCTCTTACCTCCAAACAATTGTGAAACCTCCCCAGCAATGGCTAGAGACCATTGGCACTATAAAGTGACTACACAATATAGTCTGCATAATAATCAGCTAACAAAACAATGACAAGAGAAAATCCACAAATACCAATATTAATCTTGAACATAAATGGGCTAAATACCTCACGTAAAAGGCACAGAGTTGCATATAGGATAAAGAAGCAAGAGCCAAATATATTCTGTCTTCAAGAGGCCCATCTCACATGCAATGACATTCATAGGCACAAAGTGAAGGAATGGAGAAAAATCTACCAAGCAAATGAAAAACACAAAAACTTAGGAGTTGTTATGCTAAATTCAGACAAAACGGACTTTAAATCAACAACGACAAAAAAATAGTCAACAATATCATCACATACAGGTAAGGATTGAGTTTAACAAGAAGACTTAACGATCACAAATATATATGCACCAAACACAGAAACACTGAGATTCATAAAACAAATTCTTAGAGAATATGGAAAAGACTTAGATATCCACACAATAATAGTGGGAGACTTCAACATTTTATTGACTGTATTAGACAAATCATTGAGGCAGAAAACTAACAAAATTTTTGTGACCTAATCTTGACTCTTGACCAAATGGACCTAATAGACATCTAGAGAACTCTCCATCCAAAAGAACAGAATATGCATTTTTCTTATCTACACATGGCACATACTCCAAAATCAATCACACAATTGGTTGTATAAAAAAATCTCAGCAAATACAAAAACAAACAAACAAACAAACAAAAAAACCAGACAACAAAAAAGAAATCAAACCAACCATACTCTTAGAACCTAGCAGAATACAAATATAAATCAATACTAAGAAGATCACACAAAATCATATAATTATATGGAAATTGAATCTGCTCCTGAATGATTTTTGGGTAAACAGTAAAATTAAGGCAGGAATCAAGGAATGCTCTGAAATTAGTGGAAACGAAGATACAACATACCAGAATCTGGCACACAGCTAAAGCACTGTTAAGAGGAAAGTTTATAACACTGAATGCCCACATCAAAACGTTAGAAAGATCTGAATTTAACAACCTAACATCACACCCAAAAAAACTACAAAAACAAAAGTAAACCAATCGCAAAGCTAGCATTAAGACAAGAAATAACAAAAATCCAACCTGAACAAAAGGAAATTGAGATGTGAAGGCGACATACAAAAGATTAATGATTCCAGAAGTTGGTTTGAAAGAACGTGAGCCAGGCTAATAAAAAAAAAAAAGAGAGAAAATCCAAATATACTAGATTATAAATAAGAAAGGGGACATTACCACTGACCTCAGAGAAATACGGAAAGCCCTCAGAGACTATCATAAACACTCCTACATACACAAACTAGAAATCTTGAACAACTGGAGAAATTCTTGGAAACATATAACCTTCCAAGGTTGAGTTAGGTAGAAATTGAAACCCCAAACAGACAAATAATGAGTTTTAAAATTGAATCAGTAATAGAAAGCCCACCAGTTAGGAAAAGCCCTATACCAGATTGATTCACAGCTGCATTCTACAAGACATAGGAATAGTAACTTGTGCCATTTCTACTAAAACTATCTGAGACTGTTTCAAAAAAAATTGAGAAGACAGTCGTCCTTAACTCATTCTGTTAGGTCGGCATCATCCTTATACCAAAACCTGGCCAAGACACAACAACCACCAAAAAAACTCAGGCCAATCTTTTTGCTAACATAGATGCAAAATTCCTAATGAAATGTTGGCAAACCAAATTCAGAAGCACATCAAAAAGCAAGTCCACCAACCAAGTAGGCTTTATTTCTGGTATGAATATTTTAATGATATTAAATATGTCAGTACATAAGCATGAGATTTATTTATTTTGTCTAATTTCAACTTTTTCAGCCATGTTTTGGAGTTTTCACTGTATAAGTTTTCACCTCCTTGGTTAAGTTTATTTCTAAGTATTTTATTCTTATTAGTACCATTGTAAATTAAATTGTTTTCTTAATTTTCTGTTTTATTATTTTCTGTTACTGTATAGAAATAAAACTAATTTTGTATGTTCATTTTGTATCCTGAAGCCTTGCTGAATTTGCTTTCTAGTTATAAAAGGTGTGTGTGTGTGTGTGTGTGTGTGTGTGTGTGTGTGTGTGTGTGATCTTTAGTGATTTTTACATATAAGAGCATGTCATCTACGAAATGAGGTAATTTTATTTATTTTCTGTTTGGATAAATTTTATTTCCTTTTGTTGCCTAATAACTTCAGCTATTATTTCCTTAACTGTTTTGATTAGAATTGGTGAGAGTGAGTGTCCTTCTCTTGTTTAGAATCTTAGAGGAAAAAAATATGTTTCTTACTGGTGAGTGTAATGCTAGCTGTTGCCTTTACATATATGGCCTTGATCAGGATCAGGTGGATTCCTTCTATATGTAGTCTGTTGACAATTTCTATCATTGAATGGTGTTGAATTAAGCCAAATGCTTGTTTTTCATCTCTTGAAATGATTATGTAATTTTGTCCTTTAGTTTATTATTTTTCATAATTATTAATTTTATTTTATTACATTGATTGAAGTTTATAATTTGAACCAACCCTACATCCCAGGAATAAATATTGAATGATGCATGTTTCTTTTAAAGTGCTGTTAAATGCAGAGTGCTAGTATTTTGTTGAGAATTTTCACATCTATATTTATCAGAGATGTTTGCCTGTCATTTTCTTTTTCTGAGACACTACAGAAAAAGAAATGACAGGCAAACATTTTTGATGCATACAGATCTGTAGCTATGGAATTAGAGTAATGCTGGCCTAATACAATGTGTTTGACCGTCTCTTCCTTTAAATTTTTAGAGTTTTAGAAAAATTGTTATTTATTTTTTAAAAAATATTTTGTAGAATTATCTAGTAAAGCCACATGGTCCCGGGCCTTTCTTTGTTGAAAGATGTTTGATTACTGATTCAAGCACCTTATTTGTTTTTCATATGTTCAGATTTTCTATTCATTTATAATTCTGTTTTAGTAGGTTATGTATTTCTAGGAACTTACTTCCTCAAAGTGATCCAATTTGTTGATATATAATTGTTCATAGTAGCCTATCATTCCTTTTATATCTGTGGCATTAGTTTTAATGTGTCCTTTTTCATTTCTGATTTTGTAGTTAAAGCTGCTTTATCTTTTAATATAGCTAAAGATTTGTTGCTTTTGTTGATATTCTAAAAAAACATTTAATTTACTTATTTTTTTATTTGTTTATTCTCCGATTTATTTATCTCTGCCACAATCTTTGCTGTTTTCTTCCTTATGCTAATGCTGGGCTTAATTTGTTTTTCTTTTTATTTTCTTAAGATACAAAGTCTTTTTTTATATTTCTTTTTTTTCTTTTAATGTTTTAGAGCAATGAATTTCCATTTTGATACTTATTTTGCTGTATCCCATAGTTTTATGTTATTTATTTGTCTCAGTATATTTTTAATTTGCTATTTGATTTCTTCTTTGTCCCAATGATTGCTCAAGAATGTTATTTTACTTTCCACATATTTGTGAATTTTCCAGTTTTCATCTGCTATATATTGCATTGTGTCATGGTCCTAAAATATACTTGCCATGATTTCAACACTTTTAAATTCTTAAAATTCTTAAGTTAAAACTTAGTTTGCAACATAACAGATTCTGGAGAATGTTTTTTGTGCACTTGAGAAGAACATGTATTCTGCTGCTATTAGGTGGAATGATCTGTTATATATGCCTGTTAGGTCCAAATGGTCTATAATGTTTTCATGTCATTTGTTACTTTGTTGATCCTCTGTCTGTATGGTCTATCTACTATTGAAAGTAAGATATTGAAATTTTATAAGATTTTGTGTTGCTGTCTATTTCTCCATGAGTCCTGTAAATATTTGCTTCATATTAGTGTGTACTGATGTTGGATGCCTATATCTATATATAGATGCATTTATTGTACATATTATATATATTGTATGTATATATACAATTTGTTATTGTATAATATTCTTCTAATCTTGTGACAATTTTTGACTTAAAGAGTATTTTATCTGATATAAGTAAGGTGACCCCTGCTTTCTTTTGGATATTATTTGCATAAGATATTCTCTATATCCCTTCACTTTCAGCTAATGTAGGTTTTAAAATCTAAAATGAGTCTCTAGTTGACAGAATATAGTAGAAATTTTTTATTAAAGTGTTCAGCCAGTGTACATCTTTTGATTGGGAAATTTAATGTACTTATATTTAAAGTAATTATTAATAGCAAAATATTTACTACTGTCATTTTGTTAATTGTTTTCTATCTGGTAGCTCTTTTGTTCCTTTTTGCCTATCTTGCTATCATTGTGTTTTGTTAAATTTTTAGTGTCTTTTTTTATTCATATCTCATTTTCTTTTATGTACTATCTATAGAATTTTTTTGTTGTTACTATAGAACTTAAATACCCTGTAGTTATAACAATTTTAAGCTAATAATAGTTTAAATACAATTGCATACAAAATGTCTATTCTTTTACTTCACCGCTCAACACTTTATGTTGTCGATGTTACAAATTACGTTATTATATTGTATATGAATTAACATGTTTTAAAGTTATAGTTGTTTTTATACCTTTGTCTTTTAATATCTATACCAGAATTAAAAGACATTTACATATGACTAACAAAATTTCAGTATTCTGTATTCATTTATATATTTACCTTTACATGCAAATTTTATTTTTACATGATTTTGTGTTTTTGTCTAGCACTGTTTTGTTTCAAATTCAAGGACTTCTTTAGCATTTAGTCTAAGTCAAGTTTAGTGGTGATGTTCTCCCTCAGTTCTTATTTATTTGAGAAAGTCTGTATTTTGCCATCAGTTTGAAGTAGAACTTTGTCAGATATAATGAAATGTCACAGGATTCTTTGGATGTCACTTCACAAGCCGGAAACCTCTGTGGCTGGTGATGCCTCAGCTTGAGTTTCACTCGTGCCCACTGGGCTTGTACCACCAACTCAGCCCAGCAGGCAGCTCTCGGCTTGCACTACTATTCCAGATTCCATGCCTGCTGAAGGCAAGCCGAGTGCGGAGCAGTGAGGTTTGTGTGAGCAAGTGAGTGTGGGGTCTGGCCACTGCTCACAGCCAGTCATGCCAGCTGTTGCAGTGGGGTGGGCAGCTCCACGTGCTGGTTCAGGCACCAGCTCTGTTTAACGCTGTGGCTGGATCATGCATACTGCTAGCAGCTTCCACTGCAGTCGTCGGCATCTGGATAAGGGGAATATAGTGCCACCTGAAAACTCAGTCGCCAGCAACTGTGAAGCTCTAAGGCATGGCAGGGGTGTGGTGTGCTACAGCTCTCTCCCGCTGCTTACAGCTCAGCAAATGGGGAGGGGCATGTTTTATCTCGTTCAGTCCCATAACCTCTGGCTTGTGGGTCATGGGCTGGCCTAACCCTGCCACCACTTAGCATCATGTAGGGTAGCCACATGATGCTGGCGGGAAGACTATCGTGTTACAGTTCTGGCTTGGGGAATTCCAAGGTCTGGGCCCTCAGAAGGGTCTTCACTCTTCACTCCCACAGTCTGGTGAATGGGAGTGTGCCACTGACTGCAGCTCAGTGAGCCAGCCAGGAATGTGTTAGAACCCTTTTCATGCCCACTGTTTGGTGGGTTGAGAGTTATTTTCCCACACCCAGGAAGAATGAGGTTATGCAGAAAACTGAAGTGTGAGCAAGACAGAGAAGAGTTTTACTGAGCCACAGAGTGGCTCTCAGCATAGAGGAGACCCAAAGTGGGTAGCTCCTACCTGCAGGTGGGTAGTCCTGATGTGTGGCTGAGTCCAGGGTTTTTATAGGCTCAGAATGGAGAAAGTGCATGCTGACTGGTCCATGGGTGGGAGGAAGTATGTGCTAATTAGTCCATGGGCAGGCCTGAAAAAGCACCCTTTGGCTAAAAGAAATCAAGAAAGTTTTTACCCTGGGTCATAGATTCTACTCAGAACTGGCAGCTTGTTTTTCAGGCTTCAGGCTGTCATTGGCTCGAAGGTTGTGTTTCACTGGGGGCCCATCCCTTTTGTGCCTAGGAATTCGTCTGACTCCTGTCTCTATGAATACTAGGTTTTCAGATTTTTTTCAACACTTTGAATATATCATTTCACTCTTTTGTCCATAAGGTTTCTGCTGAGAAATCTACTGATAGTATTATGAAGGCTTCTTTGTATATGATGAGTCATTTATCTTTTGCTGCTTTTAAATTTATTTCTTAGTCTTTGACATTTCACAATTTCATTATAATATGTCTTAATGTGGATTTGTTTTGAATACTTCTAGCTCGAGCCCACAGGACTTCTTGAATTTGGATGTTAATTTTCTTCCTTTGATTTTTTGAGATTCATAAGCTATTCAAATATTCTTTCTGACACTTTCTCTCTTTGCTCCCTGAGATTTCCATAATGTGTATATTGGTCTATTTCATGACATTCCACTAGTCCCTTATACTTTCTTTAATTTTTATATTATTATTTTTCTCTTCTCCCTGGATTTTTTAACTTTTTTTTTCCAAATATTTATGGGTACATAGTAGATGTATATAATTATGAGGTACATGCCATAATACAATGCATAATAATCACATCAGAGTAAATGAAGTATTCATCAACTCAAGCATTTGTCTGTTTTTTTTTTGCATTATGAACATTCCATTTATATTTAGTTATAAAATTTGCAAAAAATTATTTTTTACCTTACTTACCCTTTTGTGCTATCAAATATTGATCTTATTCATACTATATTTTTTCAGTAAACTTCCCCACTTCTTCCACCACACACACACACACCCACACACACACAAATGTTTCCATCCTCTGATATCATTCTATTATCTTGTTTTAATTTTTACATCGCACAAATGAGTAAGAAAACGCAAAGCTTTTCTTTCTAAGCCTTGCTGTTTTACTTAAGTTAGCGTCCTTCAGATCTGTCCATGTTGTTGCAAAAGACAGGATCTCATTTTTCTTATGGCTGAATAATAACACATCGTTAACATGTACAACATTTTCTTTATACATTCATCTGTTGATGAACATTTACTTGACTCCTAAATCTTAGCTATTGTAAATAGTGCTGCAACAAACATAGGGGTGCAAAAAACTCTTTGATATACTGATTTAGTTCCTTTTAGGTATGTACCCAGAAGTGGAATTGCTGGATCATATGAAGTTCTATTTTCAGTTATTTAAAAAAACCTCCTTACTGTTCTCCATAGCGGTGGTACTAATTTACATTTCCACAAACAGTGTACAAGGGTTTTCTTTTCTCAACATCTTTGCCAGCATTCATTGTCACCTGACTTTTGGATAAAAGCCATTTTAATTGGCTTAAGAAAATATCTCATTGTAGTTTTGCTGTTCATTTCTCTGATGATCAGTCATTTTGAGCAAATTTTTCGATACTTGTTTGCCATTTGTATGTCCTCTTTAGATAAATGTCTATTCAAATTTTTGGCCCAATTTTTAAATTTTATTATTATTTTTTATAATGAGTTGTTTGAGCTTCTTATACATACTGGTTATTAATCATTTGAAGAGATGTAGTTTGCAAATATTTTAATTCCATTTTGTATGTTGCCTTTCACCTTGTTGATTGTATCCTTTGGTATGCGGATTTTAACTTGATAGTATGCCATTTGTCCATTTATGTTTTGGTTGCCTATGGTTGTGGGGTATTGCTCAATAATTTTTTTTTTTTCCCCAGACGAATGTCTGAGAGAGTTTGTCCAGTTTTCTTTCAGAAGTTTCAAAGTTTGAGGTCTTATATTTACGTCTTTAACCCATTTTGATTTGCTGTTTGAATATGGTGAGAGATAGTGGTCTAGTTTTATTCTTCTGCATACAGATATCCCAATTTTCCTGGCAACATTCATTGAAGAATGTTTTTTCCCCCAAGGTAGTTTCTTGACAGCTTTGTTTAAATGAGTTTATTATAGATGTATGAATTTACTTATGGGTTCTTTATGCAGTTCCAGTGGTGTACATAACTGTTTTATGCCAATACCCTGACATTTGGGTTAATATAACTCTGAAGTATAATTTGAAGTCAGGTAATGTGATTTCTCCAAATTTCTTCTTTCTATATTCAGGATCACTTGGCTATTCTGGGTCCTATTGTATTTCATATGAATTTAAATTTTTTTCTATTGATGTAAAGAACATCAATGGTATTTTGATTGGGATTGCATTGAATCTATAGATTGCCTGGGTAGCATGGACATGTGAACAGTATTGATTCTTTTAATCCATGAATTTAATTTTTTCTAATTTTTGTGTCATATTTAATTTGTTTTATAGTTTTCATTTTAAAAATCTGTCATTTCTATGGTTATTATAAGTTTACTCCTAGCTATGTTATTTTTTGGTATCTGTAGTAAATGAGATTATTTTCTTGATTTCTTTTTCAGATTTTTAGCTGTTGGCATACAGAAATGCAACTAATTTTTATTTTTTTATTTTTTTAATTTATTTTTAATTATTTATTTATTATTATTATATTTTAAGTTTTAGGGTACATGTGCACAATGTGCAGGTTAGTTACATATGTATACATGTGCCATGCTGGTCTGCTGCACCCACTAACTTGTCAACTAGCATTAGGTATATCTCCCAATGCTATCCCTCCCCCCTCCCCCACCACACAACAGTCCCCAGACTGTGATGTTCCCCTTCCTGTGTCCATGTGTTCTCATTGTTCAATTCCCACCTATGAGTGAGAACATGCGGTGTTTGGTTTTTTGTTCTTGCGATAGTTTACTGAGAATGATGATTTCCAATTTCATCCATGTCCCTACAAAGGACATGAACTCATCATTTTTTATGGCTGCATAGTATTCCATGGTGTATATGTGCCACATTTTCTTAATCCAGTCTATCAGTGTTGGACATTTGGCTTGGTTCCAAGTCTTTGCTATTGTGAATAATGCCGCAATAAACATACATGTGCATGTGTCTTTATAGCAGCATGATTTATAGTCCTTTGGGTATATACCCAGTAATGGGATGGCTGTGTCAAATGGTATTTGTACTTCTAGATACCTGAGGAATCGCCACACTGACTTCCACAATGGTTGAACTAGCTTACAGTCCCACCAACGGTGTAAAAGTGTTCCTATTTCTCCACATCCTCTCCAGCACCTGTTGTTTCCTGACTTTTTAATGATCACCATTCTAACTGGTGTGAGATGGTAACTCATTGTGGTTTTGATTTGCATTTCTGTGATGGCCAGTGATGGTGAGCATTTTTTCATGTGTTTTTTGGCTGCATAAATGTCTTCTTTTGAGAAGTGTCTGTTCATGTCCTTCGCCCACTTTTTGATGGGGTTGTTTGTTTTTTTCTTGTAAATTTGTTTGAGTTCATTGTAGATTCTGGATATTAGCCCTTTGTCAGATGAGTAGGTTGCAAAAATTTTCTCCCATTTTGTAGGTTGCCTGTTCACTCTGATGGTAGTTTCTTTTGCTGTGCAGAAGCTCTTTAGTTTAATTAGATCCCATTTGTCAATTTTGACTTTTGTTGCCATTGCTTTTGGTGTTTTAGACATGAAGTCCTTGCCCATGCCTATGTCCTGAATGGTATTGCCTAGGTTTTCTTCTAGGGTTTTTATGGTTTTAGGTCTAACATTTAAGTCTTTAATCTATCTCAAATTGATTTTTGTATAAGGTATAAGGAAGGGATACAGTTTCAGCTTTCTACATATGGCTAGCCAGTTTTCCCAGCACCATTGATTAAATAGGGAATCCTTTCCCCATTGCTTGTTTTTCTCAGGTTTGTCAAAGATCAGATAGCTGTAGATATGCGGCGTTATTTCTGAGGGCTCTGTTCTGTTCCATTGATCTATATCTCTGTTTTGGTACCAGTACCATGCTGTTTTGGTTACTGTAGCCTTGTAGTATAGTTTGAAGTCAGGTAGTATGATGCCTCCAGCTTTGTTCTTTTGGCTCAGGATTGACTTGGCGATACGGGCTCTTTTTTGGTTCCATATGAACTTTAAAGTCGTTTTTTCCAATTCTGTGAAGAAAGTCATTGGTAGCTTTATGGGGATGGCATTGAATCTGTAAATTACCTTGGGCAGTATGGCCATTTTCACGATATTGATTCTTCCTACCCATGAGCATGGAATGTTCTTCCATTTGTTTGTATCCTCTTTTATTTCATTGAGCAGTGGTTTGTAGTTCTCCTAGAAGAGGTCCTTCACATCCCTTGTAAGTTGGATTCCTAGGTATTTTATTCTCTTTGAAGCAATTGTGAATGGGAGTTCACTCATGATTTGGCTCTCTGTTTGTCTGTTGTTGGTGTATAAGAATGCTTGTGATTTTTGTACATTGATTTTGTATGCTGAAACTTTGCTGAAGTTGCTTATCAGCTTAAGGAGATTTTGGGCTGAGACAATGGGGTTTTCTAGATATACAATCATGTCGTCTGCAAACAGGGACAATTTGACTTCCTCTTTTCCTAATTGAATACCCTTTATTTCCTTCTCCTGCCTAATTGCCCTGGCCAGAACTTCAAACACTATGTTGAATAGGAGTGGTGAGAGAAGGCATCCCTGTCTTGTGCCAGTTTTCAAAGGGAATGCTTCCAGTTTTTGCCCATTCAGTATGATATTGGCTGTGGGTTTGTCATAGATAGCTCTTATTATTTTGAGATATGTCCCATCAATACGTAATTTATTGAGAGTTTTTAGCATGAAGGGTTGTTGAATTTTGTCAAAGGCCTTTTCTGCATCTATTGAGATAATCATGTGGTTTTTGTCTTTGGTTCTGTTTATATGCTGGATTACATTTATTGATTTGCGTATATTGAACCAGCCTTGCATCCCAGGGATGAAGCCCACTTGATCATGGTGGATAAGCTTTTTGATGTGCTGCTGGATTCGGTTTGCCAGTATTTTATTGAGGATTTTTGCATCAATATTCATCAAGGATATTGGTCTAAAATTCTCTTTTTTGGTTTGGTCTCTGCCCGGCTTTGGTATCAGGATGATGCTGGCCTTATAAAATGAGTTAGGGAGGATTCCCTCTTTTTCTATTGATTGGGATAGTTTCAGAAGGAATGGTACCAGTTCCTCCTTGTACCTCTGGTAGAATTCGACTGTGAATCCATCTGGTCCTGGACTCTTTTTGGTTGGTAAGCTATTGATTATTGCCACAATTTCAGATCCTGTTATTGGTCTATTCAGAGATTCAACTTCTTCCTGGTTTAGTCTTGGGAGAGTGTATGTGTCGATGAATTTATCCATTTGTTCCAGATTTCCTAGTTTATTTGTGTAGAGGTGTTTGTAGTGTTCTCTGATGGTAGTTTGTATTTCTGTGGGATCGGTGGTGATATCCCCTTTATCATTTTTTATTCTGTCTATATGAATCTTCTTTTTTTCTTTATTAGTCTTGCTAGTGGTCTATCAATTTTGTTGATCCTTTCAAAAAACCAGCTCCTGGACTCATTAATTTTTTGAAAGGTTTTTTGTGTCTCTATTTCCTTCAGTTCTGCTCTGATTTTAGTTATTTCTTGCCTTCTGCTAGCTTTTGAATGTGTTTGCTCTTGCTTTTCTAGTTCTTTTAATTGTGATGTTAGGGTGTCAATTTTGGATCTTTTCTGCTTTCTTTTGTGGGCATTTAGTGCTATAAATTTCCCTCTACACACTGCTTTGAATGTGTCCCAGAGATTATGGTATGTTGTGTCTTTGTTCTCATTGGTTTCAAAGAACATCTTAATTTCTGCCTTCATTTTGTTATGTACCCAGTAGTCATTCAGGAGCAGGTTGTTCAGTTTCCATGTAGTTGAGTGGTTTTGAGTGAAATTCTTAATCCTGAGTTCTAGTTTGATTGCACTGTGGTCTGAGAGATAGTTTGTTATAATTTCTGTTCTTTTACATTTGCTGAGGAGAGCTTTACTTCCAAGTATGTGGTCAATTTTGGAATAGGTGTGGTGTGGTGCTGAAAAAAATGTATATTCTATTGATTTGGGGTGGAGAGTTCTGTAGATGTCTATTAGGTCAGCTGGGTGCAGAGCTGAGTTCAATTCCTGGGTATCCTTGTTAACTTTCTGTTTGTTGATCTGTCTAATGTTGACAGTGGGGTGTTAAAGTCTCCCATTATTAATGTGTGGGAGTCTAAGTCTCTTTGTAGGTCACTCAGGACTTGCTTTATGAATCTGGGTGCTCCTCTATTGGGTGCATATATATTTAGGATAGTTAGCTCTTCTTGTTGAATTGATCCCTTTACCATTATGTAATGGCCTTCTTTGTCTCTTTTGATCTTTGTTGGTTTAAAGTCTGTTTTATCAGAGACTAGGATTGCAACCCCTGCCTTTTGTTGTTTTCCATTTGCTTGGTAGATCTTCCTCCATCCTTTTATTTTGAGCCTATGTGTGTCTCTACACGTGAGATGGGTTTCCTGAATACAGCACACTGATGGGTCTTGACTCTTTATCCAATTTGCCAGTCTGTGTCTTTTAATTGGAGCATTTAGTCCATTTACATTTAAAGTTAATATTGTTATGTGTGAATTTGATCCTGTCATTATGATGTTAGCTGGTTATTTTGCTCGTTAGTTGATGCAGTTTCTTCCTAGTCTCGATGGTCTTTACATTTTGGCATGATTTTGCAGTGGCTGGTACCGGTTGTTCCTTTCCATGTTTAGTGCTTCCTTCAGGAGCTCTTTTAGGGCAGGCCTGGTGGTGACAAAATCTCTCAGCATTTGCTTGTCTGTAAAGTATTTTATTTCTCCTTCACTTATGAAGCTTAGTTTGGCTGGATATGAAATTCTGGGTTGAAAGTTATTTTCTTTAAGAATGTTGAATATTGGCCCCCACTCTCTTCTGGCTTGTAGGGTTTCTGCCGAGAGATCCGCTGTTAGTCTGATGGGCTTCCCTTTGAGGGTAACCCGACCTTTCTCTCTGGCTGCCCTTAACATTTTTTCCTTCATTTCAACTTTGGTGAATCTGACAATTATGTGTCTTGGAGTTGCTCTTCTCGAGGAGTATCTTTGTGGCGTTCTCTGTATTTCCTGAATCTGAACGTTGGCCTGCCTTGCTAGATTGGGGAAATTCTCCTGGATAATATCCTGCAGAGTGTTTTCCAACTTGGTTCCATTCTCCCCATCACTTTCAGGTACACCAATCAGACGTAGATTTGGTCTTTTCACATAGTCCCATATTTCTTGGAGGCTTTGCTCATTTCTTTTTATTCTTTTTTCTCTAAACTTTCCGTCTTGCTTCATTTCATTCATTTCAGCTTCCATTGCTGATACCCTTTCTTCCAGTTGATCGCATCAGCTCCTGAGGCTTCTGCATTCTTCACGTAGTTCTCAAGCCTTAGTTTTCAGCTCCATCAGCTCCTTTAAGCACTTCTCTGTATTGGTTATTCTAGTTATACATTCTTCTAAATTTTTTTCAAAGTTTTCAACTTCTTTGCCTTTGGTTTGAATGTCCTCCCATAGCTCAGAGTAATTTGATCGTCTGAAGCCTTCTTCTCTCAGCTCGTCAAAGTCATTCTCCATCCAGCTTTGTTCCGTTGCTGGTGAGGAGCTGCATTTCTTTGGAGGAGGAGAGGTGCTCTGATTTTTAGAGTTTCCAGTTTTTCTGTTCTGTTTTTTCCCCATCTTTGTGGTTTTATCTACTTTTGGTCTTTGATGATGGTGATGTACAGATGGGTTTTTGGTGTGGATGTCCTTTGCGTTTGTTAGTTTTCCTTCTAACAGACAGGACCGTCAGCTGCAGGTCTGTTGGAGTACCCTGCAGTGTGATGTGTCAGTGTGCCCCTGCTGGTGGGTGCCTCCCAGTTAGGCTGTTCGGGGGTCAGGGGTCAGGGACCCACTTGAGGAGGCAGTCTGCGTGTTCTCAGATCTCCAGCTGCATACTGGGAGAACCACTGCTCTCTTCAAAGCTGTGAGACAGGGACATTTAAGTCTGCAGAGGTTACTGCTGTCTTTTTGTTTGTCTGTGCCCTGCCCCCAGAGGTGGAGCCTACAGAGGCAGGCAGGCCTCCTTGAGCTGTGCTGGGCTCCACCCAGTTCGAGCTTCCCGGCTGCTTTGTTTACCTAAGCAAGCCTGGGCAATGGCGGGCACCCCTCCCCCAGCCTCGTTGCCACCTTGCAGTTTGATCTCAGACTGCTGTGCTAGCAATCAGTGAGACTCCGTGGGCGTAGGAGCCTCGGAGCCAGGTGCAGGACACAATCTCCTGGTGCGCCATTTTTTAAGCCCGTCGGAAAAGCGCAGTATTCGGGTGGGAGTGACCCGATCTTCCAGGTGCTGTCTGTCACCCCTTTCTTTGACTAGGAAAGGGAACTCCCTGACCCCCTGCACTTCCTGAGTGAGGCAATGCCTCGCCCTGCTTCGGCTCGTGCACGGTGCGTACACCCACTGATCTGTGCCCACTGTCTGGCACTCCCTAGTGAGATGAACCCGGTACCTCAGATGGAAATGCAGAAATCACCCGTCTTCTGCGTCGCTCACGCTGGGAGCTGTAGACAGGAGCTGTTCCTATTCGGCCATCTTGGCTCCTCTCGCCAGAAATGCTACTTATTTTTATGTACTGAGTTGTATCCTGCAACTTCACTAAATTTGTCTATCAGTTCTAATAAATTTTTGGTGGAGTCTTAAATTTTTTTCAAACAAGGTTATATCATCTGCAAACAATGATAATTTGACTTCTCTCAATTTGAATGCCCTTCATTTCTTTCTCTTGTCTGCTTACTCTATCTAGAACTTCCAGTATTCTCTTGAGTAACAGTAGCAAAAGCGATCATCCTGGTCTTGTTCCATATCTTAAAGGAAACACTTTCAATATTTCCCATTCATTATGATACTAAACATGGGCTTGTCATATATGGCTTTTATTGTTTGAAGACATATTTTTTCCATGCCCTGTTGTTTGAGAATTTTTTATCATTAAAGGAGGTTGAATTTTATTAAACACTATTTCAGGATCAGTGAAAAGGATTATGTGGATTTTGCCCTTCGTTTTGTTGATATTATGTATCACATTGATTAGTTTGCATAGTTGAAACATCTTTGCATCTGTGAAATAAATCCTACTTTGTCATAATAAATAATTATTTGAATTGGTTGTTGAATTTGGTTTGCAAGTATTTTGTTTACGATTTTTACATCAATGTTCATCAGAATCATTGGCCTGTAACTTTCTTTTTTGATATGTTTTTGTCTGGTTTCAGTATCAGAATAACACTGGCCTTACAGAATGAGTTTGGAAGTATTCTGTTCTTTTTGATGTTTTGGAATCGTTTGAATTAAGATTGTACTATTTTTTTAAATGTTTGATAAGATGGATGAGGGAAGCCATCAGGTCCCAGGCTTTTCTTTGCTGAGAAAAATTTATTATGGCTTTGATTATATTACTTGTTATTCGTCTATTCAGATTTTAGATTTCCTTATTGTTCAATGTTGGTAGGTTGTATGTATCTAGAAAATGTATCCATTTATTCTAAGCTTTCCAATTTGTTGGCCTGCAGTTACTCACAGTAGCCTCTAATAGTATTTGTAATTTCTGCAACATGAGTTGTCATGTCTCATTTTTTATCTTGGATTTTACTAATTTGGGTCTTCCCTTTTGTTTTTCTTAGTCTAGCTAAATAATTGTCAAATTTCTTTTTATCTTTTAAAAGAACAGTTAGTTATTTTGATGATCTTTTGGGTTTTTTGTTTCAATTTCATTTATTTCTGCTCTAATTTTTTTATTATTTTTCTATTCTACTAATTTTGTGCTTGGTTTGCCCTTGCTTTTCTAGTTGTTTCAGATTCTTTATTAGTTCATTTATTTGAAGACTTTTTTTATTTGGCCAATTACAACTGCACTTCTCTCTTAGTACTTCCTTCACCATATCTTACATGTCTTGATATGTTTTGTTTTCATTTTTATGTGTTGCAAGAATTTTTAAAATTGCCTTCTTAATTACTTCATTTACCCACTGGTCATTCAGAAGCATATTGTTTATCATGTAGTTTGTAGGTTCCAAAATCCCTCTCATTAGTGATTTCTAGTTTTCTTCCATTGTGGTTGAATAAGACACTTGATTTAATTTTGATATATTTGGATTTTTTAAGACTTATTTTATGGTCTAACACATTGTCTAGACTTGAGAATAATTTATATGTTGAGGAAAAGAATGTATTATTCCGCTATTGAATAATATGTTTTGTAAATATCTACTACGTTCATTTGGTCTGTAGTGCAAATTATGACCAATGTTTCTTTGTTGATTTTCTATCTGGATAATCTGTGAAATGCTGAAAGTAGGGTGTTAAAATCTCCATCTGTTATTGTATTAGGATCTGTCTCTCTGTTTAGTTCTCATAATGTTTACATTATATATCTGGGTGTGCCAATGTTTGGTGCATATATATTTAAAATTGTTATATCTTCTTGCTAAATTAACCCCTTTATTATTATATAGTAAACTTTGTCTCTAGTTATAGTTTTTGTCTTGAAATCTAGTTTGTCTGATATTAATATCGCTACTCCTGCTCTGTTTTTTATTTCCATTGACATGGAATATCCTACTCAATGCATTTGTTTTCACTGTCTGTGTATCTTTATATATAAAATGTGTTTCTTGTGGGTAAAAGATGATTAGGTTTTGTTTTTTATTTCTTCTTCTTTTATTTATTATTATTTTTTATTTCAAAAGGTTTTTGGGGAACAGGTGTTGTTTGGTTACAAGGATAAGATCTTCAGTGGTGATTTCTCAGATTTTGGTTCACCCATCACCCGAGCAGTGTACACTCTACCCAATGGGTAGTCTTTTATCATTCAACCCCTCCCACCCTTTCCCCAGAGTCACCAAAGTCCATTGTATCATTCTTATGGATTTGCATCCTCATAGCTTAGATCCCACTTATGTATGAGAGCATAAAATATTTGGTTTTCTGTCCTAAGTTACTTTACTTAGAATAATAATCTCAAATTCCATCCAGGTGGCTGCAAATGCCATTATTTTGTTCCCTTTTTATGGCTGAGTAGTATTCCATGGTGTATATATATCTATATACACACACACATATATCTCACATTTTCAGTATGCACTTGTTAATTAATGGGCATTAGGGCTGAATCCATATTTTTGCAATTGCGAATTGTGCTGCTATAAATATGTGTATACAAGTATCTTTTTTGTATAATGAGTTCTTTTCCTCTAAGTAGACACCCAGTAGTGGGATTGCTGAATCAAATGGTGGATCTACTTTAAATTCTTTAAGGAATCTTCATACTATATATATAGTGTTCGTACTAGTTTACATTCCCATCAGCAGTGTAAAAGTGTTCCCTTTTCACTACATCCACGCCAACGTTAATTATTATTATTTTTTATTATTGCCATTCTTGCAGGAATAACGTGGTATTGCATTGCAGTTTTGATTTGCATTTCCCTGATAATTAGTAACGTTGAGCATTTTTTTCATACTGTTTTTGGCCATTTGTATATCTTCTTTTGAAACTTTTCCACTCATGTCCATAGCCCACTTTTTTGATGGGATTGTTTGCATTTTTCTTGCTGATTTGAGTTTCTTGTAGATTCTAGATAATGGTCCTTTGTCAGATGCATAGTTTGTGAGGATTTTCTCCCACTCTATGGGTTGTCTGTTTACTCTGCTGATTGTTTGGCTGTGCAGAAGCTTTTTAGTTTAATTAAGTCCCATCTGTATATCTTTGTTTTTGTTGCATTTGCTTCTGGGTCCTTGATCATAAAGTTTTGCCTAAGGCAGTGTCTAGAAGAGTATTTCTGATATTGTCTTCTAGAATTGTTATGGTTTCACGTCTTAAATTTAAATCTTTGGTCCATCTTGAGTTGATTTTTGTATAAAGTGATAGATGAGAATCTAGTTTAATTCTTCTGTGTGTGGCTTGCCAAATATCCCAGCACCATTTGTTGAATAGGGTGTCCTTTTCCTGTTTTGTCGAAGATCAGTTGTCTGTAAGTATTTGGCTTTATTTGTGGGTTATCTCTTCTGTTTTATTGATCTGTATGCTTATTTTTACACCAGTACCATATTGTTCTGGTGGCTATAGCCTTATAGTATAGTTTGAAGTCTGGTGATGTGATGCCTCCAGATTTTTTTTCTAAGTTTTGCTTTGCCTATGCAGGCTCTTTTCTTTATTCCATATAAATTTTAGGATTGCATTTTCTAGTTCTGTGAAAAATGATAGCGGTATTTTGATGAAAATTGCATTTAATCTGTAGATTGCTTTTGGCACTATAGTCATTTTCACAATATTGTTTCTACCTATCCATGATCATTGGTATTCCCATTTGTTTGTGTAGTCTACAAATTCTTTCAGCAGTGTTTTGTGGTTATCCTTGTAGAGGACTTTCACCTCCTTGGTTAGGTCTATTCCTAAGGTTTTACTTGTTTTGTTTTGTTTTGTTTTTTGCAGATATTGTAAAAGGATTGAGTTATTGATTTGATTCTCAGCTTGGTTGCTGTAGGTGCATAGCAGTGCTACTGATTTGTGTACATTGATTTTGTATCCTGAGACTTTACTGAATTAATTTATCAGAGCTAGACGTTCTTTGAATGAGTCTTTAAGGTTTTCTAGGTATACAATCATATCATCAGTGAACAGCTACAGTTTGACTTCCTCTTTACTGATTTGATGCCCTTTATTTCTTTCCCTTGCTGATTGCACTGGCTTGGACTTCCAGATCTGTGTTTAATAGAAGTGGTGAAAGTGAGCATTCTTGTCTTGTTCCATTTCTTAGGGAGAATGCTTTCAACTTACATCAGTTCAGTGTCATGTTGGCTGTGGGTTTGTCATAGATGTCTTTTATTACCTTAAGGTATGTCGCTTCTATGCTGATTTTGCTGAGGGTTTTAATTATAAAGGCATGCTGGGATTTGTCAAATGCTTTTTCTGCAAATTTTGAGATGATAATGTAGTTTTTGTTTTTAATTCTGTTTATGTAGTGTATCACATTTACTGACTTGTGAATGTTAAACCATCCCTGCATCCCCGACATGAAACACATTTATCATGGTGGATTATTTTTTTGATATACTGTTGGATATCTATTATTTTGTTGAGAATTTTTGCATCTATGTTCACCAAAGACAATGGCCTGTAGTTTGTTTCTTGTTGTTGTTGTTATGTTCTTCCCTGGTTTTGGTATTAGGGTGACACTGGCTTCATAGAATGACTTAGGGAGGATTCCCTCTCTATATATCTTTTGAAATAGTGTCAATGTAATTGTAACCAATTCTCTTTTGAATGTCTGATAAAATTGAGCTGTGAATCCATCTGGTCCTGGACTTTTTCTGTTGGCAAATTTTTTAATAACCAGTTCAGTCTCACTGCTTGTTATTGGTCTGTTCGGAGTTTCTATTTCTTCCTGGTTTAATCTAAGAGGGTTGTATATTTCTAAATTTTTTTCCATCTCCTCTAGGTTTTCTAATTTGTGCACATCAAGGTGTTCATAGTAGCCTGGAATAATCTTTTGTGTTTCTGTGGTCAAGTATTAATATTTCCTATTTCATTTCAAATTGAGCTTATTTGGATCCTTTCTCTTCTTTTGTTGGTTCATCTCACTAATGGTCTATCAATTTTATCATATCTTTTCGAAGAACCAGATTTTTGTTTTATTTATATATATTTTTTTTAACTTTATTTAGCTCTGTTCTGATTTTTGCTGTTTCTTTTTTTCATTTGGGTTTAGGTTTGGTTTGTTAGTTTGGTTTGGTTTTGTTTCCTTAGTTCCTTGAGGTATGACCTTAGATTGTCTATTTGTGCTCCTTCAGACTTTTTGATGTAAGCATTTAATCTGATAAACTTTCCTCTTAACACTACTTGGGCTGTATCCCAGAGGTTTTGATAGGTTATGTCACTATTTTCATTCAGTTCAAAAAATTTATTAATTTTTATCGAGATTTTATTGTTGACAACAACTATTTGGGAGCAGGTTATTTAATTTTCATGTATTTGCATGATTTTGAGGGTTCCTTTTGGAGTAGATTTTCAACTTTTGTTCCATTGTGATCTGAGAGAGTACTTGATATAATTTCTGTTTTCTTAAATTTACTTAGACTTGTTTTATGGCCTATCATATGGTCTATCTTGGAGAATGTTCCATGTGCTGATTAGTAGAATGTATATTCTGCAGTTGTTGGGCACAATGTCCTGTCAGTATTTCTTAAGTAAATTTGTTATAAGGTACAGCTTAAGTCCATTGTTTCTTCATTTACTTTTTTTCTTTATTACCTGTCTAGTTCTGTCACTGGAGTGTTGAAGTCCCACACTATTAGTGTGTTTCTATTTATCTCATTTTGCAGGTTTAGTAGTAATTGTTTATAAATTTTGGAGCTCCAGTGTTAGGTGAATATATATTTAGAATGATAATATTTTCCTGTTGGACTAGTTTTTTTCTATCATCATATTATCTCCCTCTTTATTTTTTTCAATGGTTGTTTATTTAAATACTGTTTTGTCCGATTTAAGATTAGCTACTCTTGCCCACTTTTGGTGTTAATTTGTATGGAATATTTTTTCCACCATTTGAACTTAAGTTTATATGAGTCCTTATGTGTTAAGTGAATCTCTTGAAGAGCAGTTGCTTGGTTGGTGATTTCTTACTCATTCTGCCATTCTGTATCTTTTAAGTGGACCACTTAGGCCATTTACAATTCAATGTTAGTACTGGAGATGTGAGGTACTATTCTATTCATTGTGCTATTTGTTGCCTGAATAACTTGTGTTTTTTTTTCTCTTTTTTTTCTGCATTATGTTACTGTTTTACAGGTCCTGTGAGATTTTGATGTATTTTGAGGATTTGTTTCAAGATTTAGATCTCTTTTTAGCAATTCTTGTAGTGCTGGCTTGGTAGTGGCAAATTCTCTCAGCATTTATTTGTCTGAAAGAGACTGTATCTTTCTTTTATGTATGAAGCTTAGTTTCACTAGATACAAAATTCTTGGCTGATTATTGTTTTGCTTAAGATGGCTAAAGATAGAATTTAATTTTTTCTAGCCTGTAGGGTCTCTGCTAAAAAATCTTCTGTTAATCTGATAGGTTTTCAATTATGGGTCACTTGATGCCTTTGTCTCACAGCTCTTGAGATTCTTTCCATTGTTTTGACTTTAGATAACCTCATGATTATGTGCCTAGGCAATGATCTTTTTGCAATAAATTTCCCAGTTATTCTTTGAGCTTCTTGTATTTGGATATCTAGATCTCTAGAAAGACCAGGGAAGTTTACCTCAATTATTTCCTCAAATATGGTTTCCAAACTTTCAGATTTCTCTTCTTCCTCGGGAACACCAATTATTCTTGAGACTTTCCAGTGTATTTTGCATTTCTCTAAGTGTGTTCATCATTTCTAGTTGTGACTTTTTTTTTAATTTATGCTATGTATTTCTCTGGAGATTTTTCCATCCATATTCTGTAATTTTTTTATTTTATTTTTTAAGTTGGTATTCACCTTTCTCTGGTGCCTCCTTGAGCAGCCTAATAATAATTGACCTTCTGAATTCTCTATCTGGCAATTCAGAGCTTTCTTCTTGGTTTGGATTCATTGCTTGTGAGCTATTGTGATCCTTTGAGGGTGTTAAAGAACCTCATTTTGTCACATTACCAGATTTGTTTTCCTGGTTTCTTTTCATTTTGGTAGACATGTCAGAGGAAAGATCTGGGGCTCAAGAGCTGCTGTTCAGATTATTTTGTCCCATGGGGTGCTCCCTTGATGTGGTGATCTCCCCTTCCTCTAGGGAGGGGGCTTCCTGAGAGCCAAAGTGCAGTGATTGCTATTTCTCTTCTAGATCTCACCCACCCCACAGCAGAGGCACCATGCTCTGGGCTGGTACTGGGAAGTGTCTGCAAAGAGTCCTGTGAGGTGATTTATCTCCAGGTCTCTCAGCCATGGATACCAGCACTGGCTCTGATGGAGGTGGCAGGGAAGTGAAGTGAACTCTGTAACAGAGTCTTTGATTGTATTTTCTTTTAGTGTGCTGGTTTTGTGTTGGTTGGCTTCCAGCCAGAATATGGTTGCATTCAAAAGAGCATCAGCTGTGGTAGTATAGAGAAGATACAAGCTTGCCCTAGGGTCTCCTGGATAAGTGTTCAGGTTTCACAGGCATTGGGCAGGGCCATAGAGCTCCCAAGAGATTATGTCTTTTGTCTTTGGCTACCAGGGTGAGTAGAGAAAGACCATCAGGTAGGGCAGGGTTAGGCATGTCTGAGCTGAGCCTCTCCTCAAGTGGGGTTTGCTGCAGCTGCTGTGGGGGATAGGGGTGTGGCTTTAGGCCAATGGAGTTATGTTCCCAGGGGAATTATGGCTGCCTCTGCTGCTTCATACAGGTTTCCAGGGAAGTGGGGGAAAGCTGGCAGTGACAGGCCTCACACAGCTTTTATGGAACTGTAAAGGCCAGTCTCACCCTCATCATGCCCCCACAACAGCACTGAGTTTACTTCCAGGCAGCCAGGGAGCAGGTATGAGAACTTGCCCCAGGCTACAACCCTCCCAGGTGAGAAAGCAAGCAGGTCTTTCAGGTTTCCCACCTCACTGTCTGCCACCACTTCTGTGCTGATATCTGAATTCCAAGGTCGCCCCCTCTACCAAATTGTGTTTAGAAAACTTCACTTTTGGTCACAATTGTAACAAAGTTCAGCTGGAAGTTTTATTTTCCCTGTGATCTTTCTCCAATTCCACTGGCAGTCCTCCACAAGGACCCCTGTGAGACAAAGTCAGAAATGGCTTTCCTGGGGACCGAGAGTGCCCACAGTGTTCTTCCTGTTGCTTCCTCTATCTCTATATTTCTCTCAGCTTGCTAAATTTGTCTCGGCTTCAGGTAAGGTCAAATCCTTCTTATGTAATCTAGACCTTCATGTTCCCCAGGGACAATGTGTTTTCAGGGGTGTGCATTTCTCCTTTCACACTTTGGGCACTCACAGTTTTTTGGCTGTCTCACAGAGACTGCAGCAGCAAACCTCTTCCTTCAAAGGGTCTCTGGATTTTCTCGTCTATCCTGGTATGTTTCCGCAGTAGTTCTTGAAGCAAAAGTTTATGATGTGGGTCTCCACACACTGTTCTGTCTATCCAAGTGGGACCTGCAGGCTAGTCCTGCCTCCCATCTGCCAATTTTTTTTTTTTCCAAACAGGTCTTTTTTGTTTTTATCCATGAAGCCACCCTATGCTTTTTTTATTGGAGAGTTTAGTCTATTTAAATTTAATGTAATTATTGATTATTAAGCACTTAATCCTGCCATTTTGTTATTTTCTGTTTTTTTTTGTGTGTGTGTGTATAAATTGTGGTTAGTTGCATACTTTTAAAGACATTAAATTAGTAATTTAAGAACCCTTCTAAAAATAACTTGAGGCCAAGATTGCTTTAATAGATGCATGTACTAAACATTGAAATAAAAAATAATGGCAATCTTATCATAGGATAATCTCACTCATGAATTTCAATGCAAAACTCATCATTAGAATCTTATGAAAATAAAGTGAACAATATAGAAAAAGGGTAATATATTAAAGTTAATTTTAGTTTATTCCCAAAATAGAAAAGTTGATTTAACAATTGAAAATCACTCTACATATTTTACCACATTGTCAAAACAAATAGAAAAACAATGTAATAAATTTAACATATGCAGAAAAGATTTGATAAATTGTTGCATCCTTTTTAAATAAAAACTGATTTGGACTAGAAAAAAAATCTTCAACTTAGTAAGACGTATCTACAATTATCCTACAGCAAACATCACACTTAATAGTGAAATGATGAATTATTTTCCACTGACATCTAGAATGACACAAAGATGCTCATTACTCTCACTTTTATCTAATATTGTGCTGGAGACCCAACCCATTATGATAAGGCAAGAATAAAGACATAAAAAGGATTATATTTTGAAAGAAACAAATGAAAGTATTATCTAACTATGGTATTCTTTTGTACATAGAATATCCAAAAGTATATTCAGATATGTTATTGGGATTAGGAGGTGAATACACCTGCTGATATATACATATATATATATATATATATATACACACATATATATGTATATATATACTTATTTATCAATATACTAACATAGATATACAGATAGATAGATTAGATAGATGAAAGATAGACAGATAGATAGATAGATAGATAGATAGATAGATAGATAGATAGAGCCTGGGAGGGAAAGTGCATATATCTAGTTATTGTGAGTATAGCACAAGGGAAACCTGAAACCAAAAGCAAAGTTCCATGAAAACAGATACAATGGTCTCTTTGGTTAATTGCACCTCTTCTGTGTATAGCACAGAGTAGTCACTCAATAAATGTTCCTTGAATGAATGAATGAATGTTGAACTAATAAGCAATGTAACAATAAGTTTTTATATGTTCCCTCATAAGCACTGCTTTGGTAGCAGAGCCTGAAATATGATTATAAATAGGGAGTAATGACTCCAGAGACAAAGATTATAGCTCAATAAGGACAAAGCCAGAATGGTCATTCTAGAAGAAAATTTTAGGTCAATTTATATCTCTTAAAATTGATATTTAAATGTAAGAAAAAATAATGCATTTTCCCATTCTGATTCTCTATTGAAGACATTAACCAATATTGTTTCTTTATCAAAATAATCAATTTACTGTTTTGGACTGTATGCTTTTAGGTTCATTAGAGTAGAATGAAATATAAAAGATCCATCTGAAACTTTCGGTTCAATGACTACATTGACCAATCTAGATTGGCAATTTGATATTGTTTACAGGCTCTTTGTTTTGATAGAAAATAGAGAATAATAAAAATGTTCACCTTTTATTTATTTATTTTTTTTTTTGAGACAGAATCTTGCTCTGTCGCCAGGCTGAAGTGCAGTGGCGCGATCTCAGCTCACCGCAACCTCCGCCTCCCGAGTTCAAGCGATTCCCTTGCCTCAGCCTCCCAAATAGCTGGGATTACAGGCACATGCCACCACGCCTGGCTAATTTTTTTAATTATTATTTTTAGTAGAGACGGGATTTCACTATGTTGGCCAAGATGGTCTCGATCTCCTGACCTCGTGATCCGCCCACCTCGGCCTCCCAAAGTGCTGGGATTACAGGTGTGAGCCACCGTGCCTGGCCAGTGTTCACATTTTTTATGAATAAAATATACTTTTTATATCCTGCATATAATGTATAGTTTGTGATCAAAGTTGAAGGTTAAAATATTAGATAATTGAAAATTGTTACATTTGACTGACAGTTTAAATCATAAAAATAAGTATGACCCCTGTGGTATGATCTCTGATACCAGAGTGAGATTTCATAAGAAACTAAAAGTCAATATTCCCTTATGGAACACAGTCTACAATTCGGAAGAAATAATAGTATAACAATGTTGTTTGTGAATAATTTTGTATATAAGAAAAGGTCTTTATCTTTAAATATTTCAGAAATTGAAACTTAAAAAGTATTATGAAAAATTCTACTTACCCCCTCCTTTATTATTTGACTTCAAGAGATGCTATCAATTTAATACGTCTTTTAATATATCATCCAAGAGAAATTTCATGTACCACATGTGCTTCTATTTCATGTGAGACCTTAAAATAAAATGCAGGTTTCTAGTTAAAGAGCCAAGAAAAACACGCACTACACTTAGTGCTAGAAATGATCCCCATTGCCTAATTTTATTACCAGAGCCTTGGGAAAATGTATTTATTTACTGTTTGCATCAAGAGACTATATTTTAAATCCCTAAATGTAAATGGCCATATGAAATTATGCCTTTACTACTACTATTAGAAACAAGGCTATTTTCTTTAGGCCACATTTGGAAACTTCTAATGGTAAGATTTGAACTAGAAAACAAAAAAGAGAAAGGCTAGCAAACAGACTTTGATTAGAAAATTTGGCAGGTTTTTCCATTTGGATGTGAGCCAAGAGGCCAGCAGCTGTATTCATCCTTGGCTGAGCAAGTCATAGTTCTGGAGCACACAAGCTGAGAATTGTAGTTTGTACAACACAGAGAGCAAGGCAGAATCACAGTTAATTAGAATTCCTGTAGGCTTTATCAGCAGGTCTGCAAAATATAGTAATTAAGCTATGACTGTGAAAACATGTCACTTTGATGTTTTGGGTATTATGCAAATTAGCTTAAAATTATCCATTTCGAAAACAATCACTTAAAATCTTTAGAATGATATACAGAATATATCTTTGACTACTATGATTTCTGTAATTACTGCAATCAAAGCCAAAACTAATTTGATTTCTCAACAAAGAATATGATGGGTTCACTTACTGATTTACTTTTGTACAGATGTTTTCTTGACCAAAAAAGAGCAGATGAAATGAAATATATTGATATATTAATTTTTTTAAAATATCAAGATCTATCTGTCCATGTAAAGGGTAATTGTCATCTTGGAAATAAATTCATGTTTAACGTACCTCAAAATCAGGGTCTTTGTTTAAAATAGAATTTAGCAAATAAATACTTTAATGGTTTCATTTTAAAGTCTGATCATGATTTAAATTGAAAAAAAAAATGAAAAGAGTCAAGGAGACTCTTCCAAAAAATATCGCTACTTTTTTAACTGTTATTGTGTGCCTGATTTGATCAACTTCATATGAGAGAAATGTTAGGGTTGACATTCTCTTCTTAACTTATGCCTTTGCATGGTGGGAGATGACAGTGATGTGGCGAGGGCAGAATAATCATGCTTTCATTTATTTTAGAAATGCCTTTTATATGTTGGATTAAACTAGCTATCACAGATTTAATTTTATTAAACCTAAGTCTTGCATAGATTCACACTTGTGTGTGTGTATGTGTGCACATCTGTGTATACTGTTTATACATAAAGCATGGCAAATAACAGTTAATGACCCCTTTCATGAAACCAGAAAAAATAAAATAACAAAACTTTAGGTTAAACTGAAGTAAAAATTTTATATTTATTTGTTCTAATGTGTGAAAAGAGTAATCAAGCCTAGTATTTGCTTTGAAATGCAAGTTACACATATAAAATTTCATGTATATTATCACTTTTGGAAAGTACCACAAGAGGTAAGAATGCTTACTCAAGGTAATTGCTACAGCTGAAAGCAGAAAGGTAAATTTCATCTGAATTAGTAAATATTATGTATCATATTATATATGTGGTGTATTAGTCTAGTCCTTGTTTAGAAGCATAACAGGACTCTTGATTCATATGTTAACATATATTTTATAAATGAATGTCCATTTAAGATTTTTTTAAATCACAACTAGTTCACATATAAATTCAGAAAATTAAAATAAAAATTATTTTTCCAAATTGCCGTTCATCGTCCATCAAAATAAATGAAGCAAAATAGAGCAAGTTTGAATTGTTTTTAAATTTTCTGTAATCTTAAAGTTTTAATTTATTTTAAAGCAACTTTTATTGCTTTAATAAAATTACAAAAATAAGATGGCCTCATTTGACAGTATCTGAGAAATACATGGATGTATAAGTAATGAAAGTTGTTGCCTATAATCTTTTCACCAAATCTGTTTCCTCCCTTCTCCTTCACCTCCTCATCCACCATGTGCACTTAACAGAAGTAAAATCATTCATATATGAAATTGTGGTCAATATTTGTAAATGATTCATGTGTGCTTGAAAATAATACATATTACCTATATTTTTATATAGAATCATTTATGTATATTTAAAGAGATTGAGCTTATTCTGCTAAAAAAAATCATTTTCTAAGTTATATTCCTAATAGTTGTGTTTAAAAGGATTGTGTTAAAATTTCTCACTATAAAGATATAATGTTATTCTCTTCATTTTTGCTTGGAATTTTAAAGGCATGGAAGTTTCTGATTGTTCATTTTCTTAGTAGATTTTTCTTTTATCATAAAGAAATGCCTCTATTTTCTTTCTGCCACTGATTTTCATCTTCCTTACGTTTTGTCTCATATTAATATTGCTGTAACAACTTTCCTTTATTTGTATTTATATACCTTTTTCTACCTTCCTCCTATACTATTGCATTTCATGTGTGTTTATTGTAAATATCCTATATTTGAGTTTTAAAATCTAATCTGAGTCTCTGTATTTTGATGTGAGTCTACTCTGTTTATATTTATTATGTTTATATAATAGTGTTTTTTCTTTTTCTTAAATGATTTTGCTTTGTTTCTCAATCTTTCTTACCACCCTCTCCCTACAATTTTTTTTAAATTCAGATATCATAATTCTATTATGTTGCAATTCTTAATATATAGCAGGTATACATAACAAACTCTTTGCTTTTTTTCTTAAAAAGTCCCGTTACATCAGTATTTTAATATCTGCTAGACCTTTATAAGAAATTTGAGAATGTTTTAACTTTCCATTTCTCCTCTTGTCTTTCACACTCTTTTATATTCTTTAGCCCCACTTTGTTAACAAAATAATGTATACATATATATACACATATACACACATATATATGTATGCCTATGTGTGTGCTTTTGTATGTATATTTGTAATTACTATTTGTAATTACTATATTTGTCATTACTATTATTAAAATTTACCAACTTGTTTTAGAATTTACTTTGGTAACTATAGCCTTTTTAGCCATCCTTTCCTTCAAGTTTGTATTTCTTCTTACGAAAATCCATTATCTAATGATTTTCACTAAACTGTGAAAATGCACTTAGTTCACCTTCACTGTTAAATGATTATTTTATCTCAACATAAATAAAATAAATAAATGTATCTATGTCAAAGAGAAAGATAAAAAGTAATAACTGAGAATTTTGCAGATTGAATTATTGACCAAGTATTGCTCATTTACAATAAATGTCAAATGAACCAATTTAAACCATATACATTTATGAGTTTTTGCTAATGCATACTTTCATGTAACCAGCAATACCCCCTCAAAATACAGAATGTTTCAGTCACCTCAAAGTTTCTACTTGTCCTTTTTAGTCAATTCCCCCTCAATCACAGGAAAGCATTCTTCTGATTTCTATCACTGTAAGTGAGTTTACCTGTTCTAGAATTTGATATAAATGAAAGCATATGTTGTAGGTTAGTTTATGTCCAGCTTTTTCTTTCATTCAACATGTCTGTGAGAGTCATTTATGTTGTTGCATATATTAGTAGATTTTTGTTGTTTTCTTGAGTACTATTTCCTTACATAAAAATATCAAAATTTGTGTCTCCATTCCCTCGCAGGTGAGCACTTGGGATATTTCAGATGTTTCCCTGTTGTAATGAAGCTTTTTAAAAATGCTTTGCAAGTCTTTGGGTGAGCATGTGTTCTTATTTCTCTTAGATACATTCGTAGAAGTGGAATTGCTGTGTAGGTATATGTAGTAACTTTATGAGAAATTGCAAAATGTTACCTTGAAATGGTTCAACCATTTTACATTCTGTCCAGTGATATGTGAGAGTTCAGATTCTCTGCCACAAGCATTTGGTATGTCATTCTGCTTTGGTTTTGTTTTTGTTCTTTAGGCATTCTGATAGGTGAGTAGTAGAATTTTATTGTGAATTTAATTTTCATTTCCCTTATAACTAGAGATATTGAATACTTTATCCATGCTTACTAGGGGTTCATGTATAAACCATGCCTTTTAAATTATTTTACCAATCTTTATTGAGTTGTCTTTTTTGTTATTGAGTTTTAAGTGTCTCTCTCATGCACAAATACACAATATTTAAGCAAATATCTTATTTATGACTTGCCTTTTTATTTTTTACCAGTAACTTTTGATGATTATAATTTATACATTTTCCTTCATAGTTATTAGTTTTTGCATCATCTATGGAACTTTCACCTACTTGTAGAATCAAAAATGTACTTTTATATGTTCCTCTAGAAGATTAATGGTGAATAGGATTCCTCTTGAATTTTGAATTATTTTTATATACTAAAAAATGGCATTAAGTTCATTTCTCCCAAATGATTATTGATATATTTCATTACAATATCTTGGAAAGACTTTCCATTCCTTCATTGAATATCCAGAATATATAGAGATTTTTGCTGAGAAAACCTAAAATTAAAAACAGAAAAAAAGAGAGGCAGAGCAAGATGGTGGAATAGAAAGCTCCACTGAACATTCCTCTCCCACAATGACAGAAAGATAAGGACATTAGTGAGCAATAAATAACCACCTGAAAGTACAAAATGCACTAGTAATACTAAGTACACAGAAAAAAAACCCAGAATGTTATAACACTGTAACTGTAGTGTGTAAACTACTCTTATCCTAAGCGAAAGACTAAACAATGAAACAAGCAAAAATAGTAGCTACAACTTTTCAAGACATAGCACAAAAAAAAATAAATTAAAAAAACAAAAATTAAAAAGTGTGTCAACAAAGTTAAGGTGGCTTTTATTAGTTTTCTTTTTGCTTGTTTATTTGTTTATGAAAACAATTTTAAATTGTTATCAGGTTAAAATAATGAGTTACAATATAGTATTTGCAAGCCTCATGGTAACCACAAACAAAAAATGAACATACCATGGATACACAAAAAGTCAAAAGCCAGAAACAAAAACATATCCCAATAAAAAAATCACATTTACTAAAGGAAGACAAGATGAAATGAAAGAAGAAAGTGAAGACCACAAAACAACCAGAAAACAAATAATAACCTGGCAGGAGTAAGTCCTTACTTACCAATAACATTGAATGTAAATGGACTAAACTCCTCAACCAAAATACTAGCTGAGTGGCTAATAAAGCAAGACCTATTGATTTGTTTTTTATAAGAAACACATTTCTCCCATAAAGATACAAATAGAAATAAAATAAAGGGATGAAAAGATATTTTATGACAATGAAAACAAAAAAAAAATAACAGGAGTTGCTATATTTAGACAAACCAAAATTCTAGACAAAACCTATAAGAAAAGATAAAGAAGGTCACTATATAATAATAAAGGGGTTAACTCAGCAATAGTATAAAATAATTTTAAAAACCTATGTGTATATATATATATATATATGCACCCAACAGTACAGCACCCAGATATATAAAGCAAATATTGATAGAAATAGAGACATAAGACCAAATACAATTATAGCTGGAGACTTCAGTAACCCCACTTTCAACATTGGGCAGATATTCCAGACAGAAAATCAACAGAGAAACATCAGATTTAATCTTCACTATAGAACAAATAGATGTAATAGATATTTACAGAACATTTTATCAAAAAGCTGCAAAATACACGTTCTTTTTCTCAGCACATGGATCACTCTCAAGGATAGACCACATGTTAGGTCAGATAACAAGTCTTAAAACATTCAAATAAAGGGAGTGGCTGGCAAGATGGCCAAATAGGAACAGCTCCAGTCTGCAGCTCCCAGCAAGATCAGTGCAGAAGGCAGGTGATTTCTCATTTCCAACCAAGGCACTTGGCTTATCTCAATGGGACTGGTTAGACAGTGGATGCAGCCCACGGAGGGCAAGCCAAAGCAGGGTGGGACATCACCTCACCAGGGAAGCACAAGGGGCAAGGGAACTCCCTTCCCTAGCTAAGGGAAGCCATGAGGGACTCTGCCCTGAGAAATGGTGCACTTCAGCCCAGATACTGCGCTTTTCCCATGGTCTTCGCAACCCGCAGACCAAGAGATTCCCTTGGGTGCCTATGCCACCAGGGCTCTGGGTTTCAAGCACAAAACTGGGCAGCCATTTGGGCAGACACCCAGCTAGCTGCAGGAGTTTTTTCCATACCCCATTGGCACCTGGAACGCCAGCGAGACAGAACAGTTCACTCCCCTGGAAAAGGGGCTGAAGCCAGGGAGCCCAGTGGTCTAGCTCAGTGGATCCTATCCCCACAAAGCCCAGCAAGCTAAGATCCACTGGCTTGAAATTCTCGCTGCCAGCACAGCAGTCTGAAGTCAACCTGGGATGCTTGAGCTTGGTGAGGAGAGAGGCATCCACTGTTACTGAGGCTTGAGTAGGTGGTTTTCCCCTCACAGTGTAAACAAAGCTGCAGGGAAGTTTGAACTGGGTAGAGCCCACCAGAGCTCTGCAAAGCCGCTGTAGCCAGACTGCCTCTCTAGATTCCTCCTGTCTGAGCAGGGCATCTCTGAAAGAAAGGAAGCAGCCCCCGTCAGGGGCTTATAGATAAAACTCCCATCTCCCTGGGACAGAGCACCTTGGGGAAGGAGCAGCTGTGGGCGCAGCTTCAGCAGACTTAAACTTTCCTGCCTGTCGGCTCTGAAGAGAGCAGTGTATCTCCCAGCACAGTGCTCAAGCTCTGCTAAGGGACAGACTGCCTACTGAAGTGATTCCCTGACCCCCAGGCCTCCTGACTGGGAGACACCTCCCAGCAGGGTTTGACAGACACCTCATATATGAGAGCTCCAGCTGGCATCTGAAAGGTGCCCCTCTGGGATGAAGTTTCCAGAGGAAGAAACAGGCAGAAATCTTTACTGTTCTGCAGCCTCTGCTGGTGATACCCAGGCAAACAGGGTCTGAAGTGGACCTCCAGCAAACTCCAGCAGACCTGTAGCAGAGGGGCCTGACTGTTAGAAGGAAAACTAACAAACAGGAAGGAATAGCATCAACATCAACAAAAAGGATGTCCACAGAGAAACCCCATCTGAAGGTCACCAACATCAAAGATCAAAGGTAGATAAATCCTGAAGATGAAGAAAAACCAGCATAAAAAGGCTGAAAATTCCAAAAAACAAGAATGCCTCTTCTCCTCCAAAGGATCACAACTCTTCGTCAGCAAGGAAACAAAACTGGACGGAGAATGAGTTTGACGAATTGGCAGAAGTAGGCTTCAGAAGATGGGTAATAACAAACTCTTCCGAGTGAACAGAGCATGTTCTAACCAATGCAAGGAAGCTAAGGACCTTGATAAAAGGTTGGAGGAATTGCTAACTAGAGTAACAAGTTTAGAGAAGAACACAAATGACCTAGTGGAGTTGAAAAACACAGCACGAGAACTTCATGAAGCATACACTAGTATCAATAGCTGAATTGATCAAGCGGAAGAGAGGATAACAGAGACTGAAGATCAACTTAATGAAATAAAGCATGAAGACAAGATTAGATTGAAAAGAATGAAAAGGAACGAATAAAGCCTTCAAGAAATACAGGACTATGTGAAACACCAAACCTACATTTGATTGGTGTACCTGAAAGTGATAGGGAGAATGGAACCAAGTTAGAAAACACTCTTCAGGAAATTATCCAGGAGAACTTCCCCAACCTAGCAAGACAGGCCAACATTCAAATTCAGGAAATGTAGAGAACACAGAAGAGCAACTCCAAGACACATAATCATCAGATTCTTCAAGGTTGAAATGAAAGAAAAAATGTTAAGGACAGCTGGAGACAAAGGTCAGGTTACCCGCAACAGGAAGCCCATTAGACTAGCAGCAGATCTCTCTGCAGAAACCCTGCAAGACAGAAGAGAGTGGGGCCAAGAATCAACATTCTTAAAGAAAAGATTTTTCAACCCAGAATTTAATATGCAGCCAAACTAAGCTTCATAAGTGAAGGAGAAATAAAATCTTTTACAGACAAGCAAATGCTGAGAGATTTTGTCACAACCAGGCCTGCCTTACAAGAGCTCCTGAAGGAAGCACTAAATATGGAAAGAAAAAACTGGTACCAGCCACTGCAAAACATACCAAATTGTAAAGACCATTGACACTATGAAGAAACTGCATCAAATAATGGGCAAAATAACCAGCTAGCATCATAATGACAGGATCAAATTGACACACAAGAGTATTAACCTTAAATATGAATGGCTAAGTGCCCCAATTAAAAGACACAGACTGGCAAATTGGATACAGTCAAGACCCATTGGTGTGCTGTATTCAGGAGACCCATCTCATGTGCGAAGACACACATAGGCTCAAAATAAAGGGATGGAAAAAGATTTACCAAGCAAATGGAAAGAAAAAATAAACCTCAGGGATTGGAATCCTAGACTATGGTAAAACAGACTTTGAACCAACAAAGATCAAAAAAGACAAAGAAGAGCATTACATAATGGTAAAGGGATGAATGCAAGTGGAAGAGTTAGCTATCCCAAATATATATGCACCCAATACAGGAGCACTCAGATTCATAAAGCAAGTTCTTAGGGACCTACAAAGAGACTTAGATTTCCACACAATAATAGTGGGAGACTTTAATACCACACTGTCAATATTAGACAGATCAACGAGACAGAAAATTAACAAGAATATTCAGGACTTGAACTCAGCTCTGGACCAAGCAGACCTAATAGACATCTACAGAACTCTCCACCCCAAATCAACAGAATATACATTCTTCTCAGCACCACATTGCACTTATTCTAAAATTGACTACGGAATTGGAAGTAAAACACTCCTCAGCAAACACAAAAGAACAGAAATCATAACAAACTGTCTCTCAGACCACAGTGCAATCAAATTAGAACTCAGAATTAAGAAACTCACTCAAAACCACACAACTACATGGAAACTGAACAACCTGCTCCTGAATGACTACTGGGTAAATAACAAAATTAAGGCAGAAATAAATAAGTTCTTTGAAACCAATGAGAATAAAGACACAACGTACCAGAATCCCTGGAACACAGCTAAAGCAGTTTTCATAGGGAAATTTATAGCACTAAATGCCCACAGGAGAAAGCAGGACAGATCCAAAATTGGCACCCTAACATCAGAATTAATAGGACTAGAGAAGCAAGAACAAACAAATTCAAAAGCTAGTAGAAGACAAGAAATAACTAAGATCAGAGCAGAACTGAAGGAGATAAAGACACGAAAAGCCCCTCAAAAAATCCATGAATCCAGGAGCTGGTTTTGTGAAAAGATTAACAAAATAGACCGCTAGCCAGAGTAATAAAGAAGAAAATTGAAAAGAATCAAGTAGACAAAATAAAAGTAATAAAGGAGATATCACCACCGATCCCACAGAAATACGAACTACCATCAGAGAATACTATAAGCACCTCTACACAAATAAACTAGAAAACCTACAAGAAATGGATAAATTCCCCGACACATACACCCACCCAAGACTAAACCAGAAAGAAGTCAAATCCCTAAATAGACCAATAACAAGTTCTGAAATTGAGGCAATAATTAATAGCCTAGCAACCAAAAAAGGCCCAGGACCAGACAGATTCACAGCTGAATTCTACCAGAGGTAAAAAGAGGAGTAGGTACCATTCTTTCTGAAACTATTCAAAACAACAGAAAAAGAGGGAATCCTCCCCATCTCATTTTATGAGGCCAGCATCATCCTGATTCCAAAACCTGGCAGAGACACAACAACAACAAAAAGAAAATCTCAGGACAATACCTTGATGAACATCGATGAAAAAATCTTCAATAAAATACTGGAAAACTGAATCCAGCAGCACATCAAGAAGCTTATCCACCACGGTCAAGTCGGCTTCATCCCTGGGATGTAAGGCTGATTCAACATACGCAAATCAATAAACATAATCCATCACATAAACAGAACCAATGACAAAAACCACATGATTCTCTCATTAGATGCAGAAAAGGCCTTCGATAAAATTCACAACCCCTTCATGCTAAAAACTCTCAATAAACGTGGTATTGATGGAACGTATCTCAAAATAATAAGAGCTATTTACGAGAAACCCACAGCCAATATCATACTGAATGGGCAAAAGCTGGAAGCATTCCCTTTGAAAACCAACACAGGACAAGAATGCTGTCTCCCACCACTCCTATTCAACAAAGTATTGCAAGTTCTAGCCAGGGCAATCAGGTAAGAGAAAGAAATAAACGGTATTCATATAGGAAGAGAGATTGTCTCTCTAAAGTCAAATTATCTCTGTTTGCAGATGCCATGATTGTATATTTAGGAAACCCATTTTCTCAGCCCAAAATCTCCTTAAAGTGATAAGCAACTTCAGCAAAGTCTCAGGATACAAAATCAATGTGCAAAAATCACAAGCATTCCTATACACCAATAATAGACAAACAGAAAGCCAAATCATGAGTGAACTCCGATTCACAATTGCTACAAAAAGAATAAAATACCTAGGAATACAACTTATAGGGGATGTGAAGGACCTCTTCAATGAGAACTACAAACCACTGCTCATGGAAATAAGACAGGACACAAACAAAGGGAAAAACATTCCATGCTCATGGATAGGAAGAATCAGTATCGTGAAAATGCTGCCCAAAGTAATTCATAGATTCAATGCTATTCCCATCAAGCTACCATTGACTTTCTCTGCAGAATTAGGAAAACCTACTTTAAATTTCATATTGAACCAAAAAGTAGCCTGTATAACCAAGACAATCCTAAGCAAAAAGAACAAAGGAACAAAGCTGGAGGCATCACGCTACCTGACTTCAAACTATACTACAGTAACCAAAACAGCGTGGTACTGGTACCAAAACAGATATATAGACCAATGGAACAGAACAGAGGCCTCAGAAATAATGCCACACATTTACAACCATCTGATCTTTGGCAAACCTGACAAAAACAAGCAATGGGGATAGGATTCTGTATTTAATAAACAGTGTTGGGAAAACTGGCTAGCCATAGGCAGAAAACTGAAACTGGACGCCTTCCTTACACCTGACACAAGAATCAACTCAAGATGGATTAAAAACTTAAATGTAAGACCTAAAACCATAAAAACCCTAAAAGAAAACCTAGGCAATATTGTTCAGGACATAGGCATGGGCAAAGACTTCATGACTAAAATGCCAAAAGCAATGGCAACAAAAGCCAAAATTGACAAATTGGATCTAATTACACTAAAGAGCTTCTGCAACGCAAAAGAAACTACCATCAGAGTGAAAAGGCCACCTACAGAAAGGGGGGAAATTTTTGCACTCTATCCATCTGACAAAGGGTTAACATCCAGAATCTACAAGGAACATAAACAAATTTACAAGAAAAAAAAACAAACAACCCCAACACAACGTGGGCAAAGGATATGAACAGACACTTCTCAAAAGAAAACATTTATGTGGCCAACAAACATGAAAAACAGCTCATCATCACTGGCCATCAGAGAAATGCAAATCAAAACCACAATGAGATACCATCTCACGCCAGTTAGAATGGTGATCCTTAAAAAGTCAGGAAACAACAGATGATGGAGAGGATGTGGAGTAACAGGAACACTTTTTACACTGTTGGTGGGAGTGTAATTTAGTTTAACCATTGGGAAGACCGTGTGGCGATACCTCAAGGATCTAGAAACAGAAATACCATTTGACCCAGCAATCCCATTACTGGGTATATACCCAAAATATTATAAATCATTCTACTCTAAAGACACATGCACACTCAGGTTTACTGTAGCACTATTCACAATAGCAACGACTTGGAACCAACCCAAATGCCCATCAATGATACACTGGATAAAGAAAATGTGGCACATGTACACCATGGAATACTATGCAGTCATAAAAAAAGATCAGTTTATGTCTTTGCAGGGAGATGGATGAAGCTGGAAACCATCGTTCTCAGCAAACTAACACAAGAACAGAAAACCAAACACCACATGTTCTCACTGATAAGTGGGAGTTGAACGATGAGAACACATGGACACAGGAAGGGGAACATCACACACCAGGACCTGTCAGGGGGTGGGGAGCTAGGGGAGGGCTAGCATTAAGAGAAATATCTAATGTAGATGACGGGTTGATTGTTGCAGCAAACCACCAAGGCACATGTATACCTATGTAACCTGCACGTTCTGCACATATATCCCAGAATTTAAATATATCTAAAAAAAAAAAACATGCAAATAAGGTAAAATAATATGAAGCAACTTCTTGGAACACAATGAAATAAAACTAGAAATTAATAACAAGAGTAATTTTGAAAACTATGCAAACACATGGAAAATAAACCCTATGCTCCCGATTGACCAGTGTATTAATGAAGAAATTAAGACTGAAATTTAAAATTTTTTGGAAACAAATCATAATGGAAGCACAACATAACAAAACTATGCGATACAGCAAAAGCAGTTCTAAGAAGGATGTTTATAGCTATAAGCTTCATAAAAAATAAGAACATTAAAAAAGGGGAACAACTAAAAATAAACAATCTAATGATGCATATTAAAGAAAATCAAAACAGAACCAAAAATTAGAAGAAAACAAATCGTAAAGATCATAGCAAAATAAATAAAATGTAAATAAAAAAACAATAAAAAGACCAATGAACCAAAAATTTGTTTTCTGGAAGTTAAACAAAATTGACAAACCTTTAGCAGACTAAGAAAATAAGAGAGAAGATCCAAAGAAATGAAATCAGAAATAAAAAAGAGACATTACAACTGACACTGAAAAAATTCAAAAGATCATTAGTGGCTACTATGAGCAACTATATGCCAATAAATTGGAAAATCTAGAACAAATGAACAAATTCCTTGACACATATGATCTACCAAGAATTGAACCAGGAAGAAATCCAAAACCTGAACAGACCAACAACAAGTAATGATATTGAAGCCGTAATAAAAAGTCTCCTAGTAAATAAAAGTCTGGGATCTGGTGGCTTCACTGCTAAATTCTAACAAACATTTGAAGAAGAATTAATAACAATCCTACTCAAAATATGCAAATAAATAGAAGAGGAGGGAATACTTCAACGCTCATTCTTAGAGGCCAGTAGTAGCCTGATACTAAAACCAGACAAAGAGACATCAAGAACAAAGAAACAAACGAAATACCTGCAGGCCAATATCTCTGATGAATATTAATGCAAAAATACTCAAAAATACAATCAAACTGAATTCAGCAATACATTAGAAAGATCATTCTTCATGACAAAATAGAATTTATCCATGGGATGCAAGTTTGGTTCAACACACTCAAATCAATGTGATGAATCATATCAATAGAATGAAGTGCCATATTATCATTTAACCTAATGCTGAAAAAGGATTTGATAAAATGTAATGTCCCTTCATGATAAAAACCCCTTAAAAAATAGGTATAGAGGAAACATAACTCAACATAATGAAAGCCATATGTGACAGACCCACAGCTAATATTACACTGAATGAAGAATACTGAAAGCCATTCCTCCATGATCTAGAACACTACAAGGATACCCACCGTCACCACTGTTATTCAACATACTGGAAGTCCTAGCTAGAGCAATCAGACAAGAGAAAGATATAAAGGGCTTCCAAATTGTAAAGGAAACACTCAAATTATCCTTCCTTGCAGAGCATATAATCTTGTATTTGGAAAAACCTCAAGATTCCACAAGAAAACTATTAGAACTGATGAACAAATTCAGTAAAACTGTAGGATACAAAATAATGTACAAAAATCAGTAACATTTTTATATACCAAAGGTGAACAATGTGGAAAAAATAAAACAGTAATCCCATTTACAATAGCTACATGTAAAATCAAATACCTTGGAATTAACTTTCCAAAGAAGGGAAACACTTCTATAATGAAATCTATAAAACACTGATGAAAGAAATTAAAGAGAACACCAAAAAATAAAAAAAACTCCATGTTTATGAATTGGAAAAATTAATATTGTTAAAATGTTCATACTACCAAAAGCAGTTTAGAGGTTTAATGAAATCCCTATCAAAATACCAATGACATTCTTACAGAAATAGAAAAAAAAAATCCTAAAATTTATATAGAACCACAAAAGACCCAGAATAGACAAAGCTATTCTAAGCAAAAAGAACAAAACTGGGGGAATGGTTACCAAAGGTTGGGAAGGGTAGCGAGGAGGTTGAGGTGGGAGGTAGGGATGGTTAATGGATTAAAAAAGAAAGTAAGAATAAATAAGATCTACTATTTGATAGCACAATAGATTGACTACAGTCAATAATAATATATATTTTAAAATAACTTAAAGAGTGTAATTGGATTGTTTGTAACTCAAAGAATAAATGCTTGAGGTGATTGATATCCCATTTGGCATGATGTGCTTATTTCACATTGCATGCCTGTATCAAAACATCTCATCTACCTTATAAATTTATACACCTATTGTGTACTCACAACATTTTTAAAAAATGAAAAGGGAAATCTAGAGGAATCCCTTTACCTGACTTCAAATTATACTACAGAGATATACCAACCAAAACAGCATGGTACTGGCATAGAAACAGACATATAGACCAATTTAACAGAAATCCACACACCTACAGTTAACTCATTTCCAACAAATATGCCAAGCACATACACTGGGGAAAAGACATTATCTTCAATAAATGATGCTGGGAAACTGGATATCCATATGCAAAAGAATAAAACTAGACTCTTGTCTCTCATCGTATACAAAAATCAAATAAAAATGGATTAAAGACTTAAATCTAAGACCTCAGAGCATGAAACTACTACAAGAAAACATTGGGGAAAATCTCCAAGACATTGGTCTGGGCAAAAATTTTTTGAGCAATTCTCCAAAAGCACAGGCAACCAAAGCAAAAGCAGACAAACGTGATCACATCAAGTTAAAAAGCTTTTGGACAGCAAAGAATACAATCAACAAAGTGAAGAGACAACCCACAGAATAGAAGAAAATATTGACAAGCTACCCATCTGACAAGGCATTAATAACAAGAATATATAAGAAGCTCAAACAACTCTATAGGGAAAAAATCTAACAATCTGATAAAAAAAATAGGCAACAGATTTGAATAGACATTTCTCAAAAGAAGACATACAAATGGTAAATAGGCATACAAAAAAGTGCTCAACATCACTGATTATCAGAATAGTTCATATCAAAAGTACAATGAGATATCATCTCACCTGAGTTAAAATGGCTTACATTTAAAAGACAGGCAATAACAAATGCTGATGAAAATGTGGAGAAAAGGGAACCACTGTACCCTGTTTGTGGGAATGTATATTAGTACAATCACTATGGAGAAGAGTTTGGAAGTTCTACAAAAAACTAAAAATAGAGCTACCATATGATCCAGCAATACCACTGCTGGGTGTATACCCAAAATAAAGAAAATCAGTATATCGAAGAGATATCTGCACTCTCATGTTTGTTTCAGCACTGTTTATAATAGCTAAGATATGGAGGCAACCAAAGTGTTCATAAACAGATTAACGTATAAAGAAAATGTGGTACATACACACAGTGGATTACTATTCAGCCTTAAAAATAAAAGAGCTCCAGTCACTTGCAACAACATGAATGGAACCTGAAATTATTATTATAGGTGAAATAAGCCAGACCTAGAAAGACAAACATCACATGTACTCAATTATTTGTGGGATCTAAAATCAAAACAATGAAACTCATGGACCTAGAGAGTAGAAGGATGGTTACCAGAGGCTGGGAAGGGTAGTGGGGGCTGGTGGTGGGGGTTGGGAATGGCTAATGGGTACAAAAAATAAAAAGAATGAATAAAACCTACTATTTGATAGCACACCAGGGGAACTATAGTCAATAAGAACATATCTATACATTTTTAAATAATTTAAATAATGTAATTCCATTGTTTGCAAGTCAATAGATAAATGCTGAAGAGGAGGGATACCCCATTCTTCATGATGTGCTTATTTTACATTACATTCCTGTATCAACACATCTCACACATCTCATGTATCTCATAAACATATACACCTACTATGTACTCTCAAAAATTAAAAATTAAAAACAGAAAAAATAAACAAGAATTAGGACTCTTAGCAAGTTAACTAGATACAAGATTTGTATACAAAAAAACTGTACCTGTCTTAAAACCATAATAAACTCATAAAATATAAACAAAAATTCTAAGAATGTCTTAATAAAAATATATAGAACTTAATAAAAAATAGAGATGGCTTTTTATTCCAAGCTAATATTTTTTTGAATTTTAAGCCATAATACTACTTTTTATAAAATAGTGGAATTTTGCTAATATCCACAATTAGTAGGTATACCAATTTTAGAATAATTTATAACTTTTTTTGCAACTGCGATCATTCTCTGTGTGAAGTAAGTTACCTTGTCTTTACTATGGGCACACATGCTACCCAGAAAGTTACAGTATGCACGAATACATGCTGTTCTGAGCATCTTACCCATCTTGGATTTTCCATGAGAGCCCTTAGGTAAATAAATTCTTTCACACAATGACAGTTACATGAAACTTGGAAACATGCTGGATAATAAAACTAAAACTTTGAACTCATTTGAAACATAAAATATTTTACTAGAAATATACATTGGAGTTAAACAATACACATAAAATATACTTACTATATACTATTGATTGAATCATGTCCCCACAAAATTTGTATATTGAACTCCTAACTTCCAGTACCTCACAGTGTGATCATATTTGGAAATGGGGTCATTGCAGATATAATTAGTTAAGATTATGTCATTAGGAAGGACCACAATCCGATATGACTGTTACCCTTAGAAAAAAAGAAAATTTGGACACAGAGACAGACATAAACACACATAAAGGGAAGATTATGTGAAGGACCAAAGGAAAAAGATGGCCATCTATGAGCCAAGAGGCCTGGAACAGATCTTTTCTTTATAGCCTTCAGAAGGCACTAACCAGGCCTACACCTTGATTACAGACTTACAGTTTCCAGAACTGTAAGCCAATAAATTTCTGTTGTTTAAGCCACGTAGTTTGTAGTATTTTGTTACATAAGCCCTGACAAATACATACACTGTACGTGGCATGTAATTAAAACCATATGTGCTTCATAGACCACACAGTTTGAAATTATTCTCTTCATGGGCAACTTCTAATGTAGTAAATCTGCAATGATGTTAGGACTGCAGGAGAGCACATTGATGAAATGTTAACAAGAGCACAGGAGATTAGTCAAGACTAGTAGTGAGAGCCATAGTATTCTAACTCACAGATTACAATGATAAAGATTCTTTGAGGTTCATATCCCTAAGTGGAATGCAGAATGATGTCTAGAGGAACTGACACACTTGGCTTTAGCTAATGATACCTTATTTATTTGAGCATTGCTTACAGATTAAAACCTTAAAACTCTTTTCTCACAGAATTTTGAAAGTGGTGAAAGGTCAAGTTTACAACATTGAGAAACTCCTCCTGTATTGTTTATATGGCCTGGCTTTATTCATCTTCCACTTGCTTTCCAGAAGACCACAGAACTTATTTGACATAATGATTAGACAGAAAAGTTTAATTTCTCAGGTGGCTTATTTTTCTTTATTTTATTGGGTTCTCTCAAGTTTTTTTTCACTCCAAATCCCTTTAGCAGGTTCCAAATCTTACTGGGTAAATTTAAAACTCCTTGAAAGAGTACACCTTACTCTATATAGTTTGGCCCTTGTCAACCTCTTTAGTCACATATGATCTCATGATCCCATTCATTTTCTGCACTCCAGCCATTCTGGCCTTCCTTCAGTGACTTTTACTCACTAATCTCCCTCTCATAAAGGACCTCTCTGTCTCCCTTCCTACTTTAACTCTTGTTTATATTACACTCCTGAACTCAAGTATCAATTTCTCCAGGAAATATTTCCATATCTTCTAGAGAGGTCACTTTGATCAAATAAGTGTGATATCCTAACTCTATATTACTCTTATTTTTGTAAGTTTTGTTAAAATTTATAATTATCTTCTGTTGGTGATTTTGATTATTTTAATAATGTCTATTTCATTCACCAGATTATAAAATTGAAGATCACAGAATAATCTGCTTTTATTCACCATCATAACTTAAGTGCATGCAACATGGCTGTTGTCATATTAGCAGTTCAAAAGTTTTTTTTTAATTAACATATTTATAGACATGTAACCTCCTTTTTGAAGTGTGATTCTTTTGCAATTATATTTTATAAAAATAACATTTATAAAGTCTGCTAATTCTACCAATATCAGATTGACATGTTTTTGGATTAGTAAAATTAAGTATCAAAGAATCATAAAATTTTCAAGCTGAAATTAACTCTAGATTCAGTCTAGTACAGTGATTTTCTAACTTTATAGACTTGCCTCACGGATTACTGAGAGGAATTGAGAGCAAAAGGCTGATAAAGTAGAATTTTGGGATCTCAACATTGGAAGTTATTCCCCATCCAAATTCTACTTTTATCTATTTTATAAGTTGGAATTTCCCTTAATTTTTCTAATAAAAAGTATTTTAGTACTTAAAGATTTTTGAAATGCTGATCTACTTTAACTCTCCTTATTTTAGTGGCAAGAACACTGAGTTTTAATGAGGCTAAATTACATGAATAAGGGCACACATCTAATTAGTGTCAGAGCTAGAACTAGAATATAAATAATCTGATGCCTAGCAATTTCAGGATAGCTACTTTACCCAGAAATAAAGTAGTACTTACTTCTTAAGTTGGTCTAATTGTGGTTCTGTAGTTAATAAAATGAGTTAAGAGGCATGCAAATATGTTAAGTGAGGTAATCATGACTCCTCATGTTTTCAACCAATGAAATCTGTAGACTCTTATGTATGGCTCTGAGTTTGGAGATGCATGTTAGTAAAGCAAAAGTAATACAAACTCTTGTCTCCAATAAATCCAGATGCGTTTGAGTCCCAATTCTACCATTTACTAACTTATCATTTAGGCACAATGCTTAAACTCTCTGAGGTTCATTTTACTCATCTGGAAAATGGGGATAAGTATTTTGTCTTCCAAATGGGGTTGCTTTGAGAAATAAATTAAATATATAAAATTGCCTAGCACAGTGTTTGGTACAGAATTGTCAGTAAGTTTAAGTTCACTTTTTACTACTCCTTTCCTGTCTCCTTTCCATTTTTGTTTACATGAATTTATAGATCTGTGACTTATAAACATATCTATACATATCAAACCTAAATATGTGTTTTGTCTATATACAAGTAATTAGGATCTATCGACAAATAATGATATATAGGGAATTCCAGGAAATTATTTTTGTTGTTAACATTTCACATTCAAGTCTTAGAGTAATTACTGTCTTCTTCTTCTAACACCTAAAATTATCTTAAGCCAACAAATGAATATTCTTCATAATGCAAATATGAATAGAATTCTACTTTGTGCATTTGATGAGACTTCCTTTCTTTTCTAATGTTATTCCTATTCACGTTTATTTTTGTGTTGTGATTTTGTGTGGTGATAGATATGCTAAAATGAAGGAAAAGGCAATTTTTAAAAATAAACGTATATTTCATTTTATTCTGAATTCTTGTTCTGCTGCGTCTATTAACTTAGGCTGTACTGCAAAAGTAATCCTAATAGATATGTATGTATATGTGTAAATATATACATATATATGTTAGAGCATATCTATTAGTACAATGCTTTTTATGAAGTTTCTTTTTTCTCCACTCATACTCACCTATCAGCACATATTAACATGTATCAGCTTAGTAACTAACATAATAAGGCAACTATCAGCTTCCAGGCTTAAAAAGAAAGTTTGCAATTCTTACCCTCTAGTGTCATCTATTGGTTTCATGTTAAAATTACAACTGCTGTCTTGTATGAATTTTCTCTAAAGTACCTGCCTACTAATTTTTACATTCCTATGGTAATAATGTTTAATTATATTCTTTTAAATTAGAGTTGCTTAACTTACTTATTGATTAATATTTAATAGGCTTCCCAGGTCTCTAGCTTATGGATAATATTATTCAGACATACATTGTTCCATTGAGGGAGAAATTGTATTAAAAAGTTTGAGTAACTGAAAACTACCAAACATTACACAATATTCTCATTGCACTCCCTGTTATAAAATAGTAAAATCCAATCCCAAATAAGCAGTGTATCTTTTAAGTATTAGATAAAAATATAAATGATACTTATTTTGAATGTCTGGATTAGTCACATTTTGCATTTTAAAATATCTGTTTTATATATTCCTAAATTTAACTCAAAAGAAACTACTTGAAGTAATAGTGAAGCCAAAACTCATAACAAAAAAACTCCAATTTCGTATGTTGAAATTGTTGGTTACAAATACTTCAGAATATCAATAGTTTCCCAGTACTGGAACAAGTCATCAGAGTAACACAATCTTTCGAAGAAATGCTTTTGAAGAGATTGAGTATGGTAGATCTGTTTATCATGCTATTTCCATATTCCTTTTCATAGGATTTCAGAGAAAAGCTACAGTATATGGAAACTGAAAATGAAAAATTGATGTTGCAGATGATATATTTCAGAGAAACCAGATAGATCTCTATGTTTGTTATATGACTCAAAAATTACTCTTATTAGTCATCCTGGAAGAAAATTTTATTTTCTTCAGCATTTACAATATGTTGCTGCATACTTTTACATTCAGTATTCAGCAGTTCTAGGTCTGTGTTTTGAAGCCTTAAAGCTTTTAAAAATATATTATTGACCCAACAGCTGAATTAATTAAATGATAAGCTCTGGCTAAAGGTATATGTAGATACCCAAAACTTGTTTTATTATTTTCTTCTACTAATATGTAATTTTACAGCCAGCCTAAATGAAACCGAAAAATATAATGCAGCTTTTCCATTGCAGAAATAGTTCTCAGTCTTTTATTCTCATTGAATTTTTTTTAAAATAATTTGAGAGTCAATCATTGGTTACTCCATATATTTTATTGGGCCAAGAGATAATAATTTTATTAGGTCTAAGAAGCTGATTGTATCACCATTGGTCACTCAACTAATTAATTTGAAGGGAATATTCTATTAACAACAGGTGGATTTTTTGTTGTTTGTTTTTGTAGGGAAACAATCACTGGACTGTGGATGAGTTCACTTTGGGACTAGTTCCTATATCTACTCATATTTAACTACAGGGATAATTCTAATTTACTCTCTCTGATTTTCTCTCTCTGCTTCTATTGGCTGGTGTCTTACCTACTGTTCATATAGTATTTTGCACTAGAATAGTATTTACAATATATAGTAATTAATTATGGGTTTTGCAGTGTAATTCTGACACTATTTGGAATTAGGTCAAATTTCACAGGTTAAGGACCCAGTCTTTTACAAACTCCTCTCACTTCAGTCACCAGTCACAAGTTCCGGGTTTCTGAGGTCACCTGAACTTTTGATAAACTGGCAACAAATTTAGAGGTTTCTGCTCTTCTCCCAGGTTCTATAATTTTCTAGAGCAAATAGAAATCTGGCAAGTGCTACACTTACTATTACAGTTTTATTATAAAGAAATCAAATTAAATACCGAATACAGTGGCTCATTCTTGTACTTCCAGTGGTTTGGGAGGCTGAGGTTGGAGGATAGTTTGAGGCCAGAAGTTACAGACTAGCCTGTGCTACATAGTGAAACCTTGCCTCGACAAAAAAAAAAAAAAAAAAAAAAAAAAATAAGTAAGAAGAAAAAAAAAATAGCAGATGTAGTGGTGTGCCTGCAGTCCTAGCTGCTAAGGAGGTTGAGGCAACAGGATTACTTGAGTCCAGGGGATTCAAGGTTGCAGTGATCTACTTACCATCACCCACTGCACTCCAGTCTGGGTGACAAAGTGAAACCTTGTCTCAAAAACAGAAAAGAAAGAAAGAAAGAAAAAGGATACAAATTAGGATTAGTCAAGTTAAGAAACATATACAATGTCTGGAAGGATCCAAAATGAAAGGTTTCTGTAATCTCAGAATTTATTACCTTCCTGGTACATTGATTTGTATCACCAATCAGGATGCCCAACCAAACGGCAGGTGTCCCGAGTTTTTAAAGAGTCTTATTACTTGGGCATGATTCATTGAGTTGTTGGCCATGTGACTGAACTCAATCTCCACTCCCTTCTTTTTTCTGGAGGTTGGGAGGTCAGACCAATATCACACGGCTCAGAAGCCCAGTCTTCAAATCATACATTTGGTCTTTTCAGCATGGCGGGCACCCATCTTGCAACTACCTAGGGGTCCATCATGAGTCATCTCATTAACATAAATTCAGGTGTGGTCTGAGTGACCTACCGGGAATAACAAAGATATTTCTATCACTCAGGAAATCCAGAAGTATTAGAGGTTCTGTTTTAGGAACCAGGAACATAAAACAAATTATTTACTGTAAAAGAGCTGGCACTGTGAGATCTGGTATATCCATTTAGGATTTTATCCAATATCTTCAACTTTAAGACAAAAGACCTAGTCATAAATGCTAATCAAATTTTCAGTTCAAAGTGTATATGTTCCATGAAAATTTTCTTAATCAATGCTACTCAAAACTAGTCTTTTTCTCCTCCATTCTACCAGAGTTCTTCATTTCTACTTACTTACCTACACATAAAAACAGTTACAATTGAATTACTTAGATGAATATATATTTTTCTTCCCCAAATGTTTGATAAATTTAGGATAATTTTACTTATCTTAGTTCTGAATGCATAAAATTAAAAGTAAGATTACAATAGAAATGATAAAAATGATGAAAAAATATTAAATGCTTCCGTTTAAAGAAACATTTAATATTCAAACAATTGACAAATTTTTAAAACTACTTGTTTCACTGAAATTCAATTACCTTTGTTTTATCATGTTTGTGATAGTTAATACTGAGTGTCAACTTGATTTGATTGAAGGATGCAAAGTATCGATCCTGGGTGTGTCTGTGAGGGTGTTGCCAAAGGAGATTAACATTTGAATCAGTGGACTGGGAAAGGCAGAAACACCCTTAATCTGGGTGGGCACCATCTAATCAGCTGCCACTGTGTCTAGAATATAAAGTAGGCAGAAAAATCTGAAAAGACAAGACTGGCCTAGCCTCAAAGCCTACATCTTTTTCCCATGCTAGATGTTTCCTTGCCTCGAACATTGGACTCCAAGTTCTTCAGTTTTGGGACTCCGACTGGCTCTCCTTGCTTCTTGCTTCTCAGCCTGCAGGCAGCCTATTGTGGGACCTTGTGATTGTGTGAGTTAATAGTTAATAAACTCATATATCTATCTAAATAGACATAGATATAGGTATAGGTACAGATATAGATAATCTCTTACTAGTTCTGTCCCTCCAGCGAACCCTGACTAATACAGGTTTTTGTACCAGGAGTGGGCCTAGAGGAACAGAATATTAAGGATACAGTTGTTTCATTTTGGGGTTTCTGGAGTTGGCTGTTTAATATTATTAGACTAAAAAATGCTAAGGACTCTACTTCTAATAGTACAGAGAACACTGAGAGTCCTTGGTGTGAACTGTTCAGAAAGTTGGCAAATTTGCATATGTTGAACCAAGCTTGCATCCCAGGGATGAAGCCCACTTGATCATGGTGGATAAGCGTTTTGATATGCTGCTGGATTCGGTTTGCCAATATTTTATTGAGGATTTTTGCATTGATGTTCATCAGGGATATTGGTCTAAAATTCTCTGTTTTTATTTTGTCTCTGCAAATCAATAAATGTAATCCAGCATATAAACAGAACCAAAGACAAAAACCACATGATTATCTCAATAGATGCAGAAAAAGCCTTTGACAAAATTCAACAACCTTCATGCTAAAAACTCTCAATAAATTAGGTATTGATGGGACGTATCTCAAAATAATAAGAGCTATTTATGACAAACCCACAGCCAATATCATAATGAATGGGGAAAAACTGGAAGCATTTCCTTTGAAAATTGGCACAAGACAGGGATGCCTTCTCTCACCACTCCTATTCAACATAGTGTTGGAAGTTCTGGCCAGGGCAATCAGGCAGGACAAAGAAATAAAGGGTATTCAATTAGGAAACGAAGAAGTCAAATTGTCCCTGTTTGCAGATGATGTGATTGTATATCTAGAAAACCCCATCATCTCAGCCCAAAATCTCCTTAAGCTGATAAGCAACTTCAGCAAAGTCTCAGGATACAAAATCAGTGTGCAAAAATCACAAGCATTCTTATACACCAGTAACAGACAAACAGAGAGTCAAATCATGAGTGAACTCCCATTCACAATTGCTTCAAAGAGAATAAAATACCTAGGAATCCAACTTACAAGGGATGTGAAGGGCCTCTTCAGGGAGAACTACAAACCACTGCTCAAGGAAATAAAAGAGGATACAAACAAATGGAAGAACATTCCATGCTCATAGGTAGGAAGAATCAATATTGTGAAAATGGCCATACTGCCCAAGATAATTTATAGATTCAATGCCATCCCCATCAAGCTACTTTGAAGAAGAAATGACTTTCTTCACAGAATTGGAAAAAACTACTTTAAAGTTCATATGGAACCACAAAAGAGCCTGAATTGCCAAGACAATCCTAAGCCAAAAGAACAAAGCTGGAGGCATCACGCTACCTGACTTCAAACTATACTACAAGGCTACAGTAACCAAAACAGCATGGTGCTGGTACCAAAACAGAGATATAGACCAATGGAACAGAACAGAGCCCTCAGAAATAATGCTGCCTATCTACAACCATCTGATCTTTGACAAACCTGACAAAAACAAGCAATGGGGAAAGGATTCCCTATTTAATAAATGGTGCTGGGAAAAGTGGCTAGCCATATGTAGAAAGCTGAAACTGGATCCCTTCCTTACACCTTATATAAAAATTAATTCAAGAGGGATTAAAGATTTAAATGTTAGACCTAAAACCATAAAAACCATAGAAGAAAACCTAGGCCATACCATTCAGGACATAGGCATGGGCAAGGATTTCATGTCTAAAACACCAAAAGCAATGGCAACAAAGCCAAAATTGATGAATGGGATCTAATTAAACTAAAGAGCTTCTGCACAGCAAAACAAACTACCATCAGAGTGAACAGGCAACCTACAGAATGGGAGAAAATTTTTGCAATCTACTCATCTGACAAAGGGCTAATATCCAGAATCTACAATGAACTCAAACAAATTTACAAGAAAAAAACAAACAACCCCATCAAAAAGTGGGCAAAGGATATGAACAAACATTTCTCAAAAGAAGACATTTATGCAGCCAAAAGACACATGAAAAAATGCTCATCATCACTGGCCATCAGAGAAATGCAAATCAAAACCACAATGAGTTACCATCTCACACCAGTTAGAATGGTGATCATTGAAAAGTCAGGAAACAACAGGTGCTGGAGAGGATGTGGAGAAATAGGAACACTTTTACACTGTTGGTGGGACTGTAAACTAGTTCAACCATTGTGGAAGTCAGTGTGGCGATTCCTCAGGGATCTAGAACTAGAAATACCATTTGACCCAGCCATCCCATTACTGGGTATATACCCAAAGGACTATAAATCATGCTGCTCTAAAGACACATGCACACGTATGTTTATTGTGGCACTATTCACAATAGCAAAGACTTGGAACCAAGCCAAATGTCCAACACTGATAGACTGGATTAAGAAAATGTGGCACATATACACCATGGAATACTATGCAGCCATTAAAAAGGATGAGTTCATGTCCTTTGTAGGGACATGGATGAAGCTGGAAACCATCATTCTCAGCAAACTATTGCAAGGACAAAAAACCAAACACCGTGTGTTCTCACTCATAGGTGGGAATTGAACAATGAGAACACATGGACACAGGAAGGGGAACATCACACACAGAGGCCTGTTGTGGGGTGGGGGGAGGGGGGAGGGATAGCATTAGGAGATATACCTAATGTTAAATGACGAGTTAATGGGTGTAGCACACCAACATGGCACATGTATATATATGTAACAAACCTGCACGTTGTGCACATGTACCCTAAAACTTAAAGTATAATAATAAAAAAAAAGTTGGCAAATTTAATGCATTTGGAACTCCTGATTCACCGCTAGTGACTTGCAAGGAGTTTAGTGACTCTATGCATAATACCTTTGATCATAGGTGAAGAACCAAGGAACATAATGAAGTTGGTTGGTTGCTCCTAAGTTCAGCGGACAAAGTGATGAAAGAAAATGATGAACTCAGGGATTCTAACTCCTGGCATCAGAAGCAGATACTGAGCATCAAATCTGCTCAGACTGCCCTGAATAAGAGTCTTATCTTTTGTAGAGAAAGAGCTGAAATTGTGGAAAAACAGACACAAGCTCTGATCATGCAATTGGCTGACCTGAAATGAAACGTGCATGTACAACCTCGCCAGGTGTCTACAGTTAAAGTGACGGCATTGATGGGAAAATAATAGGACCCTGCAACTTGGTATGGGGACATGTTGGGGGGACCTTGATGAAGCTGGGGACACTGATCTTGTAAACTCTGATGAACTTTTTGGACAGAAGAAACAGCTTCCCCATCCCAGGTAGTGGCAACATTCCCTCCCTGACCCATGCTGCCATGAGCCTTCCCACCTTTGTCTGAGGAGACTAACCCTCTGCTCCCTGAGGCAACAGTGATGCCCTCCCCTGAGGCAGTTGCCGGGCAAGATAATATTGATTCTCCCCAGGAGCTGCCCACAATACCCTTGTTTACTTCTAGACCTATAACTTGACTCAAGTCCCAGCAGGCCCCTAGAGGTGAGGTTCAGAGTGTGACCCATGAGGAGGTGTGCAGCACTCAAAAAGAACTGCTTGAGTTTTCTAATTTATATAAATAGAAATCTGGAGAACAGGCATGGAAATGGATATTAAGGGTGTGGGATAATGGTGGAGAAAACGTAGAGTTGATCAAGCTGAATTTATTGAATTTGCCCACTAAGTAGAAACCCTGTATTTATTGTGGCAGCTCAGTGAGTTTAAAAAGGGTCTAATAATTTATTTGCTTGGTTAGCTGAAATATGCATTAAAAGATGGCCCACTGTAAGCAAGCTGGAAATGCCTGATCTCTCTTGGGTTAATGTAGAGGAAAGGATCCAAAGGCTTAGGGAGATTGGGATTGTGGAGTGGATTAGTCACTTTAAACCTACTCATACCAGCTGGGAGGGTCCAGAAAATATATCTTTGGCCATTGTTTTGCAAAATAGATTGTGAGGACAGCACTTGCATTTTTGAAGAGCCCTGTAATTATTCTTTTCTGTATGTCAGGTCTAAGAGTGGGAACCACACTCACTCAACTAAAAAATTTAAATACAATGGGAATTATTGGATCCCAAGGTGGCAGGGGTCAAGTGGTGGCACTCAACTGTCAATGGCAAGATGGGTGTAGCTATCATAATAGACAGCAGAGGCAAAGCAGTAATCAGAATAGTCTGACTTATGTAGAGCTCTGGCATTGGCTAATTAATCACAGTGACCCTAAAAGTGAAATTGATAGGAAGCTTACTACATTCCTACTGAATTTATATAAGCAGAAAACTTCTGGGTCAAATGGACAAAAGACTAATTTGGATTATAGAAACAGGCGATCATGGCCTCTCAATCAATTTCCAGACTTGAGCCAGTTTACAGATGCAGAACCCCTTGAATGAAGGGAAGGCTAGGTCCCTTTGAGGAAAGACCCTTCTATGCTACTATTTATGCTGTTAATCTTTCTCCCCTTCTTTCCCAAGGAGACCTCTGATCTTTTCCCAGGGTAACTGTGCATTGCAGAAAGGGAAATGATCAGACATTTCAGAGACTATTGGACACTGGCTCTGAGATGACATTGATTCCAGGGGACCCAAAACGTCATTGTGGTCCTCCAGTTAAAGGTCAGGCTTATGGAGGTCAGATAATTAATGGGATTTTAGCTCAGGCCTGATTTACAGTGGGTCCAGTGGGTACCCAGACTCATCCTGTGGTCATTTTCTTAGTGCCAGAATGCATAATTGGCATAGACATACTTAGCAGCTGACAGAACCCCTACCTTGGCTCCCTGACTTTTAGGGTGAAAGCTATTATGGTGGGAGAGGCCAAATGGAAGCCATTAGAGCTGCCCATACCTAGAAAAATGGTAAATCAAAAACAATACCACATCCCTGGAGCGATGGCAGAGATCAGTGCCACAATCAAGGGTTGGAAAGATGCAGGGGTGGTGATTCCCAAAACGTCCCCATTCAACTCTCCCATTTGGCCAATGTAGAAGACAAATGGATCTTGGATAATGACAGTGGATTATTGTAAGCTTAACCAAGTGATGACTCCAATTGCAGCTGCTGTATCAGATGTGGTTTTATTGCTTGAGCAAATTAACACATCTCCTGGTACCTTGTATGCAGCCATTGACTTGGCAAACACCTTTACTCCATTCCTGTCCATAAGGCCAACCAGAAGCAATTTGCCTTCAGCTGGCAAAGCCAGCAATATACCTTTACTGTCTTACCTCAAGGGTATATCAACTTTCCAGTTTTGTGTCACAATCTTATTCAGAGAGACCTTGGTCATATTTTGCTTCTACAAGATATCACACTGGTCCATTACATTGTTGACCTTATGCTGATTGGATCAGGTGAGAAAGGAGTAGCAAACACACAGGACTTATTGGTGAGACTTTTGCATGCCAGAAGATGGGAAATAAATCTGACTGAAATTTAGGGACCTTCTACCTCAGTAAAATTTCTAGGAGTCCAGTGGTGTGGGACATGTCAAAATATTCCTTCTAAGGTGAAGGATAATTTGCTGCATTCGGCCCCTCCTGCAGCCAAGAAAAGGGCACAAAGCCTAGTGGGCCTATTTGGATTTTGAAGGCAAAATATTCCACATTTGGATGTGTTACTCTGGCCCATTTATTGAGTGACCCAAAAGGCTGCCAGTCTTGAGTGGGGTCCAGAACAGAAGAAGGCTCTGAAACAGGTCCAGGCAACTCTGTGACTTGGGCTATATGACCCAGCATATCCAATTGCGCTTGAGGTGTCGGTGTCAGACAGGGATGCTGTTTGGAGCTTCTGGCATGCCCCCATAGGTGAATCACAATGGAGGCCTACAGAATTTTGGAGCAAGGCCCTGTCATCTTCTGCAGATAACTACTCTCCATTTGAGAGACAGCTCTTGGCCTGTTACTGGGCTTTGGTGTAAACTGAATGCTTGACTATGGATCATCAAGTCACTATGCAACCTGAACTTCCTATCATAAACTGGGTGCTTTCTGACCCATCTAGCCATAAAGTGGGGTGTGCAAAGAAGCATCCCATCATCAAATGGAAGTGGAATATACATGATTGGGCTCGAGCAGGCCCTGAAAGCACAAGTAAGTTACATGGGGAAATGGCTCAAATGCCTATGATATCCATTCCTGGAGCTCCGCCTTCTCTCCCCCAGCCTGCACCGATGGCCTCATAGAGAGTTCCCTATGATCAGTTGACAGAGGAAGACAAGACTAGGGCCTGGTTCACAGATGGTTCTGCACGATATGCAGGTACAATCCAAAAGTGGACAGCTGCAGCACTACAGCCCCTTTCTAGGACATCCCTGAAGGACAGCAGTGAAAAGAAATCTTACCAGTAGGCAGAACTTCAAGCAGTGCACCTGGTTGTGCACTTTGCATGGAAGGAGAAATGGCCATATGTGCGATTATATACCAATTCATGGGCTGTAGCTAATGGTTTGGTTTGGATGGTCAGGGACTTGAAAGAAGCATGACTGGAAAATTGGTGACAAAGAAATGTGGGGAAGTGGTATGTGGATGGACCTCTCTGAGTGGTCAAAAACTGTGAAGATATTTGTATCCCTTGTGAGTACTCACTAACAGGTGACCTCAGCAGATGATGATTTTAATAATCAAATGGAGAGGATGACCCATTCTGTGAACACTGTTTAGCCTCTTTCCCCAGTCATCTCTGTTATCACCCAATGGGTCCATGAACAAAATGTCCATGGTGTCAGGAATGGAGGTTACTCATGGGCACAGTAACATGGACCTCCACTCACCAAGGCTGACCTGCTGACTGCTCAATTTGCCAGCAGCAGAGGCCAGCACTGAGCTCTCAATATGGGACCATTCCTTTGGGTGATCAGCCAGCTACCTGGTGGCAGGTTGATTATATTGGACCTCTTCCATCATGGAAAGAGCAGAGGTTTGTTCTCATTGGAATAGACACTTACTCTGGATGTGGGTCTGCCTATCCTGCATGCAATGCTTCTGCCAAGACTACCATCCGTGGACTCACAGAGTGCCTTATCCACTGTCATGGTATTCCACACAACATTGCCTCTGACCAAGGCATTCACCTTACAGCTAAAGAAGTGTAAGAGTGGGCTTATGCTCATAGAATTGACTGGTCTTACCATGTTCCCCATCATACTGAAGCAGCTGGATTAATAGAACGGTAAAATGGCCGTTTGAAGTCACAATTACAACACCAACTAGGTGACAATACTTTGCAGGGCTGGGGCAAAGTTCTCCAGAAGGCCATGTTGGCTCTGAATCAGTGTCCAATATATGGTACTGTTTATCTCGTAGGCAGGATTCATGGGTCCAGGAATCAAGGGGTGGAAGTGGAAGTGTCACCACTCACCATCACCCCTAGTGATCCACTAGCAAAATTTTTGCTTCCTGTTCCTGCAACATTATATTCCTCGAAGTCTTAGTTCCAGAGGGAGGAATGCAGCCACCAGGAGACATAACAACAATTCCATTAAACTGAAAGTTAAGTTTGCCACCTGGACACTTTGGGCTCCTCCTACCTTTAAGTCAACAGGCTAAGAAGGGAGTTACAGTGTTGGCTGGGGTGATTGACCCAGACTATCAAGATAAAATCAGTCTACTAGTGCACAACTGAGGTAAAGAAGAGTTTATAGGGAATACAGGAGATCCATCAGGGTGTCTCTTAGTATTACCATGCCCTGTGATTAAGGTCAATGGGAAACTACAACTGCTCAATCCAGGCAGAACTACAAATGGCCCAGACCCCTCAGGAATGAAGGTTTGGGTCACTCCACTAGGAAAAAAAAAAAAACACCCATGACCTGCTGAGGTGCTTGATGAATGCAAAGGGAATAAAAAATGAGTAGTAGAAGGTAGTCATAAATACCAGCTATGGCCACGTGACCAGTTGCAGAAATGAGGACTTTAATTGTCATGAGTATTACCTCTTTCTTTTGTTAAAAACATATTTGTGCATGTATACACTTGTACTAAGAAAATATCTTCATTTTATTTCATTTTTTCTTTGTCATGTGACACAAGATTCATTGACTTCAAGTCAGCATTTAAGTATTGTCAACTTTATATAATAGCATTTGGGTTGGGGATTGGTACGTTTTCAGTTGTACATAGCATAATTGTATTACATTAACTGTAATTATGACCTTATTATTGTCTTTATTTGAAGATTATGTATAATCTCAGGAGATGTGTATGGGTTCAAGTTGACAAGGGGTAGACTTGTCTGAGTGTCTGGGCCAGGCACGGTGGCTCACACCTGTAATCCCAGCACTTTGGGAGACCGAGCCAGGCAAATCACAAGGTCAGGAGTTCAAGAACAGTCTGGTCAACACAGTGAAACCCCGTGTCTACTAAAAATACAAAAATTAGCAGGGCGTGGTGGTGGGTGCCTATACTCCCAGCTATTTGGGAGGCTGAGGCAGGAGAATCACTTGAACCCAGGAGGTGGAGGTTGCAGTGAGCCGAGATCGCAACATTGCACTCCAGCCTGGATGACACAGTGACACTCTGTCTCAAACAAAAAAAATAAATAAATAAAAACTGAGTGTCAACTTGATTGGATTGAAGGATGCAAAGTATTGATCTTGGGTGTGTCTGTGAGGGTGTTGCCAAAGGAGATTAACATTTGAATCAGTGGACTGGGAAAGGCAGACACACCCCAAATCTGGGTGGGCACCATCTAATCAGCTGCCAGTGTGGCTAGAATATAAAGCAAGCAGAAAAATCTGAAAAGACAAGACTGACCTGGCCTCCCAGCCTACATCTTTCTCCCATGCTGGATGCTTCCTAGCCTCAAACATCGGACTCCAAGTTCTTCAGTTTTGGGACTTGGACTGGCTCTCCTTGTTCCTCAGCTTGCAGATGGCCTATTGTGGGACCTTGTGATCATGTGAATTAATACTTAATTAACTCTCATATATATATATATATATATATATATCTCCATAGATATCCATATGTCCTTATATATGGATATATCATGATCTATGGATATATGGAGATATATATATATGGGATATATATAGGATATGGGATTATATATATCTATTGGATATTTATATAGGATATATATCTATATAACTAATAGGATATATATATCCTATTAGTTCCGTCCCTCTAGAAAACTCTAATACAATGTCTAAGTGTACATAGATCCAGATGAAAGAAAACATTTTATCCACTGAAGTAAACAGATAATCACATTGTAGACTCAATAAGTAAGTAAATTATTTAAAGACACAGAGCAAGGAAAATATTATCTTATAAAAACAGCACAAATGCATAAAATATATTTTTAAATTACAAATTTAGTATCGTAGGAAGACTTGAATAACAGATTAAGATTTTTATAGTATTGGGCAAATTGAAGGTATGGGTCTGGGCAGAGTAGTGAAAGCGGCTCCTGTTTTCCCCTCAGAAGACTCCTGGAAATCTTTCCCAAAATTTTCTCTGATCTTTCCTGTGAGCACCTTGTGAATTGCTGAAAGAAAAACTTGCAAGAGAGTATTAACCTGATTGTATATGCAGCCACTACGGGCTTCATACTCATGTATGCTAGACCACTTAGCATTTAGCAATTTGTTGAAACTTTTCTGGCAGCTAGCACTTCTGCCTCAGGTGTACAAATATTAATGACTTGTTTCTTCTTGTAGACACCTGTCTGTCTCCAGTTTTGGGGTTACTTGATTGCCCTGCAACCTCAGTTCTCTAGTGGATTAAAGAAAAAATATTAATTTGAAGAATATTCATCTCTTTTTATGTTATAATTGTGAGACCAACTTTATTTTCAGCTCTACATCTTCAGGCTCAAACAGAAGTGGTTATATATTTTAATTGACCATATTTTAAAATTATGAGAACAAATTTGGAACAAAATTTATTATTGCTGTGGAATGTTATATGAGTACAAATATTGATTCCAGGGAATGAACACTGTCCTATTGAGAACTTGATCCAAGGTACAGATGGGGCATGATGTAGCTTTGTTCTATGGGTAACGATTATGAATGTGTGATGTTGATTTGGGTACCTTTGGAAGGAAGGAAAATATCTAATTTTATTGGGTGTTTGATGAGTGATCCTGAAGAGTACATCTGCAGTTACTCTGACAGAGCAGATGGGCATATAAGCAAATTGCGAGTTGGAAGCATCTTGGTCTAGATTAAAGGTCACCAAATTATGGCCTTTGTGCCAAATCTAGGTCTGTTTTTGTGCAACTTTTTAGTTAAGGTTTTTTTTCATTTTGTTCATTTTTAACATTTTAAGAGAGTAATTTTTAAAAAGACAAAAAAAAGTTACCAGAAATATATGTGGCTGGCAAAGACTAAAGACTAAAATATTTACTATCTGTCCCTTTACAGAAAAAGTGTGCCAATCTTTGAGATACATATTTACCTCATTTTAGGCATGTCCCACATCTGAGCTTTCACTCAAGGATAAAATGAAGCAGCCCCAAATGGAAGAATTATCACAATTTGACACTCAGGAAAATCACAGTATGATGATATCTCTTCAGAAAGAATGTAAAATTATAATTTTAAAAAATCAATGAATCACAAGTCTTAAAGCTTCAGGGTGTTTCTATTTATATTCACCATTATTCATTATTTATTCAAAAACTGTTTATTGAACACGTACTATAGGCCAGGAACCCTTCTATTTATTAAGAATGCAACTGTGAATAACAACCAAACAAACAAAAATTCTTATCTTCGTGGAGGTTGCATTCTAGTGAATTAAAAATGAGGATAGAAACAAATAAGTAATATACATACTATGTTAGATGGTGATTAGGGGTATTAAGGACGGAAAAAGCAAAACAGGAAAAGAAGTTAAGACTTGTCAAAGGTTAGAAAGTTCAGTTTTAAATAAGGTGTTAAAAGAAGATCATTATTTATTTTCCCAAATCTGAGGATACACCCAGGAAAAACACAAGTCACAAGAGCATCTGTGTCCTGTGCTTTTCAAATGGGGAACTTCATATTTAAAGAGGAAAGAGCAAGCAGGAGGGAAAAATGAAGAGGGCAGGCAGTGAGGCAAATGGTTACATTTTTGTGAAGCTCTAATAAGGGCTCTGTACATCTCAATTTTACATAAGATAAGGCAAGCATGTGAAAAGAGTGAGCAGAGGAAAAAGTCAGTTATGCATTCATCTCAGTGTAGGGGGAGAAATAATTTCCAGTCTTGTCCTTGCTCTGTATTTGTGAAGATTAGATCATAATTGAAATCCTCAGATTGAGATTTAGCAGGACTCAATTTTAGGGCTAGTTTATAGAAAAGATATGTATCCTGAAAGATTTAGGGGCTCACAAGGTCTTTTCTTGTGAGCACATTAAGAGAGAGACCAACTGGGAAGATATATGGCCTTCTTTCATTGTGGTAACATGGTTTACGTATAAGGTTATGACAAAGGGTTGTGAAATGGCAGCTCTTTGGGAACAAAAAGGAGACAGTATTGAGTGACTCAGTTCCCAAGCTTAACTTTTCCTTTGAAACAGTGAGCTTAGGGTCCTGAGATCTATTTTTTTCACAGAATATAGAGAGCTGGATAGAGAGGATCTCTTCCACTCTTACAAGATGAAAGGGTCAGGGGTTGGGGGTAAGGAGGAGGAGAAGGAATGAAAGGAGAGGCCGGGTGCAGTGGCTCATGCCTGAAATCCCAGCACTTTAGGAGGTTGAGGGGGGCAGATCATGAGGTCAAGAGATTGCGACCATCTTGGCCAACATGGTAAAACCCCATCTCTACTAAAAATACAAAAATTAGCTGGTCTTGGTGGCACGTGCCTGTAGTCCCAGGCACTTGGGAGGCTGAGGCAGGAGAATTGCTGGAACCCAGGAGGTGGAGGTTGCAGTGAGCTGAGATCGCGCCACTGCACTCCAGCCTGGTGACAGAGCTAGACTCCATCTCAAGAAAAAAAAAAAAAAAAAAGTAGTAGAAGGAAGAAGTGAGGGAACAGGAAGAGAAGGAAAAGCAGAAGGGCGGGGAGGTAGAAGGAGAAAAAAAAGCCAGCCAATCTACAAATTTACAACACGTCTTGAACTCATGATAGAGCTGAGGTCACGGGAAAATAACTTGAAATCTGTGAAAAGGCTAAAGCCCTTACCTACCTGGAACAAAGGCTTCCAGACACTCTTAAAAATTTTATTTTTTAATGTATTGCTACAGGCTGAGGGTAGACCAGAGAGAGAATACATTACCTCCGAGGGGTTGCAGATACAAGGATAATTTGCACCAAATCACATATTCTTCTCTACTGACCTCACTAGGTGTTCACAAACAAGAATGGGGACAAGGAGTCTTCAGAAATTATCTCTCTTAGTGCAGGCTTAAGGAAAGGTTACAGCAGCTGTCGTGGAAAAGGCACAAAGCCTCACTTGTATTCTTCTCCATTTCTCCTATGAAACAGAATTCTTAAGATAACAGGAAGAATGAAGAGGAGACTATGCCCCCTCTAAATAAATATAAAAACACTTTGCAACTGAGGAAAATTAACATAAAAAAAGAAATGAAAATGAATAAATAAACAAAAATATCTACCCCTGGGCAAGGGGTAGAAAGAGTGTTGGGCCCAAACCAACAGCTTGGGACAGGAAAGGATCACGATCACTGAAAAGTTCCACTGCCAAGATTAGGGACACTGTGCCTGTCTAAACTGAGGCTTAATCTTAACAATAATTGTTCCCCATGTTGGTATTACCAGCCTAAGGAATAGCAGCACTCTACTGCTGCTCAGAGATCATCTCTGAAGCACAGTACAAAAAAAAAAAGACTTGAAGCTGAAGGTGGAGCAGATATTTTTTAAAATCTTCTGGAAAACCAGCTACTACACAAAACACAAGGTAACACTAAAGAATTTAAAGATTGTGTCACAATGAGAGAAAATATAGCAACAGCAAAACCCAAACTAAGCTCAACTACTGATTAGATTGGTTCAAAGCTCCACACTAAATGCCTAGCAAAGTTTTTTAATTTCTTTTTTAAAGCGTGCTCATTTCTAGGCATACAATATTTACCTCAGTCATAACTTTTCCATGTATGATGTCCAGTTTTCAACACTATAAAAGAACTGAGGCATATAAAAAAGGCAAACTAAACAAAACAAAGCACTGCCAAAAGTAAAAGCGATGAACAGAATGTGATTCAGATATGAAACAGATGTTGAAACTATCAAGCATGAAATGTAAAACAAATGATTAATATGCTATAGGTTCTAGTGGAAAAGGTTGACGGCATGTATTCTCTCTTTAGCAGAGAGAATGAAACTGTAAGAAAAGATTGGCATAAAGCTACTGTGCATTGGGACTCATCCATGGCTTCCAACAACTCCTGGGAAAGGGGTGATTTGAGCAGGTGTGGAGCAGCAAACTCTTGCTATGGACATCTGGAATCCTGGCAGAAGGAGATCCCACAACCCCTTACAGACACTTGACCTGGCAGGGAGAGTTGCTTAGAGAGGTGTTAGGGGCAAAACTTCAGCTAGTTTGGAGCCCAGAGGGTTTGGTGTGAGAGTGTCTGTAGGGCAGCAAAGCCAGGGATGCCCATCCCCCAAGGTTTGCTTTGTTCCCTAGGAGACTTTAACCTTAGGGGAACTGTCAGACCTTAACAGTGCATGGCAATCTTGCCCATAAGAAGTGGTCAACCTCAGCACCCCTCTATCTGCTGCCCTCAACCAGGGCCCCAGCCTGGCCATGCCTGCTTGCAGTGCAGCCTTGTGCCCGGCCAGGATGCCTCTCAAAGTCAGACATCATAGCTCCTGCACTGATAGGCCAGACTTGACCATCAGAAAGCTCCAGTGGAGCAGCCCCTGCTGGTGCACACCAGCCCTCCTGTGCCCTCCATCCATCACAGACTCCCTCATGTTTTTTTGCCAGCAAGCACTCATTTCCAGCCACCCCCCACATTACTTTGCAAGGGCAGACTTTAACTTCTCTTCCCAGCTGGTACCTGTGTGCACATGCACCCCACCATGCCAGTGCTGTCTTGTCAGTGCACCGGCAGAAAAACAACAAAAAGGGAAAACTTCAGGCCAATATCCTTGATCGACAGTGATATAAAAATATTTAACAAAATACTGGCAAATGGAATGCAGCAGCATATCAAAAAATGAATCCACTGTGATCAATTAGGCTTCATTCCTGGCTCTACATATGGAAATCAATAAATGATTCACCGCATAAAGGAAACTTAAAAAAAATAACGAACACATGATCATCTCAATAGATGCGGAAAGGGATTTTAGAATAATTCAACATCCCTTCATGTGAAAAACCCTCAAGAAATCAGGCATTGAAGAAACATTCTTTAATAAGAGCCATGTATGACAAACCCACAATCAACATTATAGTGAATGAACAAAAGCTGGAAGCATTCCCCTAGAAACCTGGCAGAAGACAAGGATGCCTTCTCTCACCATTTATATTTAGCATAGTACTGGAAGTCCTGGCAGAGCAATCAGGGAAGAGAAAGAAATAAAAGGCATCCAAATAGGAATAAAAGAAGTTGAATAATCCTGTTTGCAGATGATATGGTTCTATATCAAGAAAACCCCATAGTCTTGTTCAACAGCTCATCAATCTGATAAAAAAATTTCAGCAAATTTTCAAGATACAAAATCATTGTATGAAAAAACTTTTTATTATACTTTAAGTTCTAGGGTACATGTGCACAACATGCAGGTTTGTTACATATGTATATATGTGGCATGTTGGTGTGCTGCACCCATTAACTCGTCATTTACATTAGGTATATCTCCTATATCTCCTAATGCTATTCCTCCCCCCTTCCCCCCACCCCACAACAGGCCCCGGTGTGTGATGTTCCCCTTCCTGTGTCCAAGTGTTCTCATTGTTCAATTCCCACCTATGAGTGAGAACATGTGGTGTTTGGTTTTTTGTCCTTGTGACAGTTTGCTGAGAATGATGGTTTCCAGCTTCATCCATGTCCCTACAAAGGACATGAACTCATCCTTCTTTATGGCTGCATAGTATTCCATGCTGTATATGTGCCACATTTTCTTAATCCAGTCTGTCATTGGTGAACATTTTGGTTGGTTCCAAGTCTTTGCTGTTGTGAACAGTGCCACAATAAACATACGTGTGCATGTGTCTTTATAGCACCATGATTTATAACTCTTTGGGTATATACCCAGTAGTGGGATGGCTGGATCAAATGGTATTTCTAGCTCTAGATCCTTGAGGAATTAATAGCATTCCTATACACCAACAACATCTTAGCCCAGACCCAAATCAATAATGCAATCCCATTTGAAATAGCCACAAAAAGAATAATAGACCTAGAAATACAGCTAACCAAGGAGATGAAAGATATGTATAGTGAAAATTACAAAACACTGCTTAAGGAAATCAGAGATAACACAAACAAATAAAAAAAGTTCCATTCTCATGGATGGGAAGAATCAATATTTTTTAAATGCCCATACAGCCCAAAGCAATTTACAGATTCAATGCTATTCCCATCAAACTCCCAATAACATTCTTTACTTAATTAGAAGAAACTGTTTTTATATTCATAAGGAACCAAGCAATAGGTTGAATGGCCAAGGCTATTCAGCAAAAATTACAAAGCAAAAAGCTGGAGGCATCACAATACCTGATTGCAAACTATACTACGAGGCTACGGTAATCAAAACAGCATGGTGCTCATACCAAACAGACACATAAACCAATGGAGAGAATGATGCAGTGCATAATTATAAATGATTGCAAGACAGAAAGAAATAGTTGTGAAGATAGCCTTGAGGAAACAGCAACAGTTGTAGTACCTAATGCTCAAGTGGAGTGATCGGTCTTAACAAGAATCATGAACATTTTTTTCATATTAGTCACAGGAAATAAAGAGTAAGTGAGGAATAATTCTGGTAGGTGGGTAGAAGTGATGAGGGCTGCTAGGAAATATCTCTTGACTGCGTTTATTTTATTTTCTCAGTGCAAATTAAAGCAAAAGTATCTGGGCAAGATGGCCAACTAGACATAACTAGGTGGAACAGCTGCCACCAAAGATCAGGATGACTTTTGCACTCCTAACAGATCTTCACAGGGAAGGCACTGAGCATGGTTGGAAGAAAGACAGCCTGTCAGTGCCTGCCTGCAGTGCAACCTCAGGTGCCCTAGGGGACCACATCATATCTCCTGGGCCGGCCGACTGCACCTGACCAGTGGAAAGCTCCAGTGGGGTGATCCCTGTGGTCATGCACCAGCCTGCCCACTCCCCCCTTCCACTCTAGGTGCCCCTGGGCCTATGACCATCACCCACGTTGCTTTGCTGGGGCATGTAAACACAGATGGATTTTGCTTTCCCTGCCCCTCTAGCACTTTTTTGTGTGTGCACCCTGCTCTGCCACTGCTGCCTGAAGGAGTGCACTCTGCCACTCCTCCCCCACCATACTGCCATTGCAGTGGGTATTTCATCAGGAATAGAGCCTGCCAGCTCTGCCCTTCTGCCATGTCCCATTACTGTGCCAACACAGCCACCAGAGGCAAACTAGGCACAGGGAACAGTGGATTTTCTCCTGCCCTGAGTGACCATGTCTGCCTGTGTGAACATGCACAGAGAGCACATACAGTCCTGTGGCTGCCAGTGCCCCACACATAGACTAACACCTGCACCAGCATGACTGCAGGCACAGGTGCCAGTGGGTTCCCACCACCCCCTGTAAGCTGTGCTGTCTCTAACACTGCTCCAGATGCCCATGCAGAGACTGGGTGTTTCCAAACACCCACTAGCAACCTGCCACAGACATGAGTGTGCACCCTGCAGTGCTGCTGCTGCCACTGGCAAGTGCAAATGAGGATAGATCTGCTACCAACACCCTAAGAAATGCTTTTGTTGGTACTACCCATGGAAGTGCTGGAACTAGAGGTCTGGGAACATCTTGGCCCCACCAGCACATTGGGTTTCTAACCTCATGGAGCCAGAGAACAAAGTCAGGGCCCAATATTAGCCCACCAGAGTTAGAGCACACAGACCAAGAGATGTGAGCTGAGCCTCTTAAAATCTTCTAGAAACAAAGCCAGTTGGCTGAACCCAACTTATACCACAAGAAAATCCTCAAGGTCATCCAATAGGATAAAAGAAAAAAAATTCCAAAGGGCAGCAACTTCAAAGATTGAAGGAATCAGCTCACAAAGATGAGAAAGAATCAGCACAGGAACTCTGACAACTCAAATAGCCAGAGTGCCTTCTTTCCTCCAAATTACTACACTAGCTCTCCAGCAAGAGTTCTGGATCAGGCTGGGATGGCTGAAGTGGCACAAATAGAATTCAGAATATGGATAGGAACGAAGATCACTGAGATGCAGAAAGACACTGAAACCCAATCCAAGGAAGCTAAGAGTCACAATAAAATGACACAGGAGCAAAAAGGCAAAATAGCCAGTAGAGAAAAAGCATAGCCAATCTGGCAGGGTTGAAATCCCCCCCACAGGGATTTCATAATGCAATCCCAAGTATTAATAGCAGAATAGACCAAGCTGAGGACAGACTCTCAGAGCTTGAAGACTGGCTTCCTGAAATAAGACAGTTAGACAAAAACAGAAACAAAAGATTGAACAGGAATAAATAAAACCTCTGAGAAATAAGAGACTATGTAAAGAGATCTAATCCATGACTCATTGGTGTCCACTAGAGAGATGGAGAGAATGGAAGCAACTTGGTAAACAGATTTCAGAATATCACACAGGAGAACTTCTCCAACCTAGCTAGAGAGGCCAACATTCAAATTCAGGAAATGCAGAGAACCTCAGTAAGATACTTCACAAGATGATCATCCCCAAAACATGTAATTATCAGATTATTCAATGTCAAAATGAAAATAACAAAAGTTTAAGGCAACTAGAGAGAAACAACAGCTCAACTAAAAGGGAAGCTCATCAGATTAACAGCAAACCTCTCAGCAGAAGCCAATATTCAACATTCTAAAAGAAAAGACATTCCAACTAGGATTTTCATGTCAGGCCTAACTAAGCTTCAGAAGAGAAAGAGAAATAACATTATTTTCAGAGAGGCAAATGCTGAAGAAGTTTGTTAACACCAGACATGCTTTACAAGAGATCCTAAAGAAAGTACTAAATATGGAAACTAAAAACCATTATTAGCCACTACAGAAACAAAGTTATGTACACAGAGCAGTGACACTAAAAAGCAACCACACAAACAAGTCTGCATAATAACTAGCTAACATCATGATGACAGGATCAAATCTACACATATCAATACAAGCCTTGAATATAAATGAGCTAAATGTCCCAATTATAAAACACACAGTGGTAAGCTGGATAAGGAACCAAGACCCATTGGCATGCTGTCTTCAAGAGACCTCTCACATGCAAAGACACACATACAAAGAGATGGAGAAAAGTCTACCAAGCAAATGGAAAAAAAATCCAAGTTTGCAATCCTAATTTCAGACAAAACAGGCTTCAAATCAACAAAGATAAAAAAAAATACAAAGTAGGGCATTACCTATTGGTAAAGGGTTGTATTCAACAAGAAGTCCCAACTACCCTAAATATATATGTACACAACACAGTAGCAACCAGATTCATAAAACAAGTTCTTACAGACCTTAGTGACTTAAACTCCCACATGATAATAGTGAGAGACTTCAACACCCCACTGGCATTACCAGGCAGATGATTGAGGGAGAAAATTCACAGATATTCAGGACCTGTACTCACCACTGAATTAAATGGACATGATAGATATCTACAGAATTCTTCACCCTGAAACCAGAGTATATACATTCTTCTCATTGCCATATGGTACATACTCTAAAATCAATCACATAGTCAGACATAAAGCACTCCTCAGCAAATGCAAAAAATTGAAATTATAACAACCACTCTTTGGACTTCAGCACAATCAAGTTAGTAGTCAAGACTAAGAAAATTGCTGAAAACCATAAAGTTACATGGAAATTGAATAATTTGCTTTCCTGAATGACTTGTGGGTAAATAATAAAATTAAGGCAGAAATAAAGAAGTTCTGCAATCCCTGCACTTTAGGAGGCCAAGGCGGGTGGATCACCTGAGGTCAGGAGTTTGAGGCCAGCCTGGCCAACATGATGAAACCCTGTCTCTATTAAAAATACAAAAAAATAGCCAGGCGTGGTGGCAGGCGCCTGCGATCCCAGCTACTCAGGAGGCTGAGGCAGGAGAATCGCTTGAACCCAGGAGGCAGAGGTTGCAGTGAGCCAAGATTGCGCCACTGCACTCCAGCCTGGGCAACAAGAGTGAAACTCCGTCAAAAAAAAAAAAAAAAGTTATTTGAAATTATTGAGAAGAAAGAGACAACATATCAGAATCTCTGGAACACAGCTAAGGCAGTGTTAAGGGGAAAATTACAACATTAAATGCCCTAATCAAAAAGTTAAAAAAAACCCTCAATTTGACACCCTAATAAAACAACTAAAAGAACTAGAGATCCTAGAGAAATTCAGCCCCAATGCTAGAGGAAGACAAAAAATAATGATATCAGAGTTTAACTGAGGGAGATTGAGACATGAAAAAAACATTCAAAGGATGAAAAAAACCAAGACTCTTTTTGGGAAAAAGTTAATAAAATAGACCACTAGCTAGACTAATAAAAAAGAAAAAAAGATAAGATCTAAATAAACACAATTAGAAATGACAAAAGAGATATTACCACTGACCCCACAGAATTACAAATGACCATCAGAGAATATTATGAAAACCTCTGTGCACATAAACTAGAAAATCTAGAAGAAATAGATAAGTTTCTGGACACATAAACCCCCTAAAACTGTACCAGGAAGAAATTGAATCACTGAACAGACAAATAATGAGTTCTGAAATTGAGTCAGTAATAAATAGCCTACCAACCAAAAAAAGCTGAGGACAAGAGAAATTCACAGCTGAATTCTACCAGATGTACAAAGAAAAGCTGGTACCATTTCCGTTGAAAATATTTCAAAAAATTGAGGACGAGGGACTCCTCTCTAACTCATTCAATGAGGCTAGCATTATCCTGATACCAAAACCTGGCAGCAAGACAACAGCAAAAAGGAACTTCAAGCCAATATCCTTGATGAACATTGATGAAAAAAATCCTCAACAAAATACTGGCAAACTGAATCCAGCAGCATACGAAAAAGCTTATTCAACATGATTAAGTAGGCTTTATTCCTGGGATGCAAGGTTGGTTCAAAATATGCAAATCAATAAATATGATTCATTACATAGACAGAACTAAAGGCAAAATCCAAATGATTATCTCAATAGATGCATAATAATAGGCTTTCAATGAAATTCAACACCCCATCACATTGAGAACTCTCAATAAACTAGTTATTAAAGGAACATACCTCAAAATAATAAGAGCCATTTACGACAAACCCACAGTCAACATCATACTAAATGGGCAAAAGCTGCAACAATTCCTCTAAAAACCAGCACAAGACAAGGATGTCCTCTGTCACGAGTCTTATTTAATATAGTATTAGAAATCCAGGCCAGAGTAATCAGTCAACATAAAGAAATACAGGGCATCCAAATAGGAAGAGAGGAAGTAAAACTATCCCTGTTTGCAGACGACATGATCCTATATCTAGAAAACTCCATAGTCTCAGCCCAAAAGCTCCTTTAGCTAATAAATTCAGTGGTCTCGGGAAACAAAATTAATGTACCAAAATTACTAGGATTCCTGGATTCCTGTACATCAACAGTAGTAAAGGTGAGAGTCGAATTAGGAACAAAATTACATTCACAGTTGCCCCCAAAAGAATAAAATACCTAGGAATACAGCAAACCAGGAAAGTGAAAGATCTCCACAATAAGAACTACAAAACAGTGCTCAAACAAATCAGAGATGATGTGGACAAATGGAAAAACATTCCATATTCATGGGTAGAAAGAATCAACAGGCATATGTGGTCAACAGGCATATGATCATCATCACTGATCACTAGAAAAATGAAAATCAAAACCACAATGAGATCCATCTCACACCAGTCAAAATGACTATTATTTAAAAGTCAAAAAATAACAGATGCTGGAAAGGTGCAGAGAAGAAGGAACACATACACTTTGGGTGATAGTGTAAATTATTCTAATCATTATGGAAAGCAATGTGGCAATTCCTCAAAGAGCTAAAAAGAGAATTACTGTTTTATTGAGAAATCCCATTACTGGGTATATACCCAAAGGAATATAAAGTGTTCTATCATGAAGACACTTGCATGTGTATGTTCACTGCAGCACTATTTACAATAGCAAAGACATGGAATCAACCAAAATGTCCATCACTGGTAGACTGGATAAAGAAAATGTTGTACATATACACCATAGAATACTATGCAGTCATATAAAAGAATGCGATCATGTCCTTTGCAGAAACATGAATGGATCTATGAACACATAGAAGGGAGCAACAGACACTGGGACCTATCTGAGGTTAGAAGGTGGGAGAAGAGAGAGGGTTGGAAAAAATAACTAATAGGTACTATATGTAATACCTGGGTGAAGAAATATTGTGTACAAATAAAGCAAAAGTATCAGCTGAGACTAAAGATGAGGAAGGAGTGTTCATCTTTTTGAGTAGGAATATGAAAAAGGTGGATGGGTTGATTCAACTAGGGTTGAAGTCTTATAAAGGAAATTCAAAGATGAGACACATAGAGAGAAAGAAAGAAGGAGAGAGTGATCAGTTATATTTAAGGGAATAATTATTATGTTTGACAAGTGAATTTCATTTTAATAATGAGGGAAGGGAGAGCATGATGGATACTAAAAGTGAGGTGGGATCAATATAGTGTAATTTCTAAGGATTGTTGAAATGAGGTTTAAAATGTAATGAAGGCAAAACCATAGGAAGAGGTAGATTAAAAATGGGATACAGGAAGTTAAGATAATGAAAGGATGACAGTTTTTCTTAATTACAAAGTGTAGGTAGTGAATGACCAAATAAGTTGAGGTAGATTGGAGGAGAGGACTGCAGAAATAAAACATGAGTTCAGGTTATTAGACATAGTATTTCTTAATTCTGGAAATCTGTAAGAACTATGGCAGGAGGAACATAATGCAATGTTATATAAACATTGGATAATTCAAGGGATTATATCTCCAAAAAATGAGTCAGAAAAACATAAAGCTTATGAGATAACTGCAATATGGTCTTACAGGCCATTTTAAATGCTCCTTATAGGTACCTTATTTTTGGTACATCAGAGTGCACTGAAATGCAATGAAATCAAGAGAAATTGCCATTCTTTTTTTTAGGTATTCAACTAGCAAGACATTTAAATTAAGAAGAGATAATTAATACACTGGGAAATAAATACACGTACTTACTTTAAAATAAGTGAAAGGTATTCTTTTTTTATTATTATTACACTTTAAGTTTTAGGGTACATGTGCACATTGTGCAGGTTAGTTACATATGTATACATGTGCCACGCTGGTGCGCTGCACCCACTAACTCGTCATCTAGCATTAGGTATATCTCCCAATGCTATCCCTCCCCCCTCCCCCCACCCCACAACAGTCCCCAGAGTGTGATGTTCCCCTTCCTGTGTCCATGTGATCTCATTGTTCAATTCCCACCTATGAGTGAGAATATGTGGTGTTTGGTTTTTTGTTCTTGTGATAGTTTACTGAGAATGATGATTTCCAATTTCATCCATGTCCCTACAAAGGACATGAACTCATCATTTTTTATGGCTGCATAGTATTCCATGGTGTATATGTGCAAGGTAATTTACAGATTCAATGCCATCCCCATAAAGCTACCAATGCCTTTCTTCACAGAATTGGAAAAAACTACTTTAAAGTTCATATGGAACCAAAAAAGAGCCCGCATCACCAAGTCAATCTTAAGCCAAAAGAACAAAGCTGGAGGCATCACACTACCTGACTTCAAACTATACTACAAGGCTACAGTAACCAAAACAGCATGGTACTGGTACCAAAACAGAGATATAGATCAATGGAACAGAACAGAGCCCTCAGAAATAATGCCGCATATCTACAACTATCTGATCTTTGACAAACCTGAGAAAAACAAGCAATGGGGAAGGGATTCCCTATTTAATAAATGGTGAAAGGTATTCTTAGGCATAAAAAGTTTTTGCAACTGACTGTTAACAGTTGAACCTGGTAAGGAAAATGTCCCATTTGGGAGCAGGTATTGGCAATATTTATATTTAAAATGATTTGGTATAAAGAACTAATAATAATAATAATAACATATATTCCTATTATTTTGTTTGTATATAGGAAGGAAAAAATAAATAAACTGAGAAGTAAAAGATTAATTTTAAAGGTGAGGAAATATTGAATGAGAAAGTAGTATTTACCAGCAAGAAAATATGTCATTCTAGAGGAGATTAAAGTATCACGGCTAGTTACCAAAATTTAAACTGTTTTAAATCAGTGAATTCAGAGAGCTGTCTACATGTCACCAAAAACTTAAAAGACATACACATAAAATAAAATTACAAATTTGTAAATTAATATTTGATTATAAATATGAGGTGATGAAAGAGTAAATGGAGCACGTGATGCAACTGAGTCAAAATTGTACCTGGGCCAACTCCCAATTATACTTTCAACTTCAAGCCTTTCTCTTCAGTTAAATGCTAATACAATGAAAAATATCATATACAAATGAAATAACATTCAGGGAGTTTTCACTTTACACTCTAATGTGGGACTATATTAATGATCATGCAAGTTGAAACTGCAAAGCAACCTTAGGAATTAATGAGAAAAATTAATCACATTGTTCTATGGCCTTTAAAAATTTTGTTAAAACATTAAAAACTGTCTTACTTTTAGTTATAAATGTATAGGGAATTGAAAAAGAGAAAAACTAGTAATTAAATTATTACACATTTTAAAACATTAGAAACTTTTCTTGTAATAAAAGTTATCAAGCATAATTTGAACATTGCTTGCCTTCTTCTAAACATAACTTACAACAGAGTGAAAAACTTTAGTAGGCTTAGGCAAAATTGTCATGCTCCTTTCTAAATTTGGATCAGTTTTCAACAGTAATTTTAACCTTTTGTCCATTTTACCATTATAATTTCAATGTCATGTAATATTACTATGAATTCCTTTAATTCCAAGCTTCTTTTCTTCTTTCCCATGTCACTACCTGTGAGGTATCTTCATTCTTTTCATCACAAACACTTTTCCTATTAATATTGATAAGTTTGCCTCCACTGAGTTCTTCCGGCATCATATCTAGAGTCTCTTGAACATTGGTAGTGTCAGCATTCTCACAGTGAGCTATTTCTTCTATGACTCCATTTATCTTTATTTGAATCCCACAGTTTTTTGCCCTGTAAGGTAAAAATTTCTGTCATACTGCATGAATATTACTCCTGTTGCTTCCTTCCCTGATGCTTGAATATTTTCAATGCAATTCTTTGTTTTATATTTTTTCCAAAAATTCAGCTAAACAAATTACATGATATCCAAGTATAGCTTCAATGGCCTGTCAGAAAGTTTACCTTAGATAATAGACTATATATTTTGATATATATATATCAAACTCCTTTGTCTGGATTCATAATGTTGTCTTTGGTAGTTTATTTTTCTGCTAGGACTGCCATAACAAAACACCACAGAAATTAATTTTCTCACAGTTCTGGAGGCTGTAAGTCCAAAACAAATATTTCAGCATATGTTATTTCTCCTGAGACCCCTCTGCTTGGCCTGTAGATGACCACCTTCTCTCTGTGTCATCCCACGGCCTTTTCTTTGTGCATACCCCTGATGTATCTCTGTATGTCCAAATCTCTTTTTATCAGAACACCGGTGAGATCCAATTAGGGTTCATCCTAAAGGCCTCATTTTATCTTAATTATCTGTTGAATGGTTCTATCTTTAAATATCATTATGTTCTGTGGCCCTGGATGTCAGGACTTTATCAGATGAATTAGGAGTGACATAAATCAGTCTGTATCACCTTTTGATAAGTAATTTTTAACTCTTTAATAGCCATTTCACAAACCTATGTTTTTCATCTTATAAGTGCTTTGGATTGCATTTAAAAAACACTTGTCTAATGAACATTAAATATATATGTCCATCATAATCCAGGTGCACATTGTGTAGCAATGTTCTTATATGTACCAGCAGCCTCACTAAATAGCTCAACATTAATCAATCCATGCTGATTTCGGAAAGGATGAAACCACCTTTTAATGGCAGTATGACATTATTCTTCAGCCTCCTTGGAATTACCGTTTTCTTTCAAGGTGGCAACTAAATTATATTTTTTGTCTTTAATCATAGCCTAACTCATTGAGATTTACTTTTTATGGCATTCTTCAATCTAAAGTAGAATTTAACACTTTTTCAGCCAGCGATAAGTGGCTTTCTGTTCTTATTCATGAACCAAATAACAGCTATGCAGTTACAAATTACTGTCAAAATTTGAAAAAAGTGATCTGATTAGCCACTGAGCATGATGTACATATGTTATTTATCTAGTGACTTTTGGTATAAAGGGATAAAAGCAAAGTTTGTACTGTATGCATTTGCTAATGGATAATAAACGATTTCATGGTAACTGAAGCTTGAACCATATTGTTGGGGGAATGTTGTTATTTAACCAAACCTGGTAACCGAAATATATTTATATTGCAAAAGAGCAAAGTAAGAACTACCTAAGTAAAATCACAGCTACCCTGGTTCTAGTTGCTTTCACCTGGAATAAACATCTGAGGAAAAATTTGAGAGATGTTTGTGACACAATAAAAAGATACTTTAGAATTTGAGATGGATAAAGCTATAGTGTTGCTAGTTCTTATAAAAAATATAGTATCCCAAATTTTAGTGGCTTTACAAGATAGAAACTTATTTCTCACTCATGTAAAAGTCCAGTGCTGGTATTACTGATTAAGGAGGGGGTGCTGAGCTTCATGTAGTCATTCGGGACTCTGGTGGATGGAGGCTCTTCCAACTTTAACAAATGGCTTTCAAACTTGCCCTAAGGATAGATATCCAGCCATCAAAGGGGAAAATCATTCTCACATGGGAGGCTTTAGTGGGTCAGGCATAGAAGTTAAACACATCACATCCTCTAAGATTCCATTGATTAGAATGTAATTACATGTCAAAATCTAGCTTCAAATAAAACTGCAAAATGTAATCCCTGACCAAAAAACTGTTTACCTGCAACAATTGTCTATTATGGAAAGAAGAACAGGACTTTTGGAGAACATCTAGTTTTCTCTGATACATTTACTAAATGGTTAATTTGAGATTAAATGTTAAAAAGGCTTCTAGACACTGCCTGTGTATTATTCCCAGATGAGTTCTGTCAAAGCTGTGTAGATAATACAGTATATACTAGCATATTTGTGCTGTCTTTTCTGTTCTGCTTATTGTTGTGCTACATGTATGCACCCATTGACTAAGAAAATATTTGTAGCTTATCTCCTAGAAAACTGTGTGACTTCATCTTACATAATATTAGGACCATATAGAATGGGGAATATTAGGAATGAAGCAAATTAAATTAAAAGAATTAACAACCAGTTTAAAAAGGTGTAAACCACATGCAAAAACAAGTTGCTACAAAAAAAAATACAAGAGAAAAATATATGTAGAAAAAATATTCAATCTCATTAACAAAGAAATAGAATGTCATCAGCAAGATGACTGATTAAATGTGTCTGGCACTCATTCCCTCCCTCCACAAAAAAAGATAGCAAAACAATAGGTAAACAATGACAATTTGACTGTAGTATCTGAGGGAGAGTGCTGGAGTGCAGCAAAGGACTGACAAAATCCCTGTGGAACATGGAAGCCCAGCATGGCAACATAGAATGGGGAATTAAGCACCCTGCTTCTGCTGCCCTGTCTCCCCTATTGGGATTGGCTCAAAGCCAGTAGGGATGTTTCCTAACAAAAAAAAAGGTGGGGGGTAAGTAAATGGCAACTCCCATTGCCATTGCAGATACCTTCAGTCTGTAGAACAGGAAATCTGAAGCCCACAGTCCTCAAAAGGCTCAAGCCAAGTTTGCAGAGGTGCCTGGATTAATATAGCTGCATTACACTAGAGTAGGAGCACACATTGTGCACTCCCTACCACCCCATGACCTAAGTTGCTGTTGAATGGAGCCATCTTGAAACTGAAGTCACTGCTTCACAAGCAAAAAATGGAGGAAATTCATTACCACTAGAATTCATTATCATTTCTGGCCTTGCTAGAAATGCTTAAGGGACTCTTACACTAGAAGAGAAAGGATGATAACTACCATCCTCATGAAAACACATGAAACTCACTAGTAAAGCAGATACAGAAAGGAGAAAGAGAAAGGTATCAAATATTAGCACACAAAAAACCACCAAACTACAAATATAAACAATAGGAGAGGAAAAAAAGAACAAATGTTACATAAAATAAACAGAAAAACAACAAAATAACAGGTCTATGTCTACATGTCTTCATCTAGCTATAATAACCTTGAATGTAAATAAGTTACATTATTCAATTAAAATATATAGACTGGATGAATGGATAAAAATAATAAAACCCAACTTATGCTGCCTACAAGAAACTCGCTTCACCTATAAAGGCACAAATATACTGAGAGTGAATAAATGGAAAAATATATTCCATGAAAACAGAAACCAAAGTGAGCAAGAGCATCTATACTTATATATTATAAAACCGACTTTATGTCAAAAACTGTAAGAAGAGGCAAAGTTTATTTTATATATTGATGAAGGAGTCAATTCAGCAAGTGGCTATAACAATTATATATATATATGCACTCAACATTAGAGCACCCAGATAAATAAGGTAAATATTACTAGATCTAAAACAAGAGATAGATCACAATACAATAGTAGTAGTGGATTTCAACACCCTACTCTTAGCATTAGATAGATCATCTGGACAGAACGTCAACAAAGAAATATTGGATTTAAACTGCACTATAAACAAAAGAAACCTGACAGACATTTACAGAAAATGTAATTCAAAGGCTGCAGATTACACATTCTTTTCATCAGAAAATGAAACATTTTGTAGAATTGACCATATGTTAGGCCACAAAACAAATCTCCACAATTTTTAAAAGTCAAAGTTGTATCAAGTATCTTTTGTTACCACATGGAATAAAAGTGAAAATCAATAACAAGAGAAACTTTGGAAACTTCAAAAAACATATGGAAATTTTAAAAAACATAATTTTCAATGAACAGTGGGTCAATCAAAAAATTTAGAAAAAATTTTAAAATTTATTAAAATAAATTAAAATAGAATGACAACATACCAAAACCTATAGGATACAGCAAAAGCACCATTAACAGGAAAATGTATAGCAATAAATGCCTATGTCAGAAAAGCACAGAGATTTCAAACAAGCAACCTAACAATAGACTTCAAAAAACTATAAAGGCAAGAACAAACCCAACCTCAAATTAGTAGAAAAACAGAAATAATAAAGATAAGAGAATAATTAAACAAAACTGAGACCAACAAAAATAAGAAGATCTATGAAACAAAATATAATTTATTTTAATAGACAAACAAAACTGATAAACCATTTGCTTGACTAAGATAAAAAATAAGACACAAATAAATAAAATCAAAAATGAAAAAGGAAACATTAAAACGGATATGCCAGAAATACAAATAATAACTAGAGACTATTATAAACATCTGTATGCTAACAATTTGTAAAACCTAGAGAAAATGGATAAATTCCTGAAATTCCTGGATACACAAAAGCTACCAAGACTGAACCAAAAAAAAAAAAAGAAGGCCTGGACAGACAAATAATGAGTAATGGAGTTAAGTCAATAATAAAAATTTATCAGCAAGAAAAAGTTCAGGACCAGATAGCTTCACTGCTGAAGTCCATGAAACTTTTTTTTTGAAACGGAGTCTCGCTCTGTCACCCAGGCTGGAGTGCGGTGGCGCAATCTTGGCTCACTGCAAGCTCCGCCTCCCAGGTTCACGCCATTCTCTTGCCTCAGCCTCCGGAGTAGCTGGGACTACAGGCGCCCGCCACCACACCCAGCTAAGTTTTTGTATTTTTAGTAGAGACGGGGTTTCTCCGTGTTAGCCAGGATGGTCTTGATCTCCTGACCTCGTGATCCGCCTGCCTCGGCCTCCCAAAGTGCTGGGATTACAGGCGTGAGCCACTGCGCCTGGCCTGAAACTTTTAAAGAAACACTAATACCATTTTTTCTCAAACTGTTTCTAAAAATGCAAGACAAGGGAGTTTTTCCAAATTCATTCTGCAAGGCCAGCATTACGCTGTTACCAAAACCAGACAAGATACACTAAGAAGTAATACTAAAGCCACCACCTGTGACAAACATAGATGCAAAAATCCTCAACCAAATACTAGCAAATTGAATCCAATAGAACATCAAAAAGATTATGCCTCATGATAAGGTAGAATTTATCCCAGGGATGCAAGTATGAATCAACATACATAGATCAATAATCTTGGTACATCACATCAAGATAATGAAACTATATGACTATCTCAATAGATACGAAAAAAGCTTTTGATAAAATTCAACACCACTTCATGATAAAGAAACTCTCAACAAATTAGGTATAGAAGGAACATACCTGAACATAATGAAAACCATATGTGACATATTTATAGCTAACATCATACTGAAAAAGAAAAAGTAGAAATCTTTTTCTCTAAGAACTGAAACAAAGTAAGGATGCCTATTTTCACCACTCTTAATCAGCATAGTATTGGAAATCCTAAACAGAGCAATCAGGCAAGAGAAAGAAATAAAGGGCATCTAAACTAAAAAAGAAGAAATCAAAGTCCCTGTTTGCAGATTACATGATATGATATATGGAAAAACATAGATTCCACCAAAAAACTCTTAGAATGATAAATTCAGAAATGTTGTAGAAAACAAAATCAAAATAAAAATTAATAGAATTCCTATGCAACAATACCCCAAAAACAGAAATCAAGAAAGCGATCACATTTACAATACCTAAAAACAATAAAATAATACCTAAAAAATACCTAGGAATAAATTTCTTTTATTTCTTTACCTTCTTTATCCAGGGAGGTGAAATACCTCTACAATGAAAACTATAAAAGACTGATAAATTGAAGAGGACATGGAAAAATGTAAGGACATTTCATGTTTATGAATAGAATAAATTTATATTGTCAAAATGACCGTACTACCCAAAGTAACCTATAGATTCAATTTCATTCCATTACAATACCAATTTCTTCACAGAAATAGAAAAAGCAATTATAAAATTTATATGGAATCACAAAAGACCCCGGATGGCAAAAGCAATCCTGAGCAAGAAGAACATAACTGGAGGCATCACACTACCTGACTTTAAAACACACTGGAAAGCTATTGTAACCCAAACAACATGGTACTGACATAAAAATATAATAACAGACACAAAGACCCATTGAATAGAAATAGATAACCCAGAAATCAATCCATGTATTTACACCCAACTGATTCTCGACACATCTCAAGAATATCCTTTGAGGAAAGGACAGTCACTTTAATAATTGATGCTGATAAAACTGGATATTCATAGTCAGAAGAATTAAACTAGAACCCTATGTCTTACCATATTCGATAATTAACTCAAAATAGATGAAAAACTTAAAAGTAAGACCAGAAACTACGATAAAACTACTAAAAGAAAACGTAGAGGAAATGCTTCAGGAGTTTGGTTTGGGAAAATGTTTTATAAATAAGACCTCAAAAACACACACAACAAAAACAAAAATAGACAAATGGGATTAAATGAAACTAATGAATCTCTGCACCACAATGAAAACAATCCACAGAAGGGAGACAACCTGTAGAATGGGAATAAAATATTCACAAACTATTCATCTGATAAGGAATTATATCCAGAATATACAAGAATTTCAAACAACTCAACAGAAAAATAATAATAATCTGATGAAAAAGTGAGCAAATAATGTCAATACATATCAAATAAAGTCATACAAATAACCAACAGATATATTTTCAAAATACTTAACATCACTTATCATCAGATAAATGCAAAATGTCACTAATCATGAGGAAAATGCAAATTAAAACCACAATGAGACGTCATCTCTCCTCTGTTAGAATTCTTGTTATCCTAAAGACAAAAAATATCAAATGCTGGCAAAGATACAGAGAAAGGTGAACTTTCATATACTGTTGGTGGAAATGTAAATTAGTACAGCCATTATGGAAAACATTATGGAGGTTCCTCAAAAAACTAAACATACAACTACCAAATAATTCAACAATCCTGCTATTGGGTATATACCCAAATGAAAGAATATCAGTATGTCAAAAAATACCTGTACTTCCATGTTTATTGCAGTGATATCCATAATAGCTAAGATATGGCATCAACCTGTGTCCATCAACAGATGAATGAATACAGAAAATGTGATATATTCATGCAATGAAATACTATTCATGCATTAAAAATGAATGAAATCCTGTCATGTACAGCAACATGGATGAGCCTGGAGGACATTATATTAAGTGAAATAAGCCAGGCACAGAAAGGGAAATACTGCATCTTCTCACTCATATGTGGAAACTAAAATAGTTGCTATAATAGAAGTAGAGGTTGGAATAGTGGTTATTAGAGGCTGAGAAAGGTAGGAGGAAGTGAGGGATAGGATGAGGTTGATTAATAGATACAAAATTACAACTGGATAGGATAAATAAATTCTAGTGTTCTATAGAGCTATAGGGTGATTATGGTTAATAATTCAAGGTGATGGATGTGCTAATTACCTTGATTTGGTCATTACATACTGTAGACATATATTGAAATATCACATTATATCCCATAAATATGTATAATTATTATGTATCAATTAAAAATGGTATTAATTTTAAAATCCATCAAAGGATTAATGGATTAAGGAATGTGGTATATACATACAATGATATACCAGTAAAAATGATTCACCAGTAAAAAAGAATGAAGCTCTGATTTAGAAAAAGAAATAAACATTAAGCTGAGACAGCAATTTTAATCAAATTAAAAAAAATTAATCACACCTGTAAACCCAGCACTTTGGGAGGCCGAGGCAGGTGGATCACAAGGTCAGGAGTTTGAGAACAGCCTGACCAACATGGTGAAACCCTGTCTCTATTAAAAATACAAAAATCAGCCGGGCGTGGTGGCACATGCCTGTAATCCCAGCTACTCAGGAGGCTGAGGCAGGAGAATTGCTTGAATCCAGGAGGCAGAGGTTGCAGTGAGCCGAGATTGTGCCACGGCACTCAGCCTGGGCGACAGAGCAAGACTCTGTCTCAAAAAAAAAAAAAAAAAAAAAAAATTAAAAACTGATAATATCATGTATTTGCTAATGTTTAGTTAAAATAGAGTTAAAAATATTTAATGAGCCCATAATTAAATACGACCTTTCTGAAGAATAATTTATCAATATAAACAATCTTAAAATGGTGTTTTTTTGGCTCAGAAATTTCACATTTTCTATATTATTTAATTAAATGATTGAGAATGTGGTAAAAGATTAATTCAAAAATATCTTCCACAGTGGCATGTCTATATAATAAAGTTATAAATAGCCTAACTAACCAACATTAACACAGTAGTTAAAATAAAATATATATTTTATCAAATGGACTATTACACAGTCTTCAATTATGTCTGGAAAACATATTTTATGATTTTGAAATGCGTATTATATTCAGTTTGTTAAGGAAGATACATAATTTTACATATACTGCATTATCAATTAAAATGTCAGATAAAAAATTATAAAGAGGCCAAAATCTAGACTAAAACAATACATTAACTGTTAGTATTCCTGGATGATGGAAATTTTTTTTTTTTTTTTTTTTTTGAGACAAGTCTTACTCTGTTGTCCAGGCTGGAGGGCGGTGGCAAGAACTTACTTCACTGCAGGCTCAACCTCCTGGGCTCAGGCAATCCTCCCATCTCAGCCTTTCAAGTAGCTGGGACTATAGGTGCACACACCGCCATGCCTGGCTAATTTTGTTTATATTTTAGTAGAGATGAGGTCTCCCTGTGTTATCCATGCTGGTCTCAAACTCCTGGACTCAAGTGATTCTCCCACCTCAGCTTCCCAAAGTGCTGGGATTACAGGCATTAGCCACTGTGGCCCACCAAAATACGTATAATTTTTAAAAAGCTTATTTTGTTTTTAAAAATGTTTTATCATTAGTGTTTCTAATTGCTAACTTCAGACATAAAATAGTTCTTTTATAAAGAACCGGATCATTGTATTTGCCCCTACATATGTGCATTTTGTAAAATTGTTGTTAATCTGGGTAGCTCAGGAGACTGTGACCAGCCTGGACAACATGCCAAAACTCTGTCTCTACAAAAAATACAAAAATTAGCTGGGCACGCTGGCACACGATTGAGACCCTGTATCAAAAACAAAAACAAAAACAAAAACAAATCTCATCCAGATCGCTGAGAATGCCATTATTTCATTCCTTTTTATGGCTGAGTAGTATTTCATTCTATATATATACCACAGTTGCTTTATCCACTAGTTGATTGATGGGCATTTGGGTTGGTTCCGCAATTTTGCAATTGCAAATTGTGCTGCTATATACATGCGTGTACAAGCATCTTTTTTTTTTTTTTTTTTTTGTATAATGACTTCTATTCCTCTGGGTAGATATCCAGTAGTGGGATTGCTGGATCAAATGGTAGTTCTACTTTTGGTTCTTTAAGGAATCTCCACACTGTTTTCCATAGTGGTTGTACCAGTTTACACTCCCACCAGCAGCGTAGAAGTGTTCCCTGTTCACCACATCCATTGCCTAAGCCAATGTCTAGAAGAGAATTTCACTTCCTTGGTTAGGTATATTCCTAAGTGAAGTAACTCAGGAATGGAAAACCAAACATCGTATGTGCTCACTCATAAGTGGGAACTAAGCTATGAGGATGCAAAGGCATAATAATGACACAGTGGAATTTGGGGACTAGGGGAAAGTGTGGGAAGGGGGTAGTAATAAAAAACTACAAATTGAGGGCAGTGTATACTGCTCAGGTGATACATGTGCCAAAATCTCACAAATCACCACTAAGGAAATTACTCATGTAAGTGAACATCTTTGTGAAGCTTAAGTGAACATCTTTGTGAAGCTGATCTTGGGCAAGTTTTTTTTAACTCTCCGAGTCTCAGTGTCTTTACCTGTACAGTAGGTATAATATTAACTTCCTCATTGGTTGCATGTATTCCCCTAGAAGAGTTCAGATTTATAAATTGATCCTCTGAAATCAGCATCTGGAATAAAGATTCTGATTTTTGTCCTCACATCAACCTTAAAGCCTCTCTTTACCATCAAACCTATAACGCTCAATTACAATATCTAAAACATTATTTTCTGAGAGGGGAGATAATGAGAGAGGAAACTTTTTCACATGGTCAGATATGTGACATTTAGAAATTAGCCTAACTTCATACTGAATAAGGCAATAACAAATGAAAAACAATGTATTTCCAATATTCTAAGACTTATATAAACCATATAAATAGAATATTTCACAAAATAAATGTTCTATTTATTAAAATTCCATCATTTGGATCTTCAGAACCACCTGCATTTTTTCTGTCATCAGGCTGCTATTTTTGTACATATTTTTTCATATACCTCTAGACATCTGTAGCCGTCATCAAATCATGTTTCTAACTATGCTCAGAGTCTCTGAGGATATGCTTAAGAAATGTTTTGCCTTGAATCTATAAATTACTTTGGACCGTATGGCCATTTTCATGATATTTATTTCTTCCTATCCATGAGCATGGAATGTTTTTCCATTTGTTTTTGTCCTCTCATTTCCTTGAGCAGTGGTTTTGTAGTTCTCATTGAAGAGGTCCTTCACATCCCTTATAAGCTGTATTCTTAGGCATTTTATTCTCTTTGTAGCAATTGTGAATGGAAGTTCACTCATGATTTGGCTCTCTGTTTGTCTGTTATTGGTGTATAAGAATGCTTGTGATTTTTGCACATTGATTTTGTATCCTGAGACTTTGCTGAAGTTGCTTATCAGTTTAAGGAGATTTTGGGCTGAGAAAATGGGTTTTCTAAATGTACAATCATGGCATCTGCAAACAGAGACAATTTGGCTTCCTCTCTTCCAATTTGAATACCCTTTATTTCTTTCTCTTGACTGATTGCCCTGGCAAGAACTTCCAATACTATGTGGAGTAGGAGTGGTAAGAGAGGGCATACTTGTCTTTTGCCGGTTTTCAAAGGGAATGGTTCCAGCTTTTGCCCATTCAGTATGATATTGGATATGGGTTTCTCATAAATAGCTCTTATTATTTTGAGATACGTTCCATCAATACTCAGTTTATTGAGAGTTTTTACTATGAATGGGGTGTTGAATTTTGTTGAAGGCCTTTTCTGCATCTATTGAGATAATCATGTGGTTTCTGTCATTAGTTCTGTTTATGTGATGGATTACATTTATTGATTTGCATATGTTGAACTAGCTTTGCATCCCAGGGATGAAGCCAACTTGATCGTGGTGGATAAGCTTCTTGATGTGCTGCTGAATTCGGTTTGCCAGTATTTTATTGAGGATTTTCGCATCAATGTTCATCAGGGATATGGGCCTGAAATTTTCTTTTTGTGTTGTGTCTCTGCGAGCTTTCAGGATGATGCTGGCCTCATAAAATGAGTTACGGAGAAGCCCCTCTTTCTATTGTTTGGAATAGTTTCACAAGGAATGGTACCAGCTACGCTTTGCGCTTTGTACCTCTGGTAGAATTCGGCTGTGAATCCACATGGTACTGGGCTTTTTTGGTTGGTAGGCTATTAATTACTGCCTCAATTTCAGAACTTGTTATTGGTCTATTCAGGTATTCGACTTCTTCCTGGTTTAGTGTTGGGAGGGTGTATGTATCCAGGCATTTATCCATTTCTTCTAGATTTTCTAGTTTATTTGTGTAGAGGTGTTTATTGTATTCTCTGATGGTAGTTTGTATTTCTGTGAGATCAGTGGTGATATCCCCTTTATCATGTTTTATTGTGTCTATTTGATTCTTCTCTCTTTTCTTCTTTATTAGTCTGGTTAGCAGTCTATTTTATTAATCTTTTCAAAAAACGAGCTCCTGGATTCATTGATTTTTTGAGAGGTTTTTCATGTCTCTATTTTCTTCAATTCTGCTCTGATCTTAGTTATTTGTTGTATTCTGACAGCTTTTGAATTTTTATTTTTTGCCCTTGTTTCTCTAGTTCTTTTAATAGTAATGTTAAGGTGTCAATTTTATATCTTTCCTGTTTTCTCCGGTGGGCAATTAGTGCTATAAATTTCCCTCTAAACATGGCTTTAGCTGTGTCCCAGGGACTCTGGTGTGTTGTGTCTTTGGCCTCATTGGTTTCAAAGAACTTATTTATTTTCTATCCCCATCAAGCTACCATTGACTTTATTCAGAGAATTAGAAAAAACTACTTCAAATTTTATTTGGAAACAAAAAAGAGCCTGAATAGCCAAGAAAATCCTAAGAAAAAAGAACAAAGCTGGAGGCATCACACTACCTGACTTCAAACTATACTACAATTCTACAGTAACCAAAACAGCAAGATACTAGTACTAAAATAGACAGAAAGACCAATGGAACAGAACAGAGGCTTCAGGGATAATGCCACACATCTACAACCATCTCGTCTTTGACAAACCTGACTAAAACAAGAAATGGGGGAAAGAGTCCCTATTTAGTAAATGGTGTTGGGAAAACTGGCTAGCCATATGCAGAAAACTGAAACTGGACCCCTTCTTTACACTTTATACAAAAATTAACTCCATACAGATTAAAGACTTAAATGTAAGACCTAAAACCATAAAAACCCTAGAAGAAAACCTAGGCAATACCATTCAGGACATAGGCATGGGCAAGGACTTCACGTCTGAAACACCAAAAGCAATGGCAACAAAAGCCAAAATTGACAAATGGGATCTAGTTAAACTAAAGAGCTTCTGCACAGCAAAAGAAACTACCATCAGAGTGAACAGGCAACCTACAGAATGGGAGAAAATTTTTGCAATCAAGCCCTCTGACATAGGGCTAATATCCAGAATCTACAAGGAACTTAAACAAATTTACAAGAAAATAGCAAACAATTCCATTAAAAAGTGGGCAAAGGATATGAACAGACACTTCTCAAAAGAAGACATTTATGTGGCCAACAAACATGAAAAAAAGCTCATCATCACTGGTCATTAGAGAAATGCAAATCAAAACCACAATGAGACACCATCTCACACCAGTTAGAATGGCAATCATTAAAAAGTCAGGAAACAACAGATGCTGAAGAGGATGTGGAGAAATAGGAATGCTTTTACACTGTTGGTGGGAGTGTAAATTAGTTCAACCATTATGGAAGACAATGTGGTGATTCCTCAAGGATCTAGAACTAGAAATACCATTTGACCCAGCAATCCCATTACTGGGTATATACCCAAAGGATTATAAATCATTCGACTATAAAGACACATGCGCACGTATGTTTATTGCATCACTATTCCCAATAGCAAAGATTTGGAACCAACCCAAATGCCCATCATTGATAGACTGGATAAAGAAATGTGGCACATGTACAACACAGAATACTGTGCAGCCATAAAAAGGATGAATTTATGTTCTTTGCAGGAACTTGGATGAAGCTGGATACCATCATTCTCAGCAAACTAACACAGGAACAGAAAACCAAACACTACACGTTCTTACTCATAAGTGGGAGTTGAAAAATGAGAATACATGGACACAGGGAGGGGAACATCACACACCAGGGCCTGTCAGAGGGTGGGGGTTAGTGGATGGATAGCCTTAGGAGAAATACCCAATGTAGATGACATGTTGATGGGTGCAGCAAACCACCATGGCACGTGTATACCTATGTAAACAACCTGCATGTTCTGCACATGTATCCCATAACTTAAAGTATAATAAAAAATAAAAAATAAAAATAAACTGTCAGGGAAAAAATGTTTTGCCACAGTAAGTATCATCTTAAGATATTTCTCTGAACCTCTCCCTTCCTTTTTCTTTCCCTTCTCCCTTTTCCCTTCCTCTTCACAAATATTAGATTTTATGTATGATATACAGAAATAGGGATTACATTATCATATTTAATTTTTAGATGACCCTAAATCTATTTATAATGTCTGTAAATAAGAGGGATGGTGTTTGACTTATTCAGAATACAGTAGAATCTCACATGTAAACAGCCAAAGGCCAGGCGCGTTGGCTCATGCCTGTAATCCCAGCACTTTGGGAGGCTGAGGTGGGCAGATAACCTGAAGTCGGGAGTTCAAGACCAGCCTGACCAACATGGAGAAACCCCATCTCAACTAAAAATACAAAAAAATTAGCCAGGCATGGTGGCACATGCCTGTAATCTCAGCTATTCGGGAGGCCAAGGCAGGATAATCACTTGAACCTGGAGACGGAGGTTGTGGTGAGCCAATATCGCGCCATTGCACTCTAGCCCGGTCAACAAGAGCAAAAACTCCATCTCAAAAAAAAAAAAAAAAAAAAAAAAGGACAGATAGAGTATTACTTCAAATCGATAAATGTGTCGTGAAAAAACTGAAATTTCCTAAGCAATATTGCTTGTGGTGTGTACTTCTAATTACTATAGAATATGCATTTATGAGAGTAAGAGGCAATAATTTTTTGGTTTTTCTCTGTAAATAAAAGATCATCTTTAGATTATATGTCTGTCTTCCTTTTGATGGGATCATAATAGGGAAAGCTAAGACTAGGTGAGAAAATATCCATCGTTTCTTACCCTTAAGAACACAAAAATGGCATGGCACGGTATTTGAGCGATCATGTTGAAAAATCAACATTTTAAAAGTATATGCTTCTCTTTGTAATTGTTACTACTAAAATTAGCTTAATTATGTTTTTCTAAATTATGGTCTTTTTAAAAATAAAATAATTACATAAGTAGATGCTGGATAATCTGAGCTATAGAGTGATTTGGTAGGATGAGGAACAGACACTCTTTCAAGCAAATCTCCCAGCTACACTTTTTGATTGTCTACAGGAGGTTGCCTTTTCCTGTTCTGTCCCTCTGTGTTATTTATGAGGCTACTTTTTACTTGGTTTTAATTTGGATTCCAGGAATCTGACAATTGTATTTATTTCTTCTGTATTTCTAATAAAAATTTTATTGCATATGAACAGAAAATTTATTACACTACTTATTACCAGCTTAAAACTTCAATTCTAGTCTGCATGTATAAATAAAATTTTAAAATAAGATGGGACAATCTTTACAAGAGGAATTATTTTCCTTTTGTGATCCAGGAACTCATTTTCTTAATTATTTTTAATATTTTTTCCCACTACAGCTCCACTTTAGATTTTGAGAGAGCCAAAATAATTAATATTTTTTTAATGGATGTAAATTCTGTGAGCAGACTTTGCTATAATTATTTCTGTCACCTGAAGAGAAGGTATATTGTTCAGAGTGTCATGAATCATTAAGAAAAATAGTTTATGCATTGTCAATTCTATCAGAAGAAATGCATCTTTTATAAATAACTGCCTGCAGAAAATAAGCCATCTCATTGTTAACTTTTTATGTCTAAATTGGCAATAACAGGCTTTTGTGCCATGTGCAATAGATAAAACCATCAGAGAAAAGAAAACTTTTTGAGAAAAAAATGACACTGAATTTAAATTTAAATCTACCAGGGGTGTCATGATGCCAACTGGAAAATTAGATTAAAATTGAATTCAAGCAGAAGTAATTTATTATGCTGTTAATTTTGCTGTGTTCATTTGTTTACTTGTTATATTTTATTTTGTTTTGTTTTGTTTTGATCCAGGTCCATCCACAAAGTCAAAAAGGCAAAATGACCTTAAAAGGCATGTGGTTTAAATCAACTGTGCATCATTTACTAGACTTCTTAAAGGTTTTTTTTATATAATTCATCTACACTTACATTATAGGAGAATGTCGTATATATTACATTTCATGAAGTAATTTAAAAACTATTCTGTCAATAGCTTATTTTTCTTTTCATAGAATTTTACTTTTGAGATTCTTAAAAGTATTAGATCTTAGTGTGAATAAATATTTATACTTCATGACTTTATAAAAATCCTGTCCAACCTAGTTACATGATAATTGAATTGAATTTCCACTCCTACTACAATTCAATAGTTTTAATCCTACCTAAATTTGGTTAGGCTAGTTACTCGAGAAGCGCTTTCTCATGAACATGTCAAATGGTCCAAGTCATTACCAACTAAAATAAAATTTGGCATTGTAACTTAGCATTGGCCCAAAGAAAATGAATGTATGTGCAGGTTTAGTACATACTGATAAACATTTTGTTAGCCTTAATAAGTTTATTTCTAAACACTGGGGTTTCAAAAGTTTTAGTGTTTTTTAAAGACCAATTTTCAAAGGGATTCAGGCTGCCTACAAAGTTCAAAACATTTCCTGGTCACTATTTTTTTTCTTTCTACATTTATTATCATTGTGAGAGGGGTAGGCAGTCTCAGCTAAAACACCTACATAAGACTTCAGAGGTTTTTACTTTTTAGTTCATTTTATATCATTTGAATTTCAAACTTTGATGCCAGTCCACTTCTTGCCTCCTTTCTGAGGAAGATGATAGTAATTCAAGATTGTGCATACTAATTTCTTACATGTTACATGTCTATTGATTGTCAATTTCGATTTCAAACATTAATGGTCCCTTTTTTGAATTTGATTTTTATTATTTCAATAGGTTTTTGAGAAACAGGTCGTGGTTGGTTACATAGATAAGTTATTTAGTGGTGATTTTTGAAATATTGGCACATCTGCCCCGAGCAGCGTACACTCTACCCAATCAATGTGTAGTCTTTTACTACTCTCCCCCAACCCCGGCCACCCTTTCCCTGGAGTCCCCAAAGTACATTGTATCATTCTTATGCCTTTGCACCCTCATAGCTTAGCTATACGGATGCTCTGTGTTTCTTCCTCTTGTCTGGATTGCTCTGGCTAAGACTTCCAATCTATGTTTAATGGAAAGGGTGAAACTGGGCATCCTTGTCTTGTTCCAGTTCTCAGGCGGAATGCTTTCAAATTATTTCTGTTCAGTGTAATGTTGACTGTGGGTTTGTCATAGATGCCTTTATTACCTTAAGTTATGTCCCTTCTATGCTTATTTTGATGAGAGTTTTTATCATAAAGGGATGCTGGATTTTGTCAAATGCTTTTTCTTCATCTTTTGAGATGATCATGTGATTTTTTATTTCAATTCTGTTTATGTGGTGTGTTACATTATTGATTTGTGGATGTTAAGCCATCACTGCATCCTTGGTATAAAACCCACTTGATTATGGTGGACTATATTTGGGACATGTTGGTGGATTTGGCTAGCTAGTATTTTGTTGAGGATTTTTGTATCTATGTTCATCAGGGATATTGGTCTGTGGTTTTCTTTTTCTTTTTCTTTTTTTTTTTTCTTTTTGTTATGGTCTTCCCTGGTTTTGGTTTTAGGGTGATACTGGCTTCATATGATGATTTAGGGAGGATTTCCTCTTTCTCTATTCCACAGAATAGTGACATTAGAATTAGTACCAATTCGTCTTTGAATGTTTGGTAGAATGCAGCTGTGAATCCATCTGGTCCCGGACTTTTTTTTATTGGCAATTTTTTAATTACCTTCTTAATCTTGCTGCTTGTTATTGGTTTGTCCAGAGTTTCTATTTCTTCCTGGTTTAAACTAGGAGAGTTGTATATTTCCAGGAATTTATCCTTCTCCTCTAGGTTTTCTAGTTTGTGCATGTAAAAATGTTCATAGTAGTCTTGAGTAATCTTTTGTATTTCTGTGGTATTGGTTGTGATATCTCCTGTTTCTTTTCTAATTGAGCTTATTTGTGTCTTCTTTCTTCTTAATTAATCTCGCTAATGGTCTATCAATTTTGTTTATATTTTCAAAGGACCAGCTCTTTGTTTCACTTACTTTTGTACCTTTTTTTTGTTTGTTTTAGTTCTATTTATTTCTGCTTTGATTTTTGTTATTTCTTTTCCTCTGCCAGCTTTGGGTTTGGTTTGCTCTTGTTTCTGTAGTTCCTTGAGATGTGACCTTAGATTGTCTATTTGTGCTCTTTCAGACTTTTTAATGTAGGCATTTAATGCTGTAAACTTTCTTCTTAGCAACGCTTTTGCTGTATCCCAGGGGTTTTGATAGGTTGTGTCACCATTATCATTTAGTTCAAAGAATTTTTTAAATTTTCATGTTAATTTCATTGTTGATCCGATGATCATTCAGAAGCAGGTTATTTAATTTCCATGTACTTGCATGGTTTTGAGAGTTCTTTATGAGTAGATTTCTAATTTTATTCCACTCTGGACAGAACATACTTGCTATAATTTATATTTTTTAAAATTTATTGAGACTTGTTTCGTGGCCTAATATATGGTCTAAGTTGGAATATGTTCCATGTGCTAATGAAAAGAATGTATATTCTGCATTTTGGGGGTAGAATGTTCTATGAATATCTGTTAATAAATTCATTATAAGGTATAATTTAAGTCCATTGTTTCTTTGTTGACTTTCTGTTTTGAAGACTTGTTTAGTGCTGTCAGTGGAGTATTGAAGTCAACCACTATATTTGCTTTGCAGTCTATCTCATTTTCTTTAGGCCTAGTAGTAATTGTTTTGTGAATTTGGGAGCTTCAGTGTTAGGTGCATATATATTCAGGATTGTGATATTTTCCTGTTGGACTAGTCTTTTTATCATTATATAATGTCCTTCTTTGTCTTTTTTAACTGTTGTTGCTTTAAAGTCTGTTTTTTTCTGATATAAGAATAGCTACTCTTGCTTGCTTTTGATGTCCATTTGCACGGAATATCTTTCTACATTAAGTTTATGCAAGTCCTTATGTGTTATGTGAGTCTCTTGAAGACATCAGGTACTTGGCTGATGAATTCTTTTCCATTCTGCCATTCCATATCTTTTAAGTGAAGCATGTAGGCCATTTACATTCAATGTTAGTATTGAGATGTAAGGTAGTATTCTATTTATCATGCTATTTGTTGCCTGAATACCTTGGTTTCTTTTCATTGTGTTGTTTTATAGGACCTGTGAAATTTAGGCTTTAAGGAGGTTCTATTTTTGTATATTTTGAAGATTTGTTTCAAGATTTAGAGCTCCCTTTAGCAGTTCTTGCAGTGCTGGCTTGGTAGTGACGAATTCTCTCGGCATTTGTTTGTCTGAAAAAAGACTATCTTTTCTTCATTTACGAAGCTTAGTTTAGCTGAATACACAATTCTTGGCTGATAGTTGTTTTGTTTAGGAAGGTGAAGAGAGGACCCCAATCGCTTTTAGCTTGTAGGGTTTCTGCTGAGAAATCTGCTGTTAATCTGATAGATTTCCCTCTATAGGTTACCTGATGCTTTTGCCTCACAGCTCTTAAGATTCATTCCTTCATCTTGATTTTAGATAACCTGATGACCAAGTGTCTACCCGATGATCTGTTTTGTAATTAATTTTGGGGGTGTTCTTTGAGCTTCTTGTATTTCAATGTCTAGATCTCTAGCAAGACCAGGAATTTTTCCTTGATTGTTCTCTTGAATATGTTTCCCAAACTTTCAGATTTCTCTTCTTCCTTGGGAACATGAATTATTCTTAGGTTTGGATGTTTAACATAATCCCAAAATTCTTGGATGTCTTGTTCATTTTTTAATTTTTTAATTTGATGTTGTCAAATTGGGTAAATTTTCAAGCCTTGTCTTTGAGCTCTGAAGTTCTTTATTTTATTTGTTTAATTCTATTGTTGAGACTTTCCAATATATTTTGACTTTCTCTAAGTTTCTACTTCATTTTTAGGAGTTGTGATTGTTTTTTATTTATGCTATTTCTCTGGAGATTTTTCCAATCATTTTTTTTATTTTTATTTTTAAGTTGGTATTCACCTTTTTTGGTGCTTCCTTGAGTAGCTTAATAATCAATCTTCTGAATTTTTTTCTGACAACTCAGAGATTTCTTCTTGGTTTTGATCCATTGCTTGTGAGCTAGTGTGATCTATTGGGGATGTTAAAGAACCTCGTTTTGCTATATTACTAGATTTGTTTTTCTGGTTCCTTCTCATTTGGGTATACTATGTCAGAGGGAAGATCTGGGGCTCAAGGGCTACTGTTCAGATTCTTTTTTCTCATGGGACGCTCCCTTGATGTAGTTCTCTCCCCCTTCTCCTATGGAGAGGATTCCTGAGACCCGAACTGCAGTGATTTTTACTTATTTTCTGGGTCTAGCCACCCAGCAGAGCTACAGGGCTCTGGGGTGGTGCTGGGGAGTGTCTTCAGAGAGTCCGTGTGGTGATTCATCTTCAGGTCTCTCAGCCATGGATACCAGTGCTGGCTCCATTGGAAGTAGTGGGGTAGTGAGGTGGACTCTGTGATTGTCCTTGGTTGTAGTTTTGTTTTGTGTGCTGGTTTTGGGTTGGTTGGCCTCCAGCTAGGAGGTGGCACTTTCAAGAGAGCATCAGTTGTGGTAGTACATGGAGGATACAACCTTACCCTAGGGTTGCCTGCAGTGGGTATTTTGGTTTCTTAGGCAGTGGGTGGGGCCATAGAGCTCTCAAAAGATTATGTCCTTGTCTTTGGCTACTAGGACAGGTAGAAAAAGACCATCACATGGGGGCAAGATTAGGCATGTCTGAGTTGACACTCTTCTTGGGTGAGGGTTGCTGTGGCTGCTGTGGGGGATTGGGGTATTGTCCGCAAGCCAATGGAGTTATGTTCTCAGGGGGATTATGGCTGTCTCTGCTGTGTCATACATGTCACCAGGGAAGTGGGGGAAAGGCAGGAGTGACAGGCCTCACTCAGCTTCCATGCAGCCAGAAAGGTCAGTCTCACTCTCATGGTGCCCCCCACCCCCTACATGGCTGAGTCTATTTTTAGGCAGCCAGTGAGCAGGTCTGAGAACTTGCCCTAGGCTGCAAGCCTCCCCACAGAGAAGGCAAGCAGGGCTTTCAGGTTTCATGCCTTCCTGCCTGCCATGGCTTCTGTGCTCACAGCTGAACTCCCAGTTCGCCCCCTCCCCTAGAGTTTCCTTCTCCCTGTGTCTTGTTCCCAATTTCACTGGCAGCCCTCCCAAAGACCACTGTGGTACAAAGCCAGAAATGGCATCCCTGGGGACTGAGAGTGCCCACAGAGTTCGCCCCATTTGCTTTTCTGTCCCTGTATTTCGCTAGCCTCTCTAAATTCAACTCTGCTCCAGCTAAGTTAAATCCTTCTCCTGGGAGCTGGACCTTCAGGTTCTCCAGTGAGGATGTGTTTTAAGGGGTGGCCTTTCCCCCTTTCACACTTTGGATATTCACGGATTTTTGGCGGTCTCACAGAGACTGCAGTGGCAAGCTGCTTCTTTTACTGTGGCTCTTCTCAGCTTTCCTGGTACGTTCCTGTGGTAGTTCTTGGAGCAAAAGTTCACGATGTGAGTCTCCAAACACTGCTCTGTCCATCTGAGTGAGAGCTGTAAGTTATTCCTGCCTCCTATCTACCTTGTTTTAGATATATCTAATTATTCCTGTGTACTTGATGTTGCCAGTTTTTTTTAATCTCAGAAAAAATAAATTTGTACATTTAATGTTTAGTTACTGTTTATTACTTTCTTTCATTTTATTATTATTATTTTTTTTGAGATGGAACCTCGATCTGTCGCCCAGGCTGGAGTGCAGTGGCGAGATATCTGCTCACTGCAAGCTCCACCTCCTGGGTTCACGCCATTCTCCTGCCTCAGCCTCCCGAGTAGCTGGGACTACAGGCACACACCACCACGCCCGGCTAATTTTTTTGTATTTTTAGTAGAGATGGGGTTTCACCATGTTATCCAGGATGGTCTCGATCTCCTGACCTCGTGATCCGCCGGCCTCAGCCTCCCAAAGTGCTGGGATTACAGGCGTGAGCCACCGCGCCCAGCCTACTTTCTTTTATTTTAAGCCTCTTCAAAATACTAATCCAGAAGTCTGTTTATTTTCTTCATTATAATGCTGTTCAAAAACTTGTGCATAGAAATCATATAGTATCACTTTAGACATATTTTAGATGTGATCTCATTGGTTTCATCACTTCTACAACTAAATCAAATAAACCATATCTGAATCTATTGATTGTTTTACTGCAGTAGAATTATTTCAGTTACTTGAAGTAACCTGATTGATACCATCAATTGTTTTGGTTATTTTAGTATTATAAAAAAAGTGAATTTACTTACTGTAAATAAACAAAAACAAATTAATAATTTGAGGTAGCCGAACTCCTTGAATTTGGTAATTTAAACCTGTATGTATTAACAGACTAAGTACTCTATCTGAAATATCAGGACACAACAACAAAGTTCCAATTTTAGGAAACATTTTGAAGTAAGGAAAGATTCTCTACAAAATGTTTGACAAAAATACATTAGAGAAAGCATCTTCTCTATCCCTTCACCCTTTATACTTAACAATATATCTGAAAATAGATTATGTATTTAAAATCAATTATAAATTCTGAGATATTATAGTGCAGAAACAAAAAAATGCAAATTGTAATTCTATTTTATAATTCTTTAAATGGTCACAATCATGGGACAAGAATATTGTGGAAGAGAAGAAGGAGATCTGCCAAATTTGAATTTTCATAGAAAAAAATCAAATTCACAGGTCATTCCTTGTTTTTTTAGCTAATAGCTTTATTAAGATCTAGGTAAGAGGTGTTGAAATTGAATGTGTTCCAAACCCACCCACCATATTGTGTTTGTAGTTTGTGTAAACTTATTCAATATTATGTCCATAATAAATTGTCTTTGGTTTTGGAAATTCAACGTTTTCTCTGATTGATTTTGGATCAATGGAGGTGATATGGCAACAGTATGTTGATTTTACTTATTTACTCTTGCTTTTCTTTCATTCAAGTGCAAATTTGCTTTCTTTACATGTATGGGCTACATGGATTGTAATACTAAACATCATTAGCATTTATATTAAATTTTGGATTTTACATCCAAATTACATATGTTATTTAACTTTAGTCTCAGTATAGGTCTGTGAAGTAGGAGTTAAGAGCTACAATACATATAGCATTTACCATGGCTAGAAACAGTACTAGGCATGGCACAAATAAACATAGACACCACACAGCTACATGACAATGAGATCTCAAACTTGCATCTAAACATCCCAAAGCATAGTGCATAAAAACAAGACCATAAAATAAGATAATTATTGGTTTAGGGCGTGGTTCTGCCACTTACTAACTGTATTAGTTTTAGTAAATTAGTTCTTTGAGGCACAAACTTTTTTTTGTAAAATTAGAATAAAGATAGTATCTGCTTCATAGGATTCTTCTGAGGATTAAATATGCTATCTCGCATTAGGTGCTTAGCACATTTGATATATTTTGAGTGCTTAATATATAATTTTTAACTTAAAGAAGTATTTAAACTTTTGAGAAAAAATATGTAAATGCTACGAGTATATGTAAATTATTGGTTTCACTTGAGTTACTATATCAATTAAAAACTGAGACACCTTTTCCTTCAAAGTCATTGTTTTTCTTTTGTGGTAAAGAATAATAACTTTGCTTTGTTTTTTTAAATTTAAATTTTTATTTTTTAAATTATCCTTTAAGTTCTGGGATACATGTGCAGAGCATGCAGGTTTTTTACATAGGTATACACATGCCATGGTGGTTTGCTGCACCCATCATCCCGTCATCTACGTTATGTATTTCTCCTAATGCTATCCCTCCTCTAGTCCCCAGCCCCTGACAGGCCCTGGAGTGTGATGTTCCCCTCCCTGTGTCCATGTATTCTCATTGTTCAACTCCCACTTATGAGTGAGAATATGCGGTGTTTGGTTTTTTGTTCCTGTGTTAGTTTGCTGAGAATGGTGGTTTCCAGCTTCATCTATATCCTTGCAAAGGACATGAACTAAACATTTTTTATGGCTGCATAGTATTTCATGGTGTATATGTGCCACATTTTCTTTATCCAGTATAGTTGATGGGCAATTGGGTTGGTTTCAAGTCTTTCATATTGTGAACAGTGCTGCAATAAACATACGTGTGTGTGTGTGTCTTTATAGTAGAATGATTTATAATCCTTTGGGTATATACCCAGTAATGGAATTGTTGAGTCAAATGGTATTTCTGGTTCTAGATCCTTGAGGAGTCACCACACTGTCTTCCACAATGGTTGAACTAATTTACACTCCCACCAACAGTGTAAAAATGTTCCTGTTTCTCCACATCCTCTTCAGCATCTGTTGTTTCCTGACTTTTTAATGATCGCCATTCTAACTGGTGTGAGATGGTATCTCATTGTGGTTTTGATTTGCATTTCTCTAATGACCAGTGCTGATGAGCTTTTTTTTCATATGTTTGTTGGCCACATAAATGTCTTATTTTGAGAAGTGTCTGTTCATATCCTTCACCCACTTTCTGATGGGTTTTTTTTTTTCTTGTGAATTTGTTTAAGTTCCTTGTAGATTCTGGATATTAGCCCTTTGTCAGAGGGATAGATTGCAAAAACTTTCTCCCATTCTCTAGGTTACTTGTTCACTCTGATGATAGTTTCTTTTGCTGTGCAGAAGCTCTTTAGTTTAATTCGATCCCATTTGTCAATTCTGGCTTTTGTTGCCATTGCTTTTGGTGCTTTATTCATAAAGTCTTTGCCCATGCTTATGTCCTGAATAGTATTACCTAGGTTTCCTTCCAGGGTTTTTATGGTTTTAGGTCTGACATTTAAATCTTTAATCCATCTTGAGTTAATTTTTGTATAAAGTGTAAGGAAGGGGTCCAGTTTCAGTTTTCTGCCTATGGCTAACCAGTTTTCCCAACACCATTTATTACATAGGGACTGTTTTCCCTATTGCTTGTTTTTGTCAGGTTTCTCAAAGAGCAGATGGTTGTAGACGTGTGTAATCTATTTCTGTTATTTCTGAGGCTGCAGTTCTGTTCCATTGGTCTATATGTCTGTTTTGGTACCAGTACCATGCTGTTTTGGCTACTGTAGCATTGTAGTATAGTTTGAAGTCAGGTAGCATGATGCCTCCAGCTTTGTTGTTTTTGCTTAGGATTTTCTTGGCTATACAATAAGCAACTTCAGCAAAGTCTGAGGATACAAAATCAATGTACAAAAATCACAAGCATTCCTATACACCAATAATAGGCAAACAGAGCTGAATCATGAGTGAACTCCCATTCACAATTGCTACAAACAGAATAAAATACCTAGAAATACAACTTACAAAGGATGTGAAGGACCTCTTCAAGGAGAACTACAAACTACTGCTCAAGGAAATAAGAGACGAAACAAACAGATGGAAAAACATTCCATGCTCATGGATAGGAAGAATCAATATCATGAAAATGGCCATACTGCTCAAAGTAATTTATAGAATCCATGCTATCCCCATCAAGCTACCATTGACTTTCTTCACAGAATTAGAAAAAACTACCTTAAATTTCATATGGAACCAATACAAAACTTTGCTTTCAATACATTAATCTAGAACTATAAAATTTCCAATGCCAAAAATTGTTGTTATGTATCTTTTTTCTTCAGTCACATATTTCATATCAACCTCCATAACAACTAAATCTATATTCCATTTGCCTCCTTTCCCCATCAATTTCAGTCATTTTATAGGTAAAATTCTTTGGGCAAAGGATAATTATATAAGCCACTTGGTAAACTTTAATACCCACCACGTAGTTTCTTGTGGGGAGAAATTGTTTCAACAGGTCTTATTACCTAAGAAGTTTTATCTCACTTTATAAAAATGTATATGCAGTTAAATAAATAGGTAGATACACCTACAACCTACTTATCTATCTATAAATAAATATATAAATGTTTTAAATGTAATATTTTGAGTTTTATATAATGAGGCCTTTTGGTTGGCTTTTAATTGCTTTACTATCTGTTGCTTTTAGTATTGCAATTATGGGCAATATAAAAGGAGGAAATATGCTTGTATTTAAATATTTAGATATACATTTAGTTTTGACTTTATTCTAAAACCATGTTTATGTATTTTTCTTTGTTGACTAGAATTTAACTATATTTTTAAAAAGTGAACTTTTCAACAGTTGATTGGAATGACTGAGAAAACAATTCTGTTCTGTACTAATGATGCTCCAGAAAAACAGAATGACTCTCCTTCTCCATTTTGGTGGGCTGATTGAAGATGAATTCAACTGAGGAGGGATAGCCTGGGTCTTTGGCTGTCTGTGTGCCAGCCCAAAGTTGGCCTTGTGAAAGCCTCTATAACGTCTGGAGATCCCTTGAAAATGAAGTGGGCTGGGATTTGGACATTCTCAATAGGGAGGGTTAAATTAGGCTGATGGGACCATAAAGAGATGATTCTAGGTATCTGATAGATCCTTGTAGTTCAACTTGATTCTTAGATAGAAGGTAAATACATGTAATACAAGAGAAGTAAAATTTCAGAAGACCAAAACTAGATCTGAGTCTCACTCTTCCAGACTGGACCTCTTTGTTGCTATAAATCTTGGATGTACAATAAATGATGACTGAAGTTTTCTTTTATGGACTCTTTTCAGCTTCCAGAGACTTCACTATCTTATTATGTCTTTTTGTGAAGACATGCTGCTTCATAATTTTCGATAACGTCACATCAAACTTTCTGGTTTTGCATGGGTCACCACCTGTTCTCACATCTTCTGTGGTCAGTATGTCCGTTCTGAGTTTAGTCGTTGACCAGCTATCTGTCTTGCCTGCACAAATAATCTTTCTGGCTAGATATTGTCCTCACAGAACTCAGTCCATCAGAGGAATATAAAGCTATGGTATTGGCAGGACTGCAACCAGAGATGGTGTTGAATATTAGCGCCTGAGCACTATACTTCTGAACATATTAGGTATATCAGGAGTCTCTCTATCAAGAATACACTTTCAACAAAGCTGAGGGCCATCTGAAACAGATGGAGAAGATATATACTCAGCAAATACAGAGCAAAGATGTAGAATTGACCTTTATAAAAGGAGAGATCACCTCCATGAAGTAAGTGCTAAAAGAACACAATAAAAATGTTCACTGATATCTTTAAAAAATGTATGGAGTACAATCATAAGTATCAAAAAGCTCCAAAGCCTCTGTGATAGCCTGAGGCTATGAAACATTACTGTTGCTAACCAAGAACATACCTTTGAACCATCCATAATTGCACAGTCTGGTGTTTTTGGCTTTTCATTAGGGAACAACGCCAAGTGTCTTTTGGACAGTGTACCAGTTTAAAATTTGGGTGATGGAGATGGAGATTTTCAGTTCAGACCTTTTTTTTCTGGATTCTCACAAAACACCTGAACCAAGCAATAGCTTTTTTCAGTTTTGCCTCTCCAAGTCATGAATTAGAGCAGCAGCAAGTTTCCAGCAGGGCGTGAAAGTGAAAACAATTTGAACCAGACATGATGGCATGCACCTGTAATCCAGCTACTCAGGAGGCTGTGGCAAAAGGATCACTTGAGCCCACCTGAGTTTGAGGATGCAGTGAAGTAGTATCATGTCACTGCACTCCAGCCTGGGTGACACAGTGAGACAATGTCTCTAAAAAAAACAAAAATAAAAATAATTTAGCTAATTTTACAGAATGTTTCTAATGTGCACTTTTAGTGATTTTACTTAGCAGATCTTTATTCTAGAAGCCCCCAACTTCCCTGGGCTTTTAAGTCTTTAAGATTTCTTCACATTATCACCTCATAAGAAACGAAGTGGCAGTGAAGTGTAGCTATAGAGTGGATTTCTTCATTTCTATTATTTAAAGCATGAGCATTTTTTTAATCAATTGTGAACAGTTGAATTTTAATCATTAGTGAGAAGGTCACGACATTATTGTGTATTTCAATAGATATGTTTGTGTCTGAGTTGTGTGTTTATGCATAAGTACCTGTGTTATATGTCTACATGTCACTTTGAATTATTGTATTTATGCATATCTGTGTATGTAAAAGTGTGTGAATTTACACTGACATTTTGGTGTATTTGCCTGTAATCCCAGTGCTTTGGGAGGCTGAGGTGCGAGGATCCTTTGAGCCCAGGACTTCAACAATCTGGGCAACATAACTGAGATGTTCTTTTTACAGAGAAAAATACTATATATATATATATATATATCTTTAAAAATTTTCCAGCTTGGTGGTGTGCACCTGTAGTCCCTGCTACTCAGGAGGCAGAGGTGGAAGGATCCCTAGAGCTCAGTTTGAGGCTGCAATTAGTCATAATCAAGCCCCAACACTACACTCCAGGTGACAGAGCGAGACTCTGTTACAGAAAAATAAATAAATAAATAAATAAATAAATAAATAAATAGAGAGCTAGTCATAATCCCAAAAGACCAAAAGACACAATCACAATTCCATATGCCTAATCTCGAATGTTAAAAGTGTTGAAAAAGTAAAATCCCAAAAATATAATTCAAAAACAGTTGTTTAAAATAGCATTAATAGTACTCATTTATATTTTTAAAAGGGAATTTATTTAACAAACATATAAAAATACAAAGAATACCTTATAGTCCACCTACAACAGCATAGGCAATAAAAACATAGCAAGTTTTGCAAGCATTAACAAGCTGGTGTATGAACAACAGTTGCACCAGTATAACGGTTATGAGCAGATATAAGCTGTTTATAAAGAAATAGGTCAAAATGGAAATGTATAAATGCCTATGACTATGTTTGCTAGTTGTTTGCACCAAGAATTATCATTTAAGCCATCTGAAATACCATGAGGAACAATCTGAGTCTTTTGAGGAGATCCATCAAGAACTGCAGTGGGATGCTGTCTGGAGTGGCATGCACCTTTATTCTCTGGTACTCAAGAGGTTGAGGCAATAGAATCCCTTGAGCCAAGGAGTTTGAGGCCAGCCTGGAGAATCATAGTGAAACCCCACCCTGCCCATAGAGTCAAGATTTCAAGAAATTTAATTTTTCACAAATACATATGTATGAAAATATCTCATTTATTGAGGAAGTTTCAATATTTTTACATATGCACACAATGCTTATACACAAAGTCAACCTTGTAATAATGCACTTTCTATAGAGTCAGATTTGTAAAAAGAAATGCATAAAACAAATTAGAACACTCTAAAAGTCGTTTCACAATTTATACCTCCAACATTGGAAATAATGCAAAGATGAAATACATAGCATACCGAATTCTAAATAATAATCTGACAATTTAAAATGCAAAAAACTAAAGTAAAAAAACTGAAGAGGAAATTTGACATATAAAAATGCAGGATAGATTTTGGGCAATCACACAGATGTGGTTAATAAGAGCTAGCCAAATTTCAAAATTATTAACTATATTTTTTAAGTCTTGCATCACAATGGATAGCTTATTTTTCCTTTTAGACATGACTCTCCTTGAAGAATACATTTAAATTCATTTTCCATGTAGTGCTGCTCTTTCTGAAATAATTCTGTGATTTGATGTATATTGACATGAGCATTCCCTATGCAATTTTCCTATCTTCACTGCCATGCTTCTATGTTGTTTTGGGTATGTGAAAATTTATTCCCAATGTACTTACACACAGACCACAAATTTGATGGAAACAATACTGGTAATCAAACAGGAGCACTTTTGCCTAAGCGTTGTTCTATCCTATCATGCACAAAATTATTTCTGAAACAGTCAGTAACTTTACGGTCTTCTTCAGGCATATGTGGCTTTAATTCATTAAAAGCTTCTGGAATGGCATCAGCTGAAAGAAATACCAATCCAAAAAAAAAAAAAAAAAAAAAGATGCACTTTTAAACTGAAAATTTTGTCCTTGCCATATCATGTGGCTAATCCACTCATCTGAATTTTCCACCGAATGCACTGGAAATATTGGTACTATAAAATATTGGTAAAACAAAATATTGGTAATGGAAAAACACCAAAATATTGGTAATACCTTGAAATTCACTTAAGAAGTCTTGATCACACCTAATTACAAATCCATCATTAAGGTTAGGCGATTCAACTGAACCAAATGTTCAAATAAGCATCTACAAACTGCTTCACTTTTTCCAGTCATTGATATATAAACAAGTAAATAAGTTCTCATTTTTTTTCTGATCCAACAGAGAAATTGTACCTAGCTGATTAAAAAAACAGTAAAGAGAGTTTGGAAAGTGCCATCCATTAGCCAAAGTAAAGGATGTACTAGTTTTTCTACGTTAAATCTAGTAGTAAATATAAGCTTATCTTCTTTGATAGCCAAATCCTTAATCCATAATAGTTCATCATTTAATGTGTCTTATAACACTGGAGGAACTTCAATATCAGCAGGTGGTTTTTGTTCAGAAGTTTGCTGAGTTTGTTGAATTCTTTTTATTGTCTGTTGAAAGTTGTTTTTTGAAGGCAAACATGGCAATATTCATGAAAAGTCAGAATTCATACATAATTGAATAACTTGGAAGTTTTTTTCTATTTATTACCAGTACTTTTACTTATTTGATATTCAAAACACTCATTCCACTTGTATTTTGAGAGTGGTTATGGTCTACAAAATTTATATGTTGTCTATTTGAAATTCTGATTATTGCTTGACTGTCACAATTAAGTGATTTTCTGCTTTTGTAACACCAATTATAATTAGCTTTTAAACTCTTATCTTTCACCACTAAGTATACTTTTACATTTAACTTATCACAGCCTTTTGCCAAGGAAGAATTTTAAAGATCTCTTCTACTGTGTAGTAAGAAATCCAGTAAGAAGGAGTAATATTTGGGTTGCCCAATACCAAGTCTGTGTTAAGTTTCTCCAGAAACACAGAACCAATCAGGTATTTACATAGACATATGAGAGATGATTTATTAGGGGAATTGGCTCATGTGATTACAGTGACTGAGAATTCCCACAACAGGCCATCTGCAAGTTGGGGAATCTTGGATGCTCTCTGGTAGCATTGCTCAGGCCAAAAAGCTCAGGACATGGAGGAATCGCCTGTGTAAATTTTGAAGTACAATCTGCCTTCTGTATTTGCTCTCACCAAGCATCCAGCCAATTGGATGGTGCCTGACAATATGGTTAGTAGATCTTCTGCATCTAATTCACTCAGACTCTCAAGGGGATCTTCTCTGCAAACACCCTCACAGACACACCCAACATAATGCTTTACCAGGTATCTAGATATCACTTAATCTAGTCAAGTTGACACCTAAAATTAAGTCCACATTCATTCATATGCATATATTTAAGCCATACATAATTTCCAAATAAAAACAATAACAGGGTAATAGTTTCGCTTAACATGAGGTAACCATCTTGTTATTGTGATTTGGGGGATTTTAGATGTTAGGAATTTTAGACTTTAGGAATTATACTTTGGCAATCTTGATTTTTTAGAATTTTAACATTGGGGATTGTGTTGTTTTGGATTATGATCCAAACCCTCAAGAATTATCTTTTGTGGCTGGATGCTTCCTCCTCTGGTGGTGTCACCTCAATGGCCCTAGACACGGACCTAGCCCCACTGGATCTGCACCATGGACACACCTCTTTGACTGTGATGAGGCCTTCTTCACATGGCTCTGTGGGGTGGCCTTTCCATTGAGGAACTGGGTAGCATAATCCTGGCCTGGTGAACTGAGAAGGTATTTCCACACTCTGTGACTAACGAGAAAATAGTCATTCCCCCGGTCTTGTATGCTCTAGGTTTATGCTGGCAGTGAAAACCAAAATGACACATAAATTCCCTTCAGTGTCATTTTTCTCTTTACATGAAGGATCACGTGTGTTCTCAGGTGGATAGCCCTATTGTCTCATACTGTAAAATTTCAGAAGTCCAATAGACTTCCTTCATTTCATCTTGTTTTCTATGTCACCTTTAGTTTAAACTGGGAGTATATTTGCTGTTATAATCACATCTCTACTCCTGGCCTCTGCTGAGATGTCTGATTAGAATAATGGATAATCTCTTAATGGAGTGATTATACCCTTGGTATTTTATCTGTAACATGCTTTTTTATTTTTTGAAATAAGAATAGGCCAATAATTTTTCAAATCTTCAAATTCTGGTTTCTTCTTACTTAAATTTATTTATCTCCTCTCACAATTACTATAAGCAGAAAGGAGAAGTCAGGCCAAAACATTAACATTTTGCTTAAAAGTTCTTCTCAGTTAAGTATTCAGACTCTTTAGTCATGAGTTCTACCTTCCATAAAAGACTAAAATACAGTTCAACTAAGCTCTTTGTCACTTTATAACAAGGATCACCTTTCCTCCAGTTTTCAAAAGCATGTTCCTCCATTTCCACCTGTTAATTCACCAAAAGCACTTTTAATGTTCATGTTTCTATCAACATTCTGTTCATGGTAATATATAATTCTCTAAGATAATAGTAGATACTTCTCTAACTCTTCTAAGTTCTTCCTGAGCCCTCAGCAGAATTGTCTTTAACACACATATTTTTACCAATAATTTATTTGTGATAATCTAGGTTTTATCTATTTTGAGAAATATATTATTTTAGCCTTTACCCATCAACCAGTTCCAAAGTTATTTTCATATTTTTAGGTATTTGTTACAACAGCACCCTTATTCACAGTACCCAGATCTATATCAGTCAGCTGGGGCAGCCGTAACAACCTACCACAGTTTGGGTCACTTAAACAGCAGAAATTAATTTTCTCACAGTTCTAGGTGATAGGCGTTCAAAACTGAGGTGGCTGTAGGGCTGGTTTCTTAGAAGGCATCTATTCCTGGCTTGAAAATGGCTGCCTTCTCATTGTGTCCTCACATAACATTTTCTCAGTGAACACAGAGATAAAGAAAGACAGTTGGTGTCTCATTCTCTTATGGGAAAATCAATATTATTGAATTATGGCCCCACCCATAAGACCTAATTTAACCCTAATTACCTCCAAAAAACCTGTCTCCAAATGCAGTCATATTGGGATTTAGGGTGTCAACATATGAATTATAGATGAACACCATTTACTCTATAACACTTATTGATGCACTTTTCTGTATATAAACTTAAGTAAAAGCTTACAAATAAATAAATACCTCACTTCAGCGTGCATAAGAGATTTAAAGGGAACAAGAGTAAATACTGAAACAGAGCAGGTGATTTCCAAGGCCCAGATAAAAAATTATGGAAGGTTTAGGCTTAGGTGTTTGTGCCAGAGAAAAAGGATTGGGCATATTTGAATGATATTTAATAAGTAAAAATATTAGGACACAATAATGAACTTGATATGAGAGAAATAAAACAATGGGTTAAAAACTACTTCTTAGTTTCTGGCATCAAAAAATGCATGTACAGTTGTGTTATTCACTGAGGTAAGTAACCCTAGAAAAAGATGAGGCTTGGAGATGAACATCATTAATTTGGCCTTGCGAGTGTTATGTATGCGATGTATTAAAGCATTCAAGAGGAAATAAAAATAGGCAATGAAATGCACAGTTCTAGATTCAGAAAAATGTTCAGCATTATTTGTATACATTTAGAAGTCATCTGCCTACTGCAGTAATTGAAGTTTTGGTCATGGATGAGATTGTTTAAGAAAAGAGAAAACGATAGAAGACAATGAATCCTAGGGATATTGATTCATTCAATATTTAATGGTTGTTCAGAGGCAGATAAGATTTCAAAGGAGACCAAAGAAGTTAGAGGAGGAGAAAGAATACTAATATCAGGTTTTACGAAGGAATAAACAGGTATTAATATTTAGTGTCATTGAAGGATCAGATACAATATTTCAATTTAGTCAAATTAGACTATTAGATTCAGTATCTATACCTATGCAGATTTTTTTTTTTTTTTTTTTTTTTTGGAGACGAAGCCTCAATCTGTTGCCCAAGTTGGAGTGCAGTGGCACGATCTCGGCTCACTGCAACCTCCACTTCCCAGGTTCAAGCGATTCTCCTGGCTCAGCCTCCTGAGTAGCTGGGATTACAGGCATGCACCACTATGCATGGCTAATTTTTTTTTGTATTTTTAGTAGAGACGGGGTTTCACTATGTTGGCCAGGCTGGTCTTGAACTCCTGACTTCATGATCCGCCCACCTCGGCCTCTCAACGTGCTGGGATTGCAGGCATGAGCCACTACACTTGACCACCTATATAGATTTTAAGTGAGGTTTAGATTCTGGATTCAGTAATCCTAGCTTGCTATTATGATTTTAAAATTGCTAGCTGTGTGACTTTGAGCAAGGCACTTGACCTCTTTGGGATCCTCATTTACAAAAGCTAAGAATTAAATGAGATAAAGTGTGAAAAGTGTTTAGCACAAGTTAAAATACAATGTACTCAGTAAATATTAGCTATCATTATCTTTAATAGACTGTGCCATTTTTAATCCATTGGTAGAGCTAAACAGTGTAATGTACCCTTTGTGAACATGCTCTTTGTTATCAGAGTGGTCTTTTTTCAAATCCCTGATCTGCCACTTATGACCTTTGTGGCTCCATACATGTCATTCAACTTCCCTGTGTCTGGGTGTCCTCATAAGTGATACCTAGTATTACATAAAAATATGAATAGTATTTCTTAAAATGACACTTTTAATATTTAGAATATATGTTGATTATTAAAGTGCTGATACTCTGTGCTACTAAGTGCCATATGTTACTAAATAAATGCCAGAATATCTAGTCCTCTAATTTACCTTTTTATGTCTGTGAATAATTTGAAATATGAAAAAAATCACATAGTTATTACGAGTTAGGATTCATCAGTTTTCTTTACATATTTAAAGTTACTTCAACAGCAGACCATAAGATGGCAATGTTACTCTTTTAGATGAATTATAAAAGTTAGGTATTGAGAAAAGTAAAAATTTAAACTTCAGTTTGTATTCTATAGACATGCCTTTACAAATTCTGCTTTTTATTGCTTAAATTAAACATACTAATCCTATATTGTAGTTGCTAATTTGATAATTAATAAAATAACTAGTGAATTCATTCTTATATTGGTAGTGATTCTTAGCATGGACTTAGGAACTATATATTTTTGCATCCAACAAAGATTGTTCTGAGAATTATCAAGATTCTGTGGTGCTTTAAAGATATACTGTATATTAAGAGATGAGAGAGTTTCCTAGCCAATGGAAGCCGTGACAGACAGTACCTGGAAAATTGGGACACTGCCACCCAAATACTGCACTTTTCCAATAGTCTTAGCAAACAGCACACCAGGAGATCATATCCCACGCCTGGCTCAGCGGGTCCCTGACCCCACTGTAGCCTAACTGGGAGACACCTCCCAGTAGGGGCCAACTGACACCTCATGCAGCCAAGTGCCCCTCTGAGATGAAGTTTCCAGAGGAAATATCAGGCAGCAATATATGCTGTTCTGCAGCCATCCGCTGATTATACCCAGGCAAACAGGGTCTGGAGTGGACCTCCAGCAAACTGCAACAGACCTGCAGCTGAGGGACCTGACTGTTTGAAGGAAAACAAACAGAAAGGAATAGCATCAACACCAACAAAAAAGACCAAAGTTAGATAAAACCACAAAGATGGGGATAAACCAGAGCAGAGAAGCTGAAAATTCTAAAAACCAGAGCACCTCTTCTCCTTCAAAGGATCGCAGCTCCTCACCAGCACCGGAACAAAGCTGGACAGAGAATGACTTTGATGAGTTGACAGAAGCGGGCTTCAGAAGGTCGGTAATAACAAACTTCTCCAAGCTAAAGGAAGATGTTTGGACCCATTGCAAGGAAGCTAAAAACCTTGAAAAAAGATTAGACGAATGGCTTAAATGACCTGATGGAGCTGAAAACCATGACACAAGAACTACGTGACACATGCACAAGCTTCAGTAGCCGATTTCATCAAGCGGAAGAAAGGGTATCAGTGATTGAAGATCAAATGAATGAAATGAAGTGAGAAGAGAAGTTTAGAGAAGAAAGAGCAAAAAGAAACAAACAAAGCCTCAAAGAAATATGGGACTATGTGAAAAGACAAAATCTACGTTTGATTGGTGTACCTGAAAGTGATGGGGAGAATGGAACCAAGATGGAAAACGCTCTGCAGGATATTATCCAGGAGAACTTCCCCAACCTAGAAAGGCAGGCCAACATTCAAATTCAGGAAATATAGAAAAGACCACAAAGATACTCCTCGAGAAGAGCAACCCCAAGATACATAATTGTCAGATTCACCAAGGTTGAAATGAAGGAAAAAATGTTGAGGGCAGCCAGAGAGAAAGGTCGGGTTACCCACAAAGGGAAGCCCATCAGACTAACAGCAGATCTCTTGGCAGAAAGCCTACAAGCCAGAAGAGAGTGGCGGCTAATATTCAACATTCTTAAAGAAAAGAATTTTCAACCCAGAATTTCATATCCAGCCAAGCTAAGCTTCATAAGTGAAGGAGAAATAAAATATTTTACAGACAAGCAAATGCTGAGAGATTTTGTCACCACCAGGCCTGCCTTACAAGACCTCCTGAAGGAAGCACTAAACATGGAAAGGAACAACTGGTACCAGCCACTGCAAAATCATGCCAAATTGTAAAGACCATCAAGGCTAGGAAGAAACTGCATCAACTAACGAGCAAAATAACCAGTTAACATCATAATGAAAGGATCAAATTCACACATAACAGTACTAACCTTAAATGTAAATGGGCTAAATGCTCCAATTAAAAGACACAGACTGGAAAACTGGATAAAGAGTCAAGACCCATCAATGTGCTGTATTCAGGAAACCCATCTCACGTGCAGAGACACACATAGGCTCAAAATAAAGGGGAGGAGGAAGATCTACCAAGCAAATGGAAAGCAAAAACACAGGAGTTACAATCCTAGTCTCTGATAAAACAGACTTTAAACCAACAAAGATCAAAAGAGACAAAGAAGGCCATTACATAATGATAAGGGGATCAATTCAACAAGAAGAGCTAACTATCCTAAATATATATGCACCCAATACAGGAGCATCCAGATTCATAAAGCAAGTCCTGAGAGACCTAAAAAGAGCCTTAGACTCCCACACAATAATAATGGGAGATTTTAACACCCCACAGTCAATATTAGACAGATCAACGAGACAGAAAGTTAACAAGGATACCCAGGACTTGAACTCAGCTCTGCACCAAGCATACCTAATAGACATCTACAGAACTCTCCACCCCAAATCAACAGAATATACATTCTTTTCAGCACCACATTGCACTTATTCCAAAATTGACCACATAGTTGAAAGTAAAATACTCCTCAGCAAATGTAAACAGAAATCACAAAAAACAGTCTTTCAGACTGCAGTGCAGTCAAATTAGAACTCAGGATTAAGAAACTCACTCAAAACTGCACAACTACATGGCAACTGAACAACCTGCTCCTGAATGACTACTGGGTAAATAATGAAATGAAGGCAGAAATAAAGATGTTTTTTGAAACCAATGAGAACAAAGACACAACTTACGAGAATCACTGGGACACATTTAAAGCAGTGTGTAACGGGAAATTTACAGCACTAAATGCCCACAAGAGAAAGCAGGAAAGATCTAAAATCGACATCCTAACATCATAATTAAAAGAGCTAGAGAAGCAAGAGCAAACACATTCAAAAGCTAGCAGAAGGCAAGAAATATCTAAGATCAGAGCAGAACTGAAGGAGATAGAGACACAAAAAACCCTTCAAAAAAGGAGCTGTTTTTTGAAAAGATCAACAAAATTGATAGACCACTAGGAAGACTAATAAACAAGCAAAAAGAGAAGAATCAAATAGACACAACAAAAAATGATAAAGGGGATATCACCACCAATCCCACAGAAATACAAACTACTGTCAGAGAATACTATAAACAACTCTACACAAATAAACTAGAAAATCCAGAAGAAATGGAAAAATTCCTGGACACATACACCCTCCCAAGACTAAACCAGGAAGAAGTTGAATCCCTGAATAGACCAATAACAGACTCTTAAATTTAGGCAATAATTGATAGCCTACCAACCAAAAAAAAGTCCAGGACCAGATGGATTCACAGCCAAATTCTACCAGAGGTACAAAGAGGAGCTGGTACCATTCGTTCTGAAACTACTCCTATCAATAGAAAAAGAGGGAATCCTCCCTAACTCATTTTATGAGGCCAGCATCATCCTAATACCAAAGCCTGGCAGAGGTATAACAAAAAAAGAGAATTTTAGAACAATATCCCTGATGAACACTGACGCAAAAATCCTCAATAAAATACTGGCAAACCGAATCCAGCAGCACATCAAAAAGCTTATCCACCAAGATTAAGTTGGCTTCATCCCTGGGATGCAAGGCTGGTTCAACATATGCAAATCAATAAACGTAATCCATCACACAAACAGTACCAAAGACAAAAACCACATGATTATCTCAATAGACACAGAAAAGGCCTTTGACAAAATTCAACAGCCCTTCATGCTAAAAACTCTCTATAAATTAGGTATTGATGGAACATATCTCAAAATAATAAGAGCTATTTATGACAAACCCACAGCCAATATCATACTGAATGGGCAAAAACTGGAAGCATTCCCTTTAAAAACTGGCAGAAGACAGAAATACCCTCTCTCACCACTCCTATTCAACATAGTGTTGGAAGTTGTGGCCAGGGAATCAGGCAAGAGAAAGAAATAAATGGTATTCAATTAGGAAAAGAGGAATTCAAATTGTCCCTGTTTGCAGATGACATGATGGTATATTTAGAAAACCCCATCGTCTCAGCCCCAAATTTCCTTAAGCTGATAAGCAACTTCAGCAAAGTCTCAGGATACAAAATCAATGTGCAAAAATCACAAGCATTCCTATACACCAGTAACAGACAAACAGAGAGCCAAAGCATGAGTGAACTCCCATTCACAATTGCTACAAAGAGAATAAAATCCCTAGGAATCCAACTTACAAGGGATGTGAAGGATCTCTTCAAGGAGGACTACAAACCACTGCTCAACGAAATAAAAGAGGACACAAACAAGTGGAAGAACATTCCATGCTCATGGATAGGAAGAATTAATGTTGTGAAAATGGCCATACTGCCCAAGGAAATTAATAGATTCAATGCCATCCCCATCAAGCTATCAATGACTTTCTTCACAGAATTGGAAAAAAAGTACTTTAAAGTTCATATGGAACCAAAAAAAGAGCCCAAAAAAGATTTTGCAAGACAATCCTAAGCAAAAAGAACAAAGCTGGAAGCATCACGCTACCTGACTTCAAACTATACTACAAGGCTACAGTAACCAAAACAGCATGGTACTGGTACCAAAACAGAGATATAGACCAATGGAACTGAACAGAGCCCTCAGAAACAATGCCACACATCTACAACCATCTGATCTTTGACAAACCTGACAAAAACAAGCAATGGTGAAAGGGTTCCCTATTTAATAAAAGGTGCTTGGAAAACCGGCTAGCCATATGTAGGAAGCTGAAACTGGATCCCTTCCTTACACCTTATACAAAAATTAATTCAATATGGATTAAAGACTTAAATGTTAGACCTAAAGCCATAAAAACCCTGGAAGAAAACCTAGGCAGTACCATTCAGGACATAGGCATGGGCAAGGACTTCATGTCTAAAACACCAAAAGCAATGGCAACAAAAGCCAAAATTGACAAATGGGATCTAATTAAACTAAAGAGCTTCTGCACAGCAAAAGAAACTACCATCAGAGTGAACAGGCAACCTACAGAATGGGAAAAAATTTTTGTAATCTACCCATCTGACAAAGAGCTAATATCCAGAATCTAAAAAGAACTTAAACAAATTACAAGAAAAAATCAAACAACCCCATCAAAAGGGGGCAAAGGAGATGAACGAACACTTCTCAAAAGAAGACATTTATGCAGCCAACAGACACATGAAAAAATGCTCATTATCACTGGTCATCAGAGAAATGCAAATCAAAACCACAATGAGATACCATCTCACACCAGTTAGAATGGCAATCATTAAAAAGTCAGGAAACAACAGGTGCTAGAGAGGATGTGGAGAAATAGGAACGCTTTTACACTGTTGATGGGAGTGTAAACTAGTTCAACCATTGTGGAAGACTTTGTGGCGATTCCTCAAGGATCTAGAACTAGAAATAGCATTTGACCCAGCCATCCCATTACTGGGTATATACCCAAAGGATTATAAATCATGCTACTATAAAGACACATGCACACGTATGTTTATTGCAGTAGTATTCACCATAGCAAAGACTTGGAACCAACCCAAATGTCCAACAATGATAGACTGGATTAAGGAAACGTGGCACATATGCACCATGCAATACTATGCAGCCATAAAAATCGATGAGTTCATGTCTTTGGAGGGGAATGGATGAATCTGGAAACCATGATTCTGAGCAAACTATCTCAAGGACAGAAAACCAACCATCGCATGTTCTCACTCATAGGTGAGAATTGAACAATGAGAACACTTGGACACAGGGCAGGGAACATCACAAACTGGGGCCTGTCATGGGGTGGGGGCATGGGGGAGTTATAACATTAGGAGAAATACCTAATGTAAATGACGAGTTAATGGGTGCAGCACACCAACATGGCACATGTATACATATGTAACAAACCTGCACGTTGTGCACATGTAGCCTACAACTTAAAGTATAACAAAAGAGAAAAAGAGAGACGAGAGAATCACAGAGGGTCAAAGAGAATAAAATATCTATTCCTTGAATTTTGAAAATATATATATATATATATATGAGAGACCATTTATTATATATTTTTTCTAAAGATTTCCAAGCATGGCCTACAGAATCTCATTCATCTTCTCAATTATATTTGTGGATATTTTGGTAATTATCTATAGAGAAGAAAAAGAGTGGACTTGCTTTCATCAATAAACAGTTCTAGAATTTGCTCTGTATGCATGTTTGACCTGTGCACTCGTTCATCGGGAAATAATATGAGGAAATAATCTACTAACCCTTACAAACTCCGTACCAGGTGACAGTGGGTCTCCCACAGTTGTTATGAATTCTTATGGACACTCAATTCTCAAACATAGTAATAATAGTCTGAGTACATATTTAGGTTTCATGTTTCCTAAAAATGATGCCAGTTGCATTTTTTTCAGTACATTTAGAACCTTTGAAATCATTGAACACATACTTTACTTTTTTGTTCTACAACATATCACACAAAACAATGAAAAATACAAAGTAAACCTTTGAAATAAGTGTTTGAGATAATATTTTGAGGTACTTGCCTTTGTTTGCTTCTTTCTCCATAAAATACTCCTTAACATATAACTATTGACACAAGTTGAAGTTAGGGTATACTGCCTTAGGGAGTATATGTGGCCAGGTGGAAGAAAAAAGTCATCAGCTAGAGCAGAGTCAAGAGCATAGGCAAAATGTCCTGGTAAAAAAGTGAAAGAAATGTTCTTTACCTAAATTAAAACTTATTTTGCACCTGAAATACAGAAAAGAAAAAACCCAGAAAGATTACAGAACTGTTTGTGATTTTGATGCAGCAGAGACCAAAACCTAAGCTGCCAGACCTCAGAGAAAAATGCATTGAATTGGTGTGTAGAGTCAGAAACCACATTGTACTAGAGTAAATAATGTGACACTTCTTGCACATCTGATCTTGCCAACTGAAATTTACTCACTACTAATTATAAGAAATTATACACAGAAAAAATAGTAAGAAAAACTTTGGGATGGGGCCCAGATATCTAAATTTTAACAGATTCCCCTGCATTCATTTTAATGTTTGGGATACACTGGTGCATAACTGCTTATTCTAGAACTTAAATATTTTGCAAAGCTATATCTCCCACCACTATATAGTTCAGTTATCAAGAAATCAAGCTAAAAGTTTGAAAGTATTACTAAATTATGTAAAAATAGAAGATGATCACAGATTTTCTTCTCGATAGATTTTCTAAACTTGAGATAATGGAGACTCTACTAAATCCTGACCTTTTGCAAAATACTGTGCATTATTTGACAAATTATCACATCAGTAGCTCAATTTTCCATGTTTCTTTAAAACCATTCTCCTGATAGGAGTTTGAAGCTGTTTTTTTTCTCACTAATATTATTACTCATAAAAGTTTCAGCAGTAAGTCCTTCCTTGAAAATCATACATCTAAGAAGTGGACAGAATATTAAAAAATGCTTTATTTATTTAAATTAATAAACATAACAGAGTTAAACTCAATTTATACACACAAATATATATTTTTAAAAAAAATAAATTATCAAAAACATAGTTTATACAACATGTGAATAAGTAAAAAAATAGTGTGTTTTAAAACTCAGCCAATTTAAGGAAATTAAACCAGAATTAATTAAGTTTATATATTTCTTAATTTCTTACTAATTTTATTCTATTAAAATCTTTAAACTGAGGCCAGCCAGCACTTTGGGAGACCAAGGCAGGCGGATCACTTGAGGTCAGGAGTTCGAGACCAGCCTGAGCAACATGGTGAAACCCTGTCTCTACTAAAATACAAAAATTAGCCAGGCGTGGTGGTGGGCACCAGTAATTCCAGCTACTCAGGAGACTGAGGCAGGAGAATCACTTGAACCTGGGATGCGGAGGTTGCAGTGAGCCGAGATTGTGCCATTGCACCTCTGCCTCAGTGAAAAAAAAAAAAAAAAAACCTTAAACTAATCATTCCCTTTTTGATATAATATATTTTTAAAATCTGAAAGAAATTTCCCTGAAAAATTTTAGAAAATGTTGGTTGACATAGGTCAGGGCTGAGAAACCAATACTCAAAAAGTTGGCACTTTGACATGCTGAACTGAAGAACCCTCAAGGCCTCTCTGACATTCCCCCCATCCTGTTTCTCAATTATCTGTCTCCACAAAAACACAAGATAAAGTTGTTCTCCGAAGTTTCCTTATCTGACTGAAGCCCAGATAAACATTACCTCAGGTTGTGTCCCTGAGTTTTTATTAACTGAAATTATATCACAGGTAGAAATACTGAAGTCTGTCAACACACCTGGACAAATATGTCACAAATGATTGTCTGATCTGTGGATCCAACAAACTTTGTCTTAGGCCATTGCATGTTCTTCAAACCCTTTAAATTGCCCTAAAAATCAGTGACTACTCCCGTAAAATCATCCAAACTTCATTCCCATTTCTTTTTCTCCTAACAAGTAGGGTTTATAAGCCCCTGTACCGTATTGTGTGGTGGGGTAATCACTCTGTATTTTTCCTCCCATGTACCATAATAAATTTATGTGACTTTTCTTCTATTTATCTGCTTTTGTCAGTTGTTTTTCAGTGACCCTCCAGAGGACTAAAGGAAAGTTTTGCTTCGCCCCTACAGTTTTGGCACTGTGAGCAGTATACCAAAACTACTCCACCCTTCCGAAAGCCACAGTGAAGAAAACCCAAGGCCTGACAAGCCAGCAGAAGTGCAAAAAAGTTTTACCAATCAGGTCATTAGCCTCTAGCTCTGTGGAATCTGGTTGAGTTCATGGTAAAACTCACTGTTTTTCACTTTTTCCTCTCCAAAATTATGATTAATGGAAGAAAACTATTTGCGTGACTAGTATCAGATATAGTTCTTCTGTTTTAGTTTTTGCTCTAAGTATTCATATTAGCTGATACTTTTCCTCCTAGAAATATTGTTTTCCTTTGTCTTTTTCTGTCTTGTTATGTCAAAGAGAAGTATCATAGGGTAAAACATAGGCTTAAAACCTCCATTAACGCATTTTTCAAGCTGACCCTGCACACTGGTCAGTTTTGTGTTTCTGACCACACCAGAGTCTATTTAGACAAACTTGTTGTAGGTCCCCAAAATAAAAACCAGATGAGCTTCCCCTCTCTTGTTCTATGTCACTGAGAGCTTGACTAGTAATCAAGTGGGAGAACGCTTTTCTAGTCTCCATCATTTATGGGGTGTGACTTTGGGGTGAAGTCTAGTGGTAAGTCTGTAATATGGCTGGGAACCTGAGACATCTGAGATTTTAAGCAGCACCCTCTTTGCTCTGAATGTGCTAGTGTCTCAAGGGAGTCTGTCTTAAGACGTCCCATCCATAAGGGGCTTCTGTCAGCTCAATCATTTTTGCCTGATTACTCCTGGGAAAGTCTAATCCCAAGAGGGCCTACCAGGCATCAAATTAATGGGTCTGTAACTGTAAGCTTCCCACAAATTTGTAAAGTACTGAAGGAATGACACTCACAAATACCATACTTAACCATCTGTGACAACAAGAGGCTTTTTCTATCTTAGCCTATTTCTGAGAGTGAATTATTAGGAGATTATTGGAACCGCCTCTTTTATGCCCCCTCCAGGAACACCTCTTTGTTATATAGTAAAAACTTATTCTGTACTTGGAAAATTACCTCCTGCACTTTCCATTAAGACATGTATTGAATTGAGTTGCTATTGAAATAAGCGCACCACTGGAAGTTCTAATCATCAGTGGCCAAAATGTCTCCTTTGAAGTATGAAGACTCTTAAATTTTTTAAAAAGAAAGACTTTAGAGATCTATTATTCTATACAAATGCTTTATTTGTATTTATTGGACAATCAAATTAAAAGAAAGATGCATAACAATGTCATGGCTGGTCTGGTGCAGTGGGTCACACCTGTAATCCTAGCACTTTGGGAGGCTGATGGGGGCGGATTGCCTGAGCTCAGGAGTTTGAGACCAGCCTGGGCAACACGATGAAACCCATTCTCTACTAAATTACAAAAAATTAGCCGGGCAAGGCGGTGTGCGCCTGTAGTCCTAGCTACTCAGGAGGCTGAGGCAGGAGAATTGCTTGAACCCGGGAGGTGGAGGTTACAGTGAGCCAAGATTGCGCCACTACACTCCAGTCTAGGCAACAGAGTGAGACTCTATCTCAAAAAAAAAAAATTGTATCATGGCCAGTCTTAGAAATTCTCTTGATGGAATTAAAGAGCAAAAGTTAGACCTAAAACAAAGTTAAAATCCTTTGTACATTCAAACTATCTGCCTCAGATTCCCTGTGGGACTTAGAAAAGAGGCACTCTACACTACATATAGTCTAGAAATTAGATCATGCATTTTCACTGTTGTGATTTGGGTTTAATTTTCAGTCAGAAAACCAGTATCTGCAGATATAAGTTTTTTAACTTGGAAGAAGAAACATTTCCTTCAATGCCTACTTTGTTGAGTGTTTTTAACATGAAGTGATATTGAATTATATCAAAAGCCTTTTCTGCATTTATTGAGATAATCATATGGTTTTTGTTTTTAGTGAAATTTGAAAAGATATTTTTAAATAGCTCTGTAGTCAAGAAGTCAGCTTAATCAAAAGCTAGTATTCAGGTCATAATTTCTTTTTTTTTTTCAAATGGCCTTTCTGATTCTTTTGTTTTTTAAATCCTGTTTTGGGAATTTTTTTTTTTAGTCACCTAAATACCCTTTTCATTATATGTTTAGGTCCCTCTGTTTGCTCCCTTTTTTGTTGGAATGATTTCTGCTAAAAAAAAATAAATGTAAAATTTTATTGGCCTTTGGAAAGCTAAAAATCTTCAACTGGCTCTTTTAAGACTTGTTCTCCCATTTATTTCTATTCCTCTTTCCGTTTTGCATCCTTCAATACCACATGAAAAGGTCTACAAGGAATGACTCTGAGACCACTCAAAGAACACAGAAGAAAGACACCACAGATTCTCTTTTGGGGATCCCCTCTTTTCCTTGTGGAGCCCCAGGAGTCATGTGTAGGTTCCTCATAGGTAGAAAGCTCTGCTCTCTTTGGCACTGCATTACCTAATTTCTTTGGCTTTTGTGAGTATGAGGAGTTACTTTGTATTGTGAGAGAGCACTTGGCCTTTGTATATGCAATGGCTGGCAAGTCACTAGCAACAGTTACATTTTTGAAGGTGGCTAACAGCAGTTGTTGGCAGTGAATGGCTATTATTGTGGAGCACTACTCATTCTTTGTTTTTGTATGTTTAGATAACAAAGGTCAGCTTGAACACTTGAAGGCTGTGAAAACACTCACCACTGTGGGATAAGACTCTTGTGATGAACGGGCTGATCACAGAATGGGACAATTGGCACTGGTCACTTACCAGCCTCAGGAAAACATTATTGTAGTGATGTACACTGTAGAAACATTGCATGGTTCAGTCCTACGGTGTTTCCCACTTTTGGAGACCTGGGACTCAGTGTAAAAAAATGGAATCCTTGAGTTTGAAGAATTTAGATGTTCTCCCTTCCAGCAATGCCTGTTTTTCCCATATACAAACATTAGGCCTTAATAAGTACAAAATGTTTTTTGGTGTGTGCTATTCATTGATGCACTATACTCTGAGCTCATTAGTCCAGTTTGCAAAACGAAGACTAAATTAGAAGCTACCTATACAAATGAAATGGATCTCCATATAAAGTCCTATGTTAAATTCCTATAATTTTGTTTTATCTTATCATTCATTTTTATTCTTCCACTAACAAACTCAAGTTCTTCCTTTTAAAAACCTTAAATTCTCTTTCCGTGTTTTGAAATGTAAATTTACTACCTTGTTTTTTTCTCAAACTCAGTAAGGCCTCTGGCCATGTGGAACAGACAAACTTGTTTCATTTATAGATTCGCAATTTAAGCCAACTGTCCTTTTAAATGGCAAATTGTACATGTCTCATGGCTATAGATTTAAAATAAAAGGTGTAAGATTTTTATTTTGCCTGTCTGTATTTTTATGTATACATGTGTATACATATCTATATATTGTCTACATTGACTTATATGAGTAATCATAAATTAAATAACTAGCCCAAAGAGTTTTCAAGTTTACATGACTTTGTAATCTTTTTAAAATCAAGTTAATTTTGAAATTGCTATCAAAACAAAATAGAAATGTTTTCAGAATTGTAAGTATTAAACTTAATTTTATGTATTTCTGGCTGGGTCTACTGGTCAAATTGATATTTTCTTTGTTAGTGTTTATGGTCATAAAACAGCTGTTCTTGTCATATTTTTGACATTGGCTTATTTTCTTTGCTTGTGACTTTGGTTTGAGCCTTCAGATTCTGAGGTCTAGACAACTGGCCGTGGTAAGGACTTGAGACATATGTGTGTCCAGAGTGCCTAGGCCTCCAAGTACAGGCTAGAGCTAAGCCAAATATGTCCTCAATGGTCAAGCTACGCCTATTGGCCATGCTGAGTAGGGTCAGATTCCCCAACCATTGTCTTCACAGCTCTGTCTTCTTTTCTGGGCTCTGCACCTGAGACGTAACCATTAAATTGCTTGCTTCCTAGATTTTTTTTTTATTTTCCCATTGGCCATTAGGGTTATCAAGAGTTAAAATTGTAATTAATAGGTTTAATTAAAAATACTAAATATTGAAAAAACTCAATTCTGTATGCAAAGTGTACAAGAAAAGTAGGATGTGTTTTTAGTAAGGAAAGTTATAAGAAAGACATAATAATGTGGTTTGTGTTAAAGAAAATGTAATTTTCCTGGTTTAAAGGTTATTTAAGAGTTGTTTTAAATTGACACAATAAAAATGATGCATAAAACAAGATGGATACAGAAAGTTGGAAAAAAATTATAAGAGGTTGTAAAAGTTTTATAACAATCTTATTGTGTGTGATCAATTTAATTGAGATGATAGATCTATTCATATTATAAGGTTTTGCTAATATTAGGTTTTATATTAATAATACATTGTTAAAAAAGTAAAATTTCATTTTATTTGTTACACAATATTTTTGTATAGTATTAATAAAAAATAATAGAGGGTGTTTTTTTAACTTTTTAGTAAAATGCAAAAAAAGTAAAAGGCAGCAAGAGACAGATTCCGTTGGTCTCATGTTATGTCTATTAGGTCTTTTGATTATGAGGAAAACTGATTCTCCACTCTACCGAAAAGTAAAGATTTTTCCATTTTGAAACATTCGAATTACCACTTTGGTTAAGTAGATGACTTTTATTTTACAGTGGCCTTTGATTTTATTCTGATAAAGTGTTTTAAACTATTCTTATTTTGATACCAAGTGTTTTAAATGTTTTATAATAGAGACACTTCTCAAAATCAAATTTTTAACTATAAATTTAGTTATTTTGACCTTGAACTATATTTTGGACATTTTAAATAGTGTAGTTGGAAATTCAGGAGAACATATTGGCTTGTTTGGTTTGTTAAAATCATAAAAGAAGCACTGTCAAGTAAGAAATGGTGTTTAACATTTTTTTGAGTATTTGCAATATAGTTCAGGCCTCACTAGAAGCAGCTAATTCTTGTACAGTATATAGAACCATGAGCCAAAATAAAACTTTTTTTTTTTTGAGACAGAGTGTCACTTTGTCACCCAGCTGGAGTGTAGTGGTGCTATCTCAGCTCACTGCAACCTCCACCTCCCAGGTTGAAGTGATTCTCCTGCCTCAGCCTCCTGAGTAGCTGGGACTATAGGCATGTGCCACCATGCCTGGTTAATTTTTGTATTTTCAGTAGAGACAGAGTTTTGCCATGTTGGCCAGGTTGGTCTTAAACTCATGACCTCAAGTGATCTGCCTTCCTCGGCCTCCCAAAGTGTTGAGATTACAAGTGTGACCCACCATGTCCAGCCTTTTATTAAATGTAAATTACCCAGCTTCAGGTATTTACTTATAGCAACACAAAATCAACTAATACAGAAAATTGACACTGAGGACTTGGAAATTGCTATAAAGGTAACTTACAATGAGAAAGTGGCTTTGAAACTGGGTAACAGGCAGAGGTTGGAAGAATTTAAAGATCTCAGAAGAAGAGAGAAAGATGAGAGAAAGTTTGAAACTTCTTAGAGACTGGTTAAGTGGTTACAACCAAAATGCAAATAGTAATATAGACTACCATATTATGATATAGTGAAGGCCAATTGGATGAGGTCTCAGATGAAAAAGAGGTACTTATTGGGAACTGGAGCAAAGTTCACCTTTGTAACATCACCACACACACACACACACACACACACACACACACACACAGACACACACACACACAAAGTGACTTTGTGTCCATGCCCTAGAGACTTTTAGAAGTTTGAACTTAAGAATGATGACCTAGTAGGGTGGAAGAAATTTCTAAGTAGAAAGGCAACCAGTACGTGGCCTGGTTGTTTCTCACAGCCTATGATTATGTATGGGAGCAAAAGAATGACTTAAATTTTGAACTTATAATTAAAATGGAAGCTGAGCATCAAAATTTAGAAAATTCTCAACCTGACCATGTAGTAGAGAAAAATAGTGTTTCAGAGAAGAATCAAAGAGGGCTGCTGAGCAATCGCTTGCTAGATAAATAATCATGACTAAAAGAGAGCTAAGTGTTAACAGCCAAGACAATGGGTAAAGTGCCTTCAAGATATTTTAGAAGTATTCCAGGCTGCCTCTCTCATCATGTCCCAGAGGCCTAGGAAAATAAAATGGTTTCAGAGACCAGGCCCAGAGCCCCACTGCCCTGCACAGGCTTGGGAAAGTAAGTCCTGCATCCTAGCTGGTCTAGCTCTAACCACCACTTCAAAGGGTGCAAACCGTAAGCCTTGGCAGCTTCCACCTAGATTTCAGATAAACTATCAGAAAGCCTGGATGCTTAGGCAGAAGCCTTCCATGGGGCAGAGACACTGCAGAAAGACTATACTAGGGCAGTGACAAAAGAAAATATGGAATTGGAGTCCCCAAACATAGTCCCCACAGTGGCATTGCCTATTGAACCTGTGGTAATAGGGCTTGTTATTTATATAGGAAACATTGCCTCTTTCTTTTGCCTAATTTCTTCTTTTTGGAGTAAGAATGTGAACCCAGTCCATGTACTGCCATTGTATCTTGGAAGTAAATAAATTAATTTTGATTTTACAGACTGATAGGTGGGAGGAACTTGCCTTGAGTCTCAAATGAGATTGGACTTTGAACCTTCAAGTTGATGCTGGAATGACTTAACATTTTTGTGGACTATTTGGAAGAGATTATTATAATTTGCAAGGTGAGAAAAACATGAAATTTGTGAGATAGGGGTGGAATAATACAGTTAGGGTGTTTGTCACCTCTAAATCTCATATTAAAATGTGATGCCCAGTGATGGAGGTAGAGCCTAATGGGAGGTGTTTCGGTCATGTGGGAACATTTTTTATGCCTGACTCGATGCCCTCCTCACAGTAATTAGTAAATTCTCACTCTGTCAGATCTGGTGAGATCTGGTTATTGAAAAGAATCTAGTATCTTCCTCCTCTCTCTCTTGCTCTCTCTCTTGATCCTGCTTTACCCTCCATTATGATTATGTTTCCTAAGGCCTCACCAGAAGCAGGTGCTGACACCTTTTTTTTTGGTACAGGTTGCAGAAGAGTGAGCCAAAATAAACTTCTTTCCTTTATAAATTATCTAGCCTCAGGTATTTTGTTATAGCAACATAAAACCAGTGAAATTTGTATGAAGATGTTATTCATATGTGTTCCAAAATTGCATGAGATTTCTAAGAATCTGATATGTCTTGATATATGTAGTAAATTGTTTTATTTTGATGCTTATTTTTCTAAAAGCTCTTTATAAATCCTAAAAAGATGTGTTTTCTAGGAAATTTATGAAAAAGTCCCTGACAATCATACTTTTGAGTATAAGTTTTGGGTAACTTTGAAGATTATACTATTGGACTAGGTAAAAACTTCCAGAATACTAATTTTAGAAATCCCTGATGGATTCATAAAGATTGCCAAATCAATATCGAGCAGAACAAGAATTATATACATGGTGTTAAACTTATGGGGAAACATTGATGATTCGTATTATATTTTGCTTTCCAGATTGAAGAAAACATTTTTATCCCAGCTATGTATAGCTTACAACTGGGTAAAGTACACTTTTCTGTTCAAAATTGAAGAGCTTCCTTTTCTCTCTATCTGATTTTCTCATAATTCAAAAGTTATTTGTGAGTATTCTTATTTTATGGCAATATAGTTATTTGCATAAATACATTAGAATCTGTTTTCTTTTGTAACAGGACACAACTGAAGACAATACTTATTTTTACCAAGGATTTGATTGGAACTTTATACTTTAAAATGTGATCAGACTGCTTTTAATAATTGACATTGACTTTATAAAGCCAATAGATGTAGAAAAAGACAGCTTGTACCTTGTCTACATGGCTTTTTTTTACCGGACTCCTGATCTTGTCGTAAGGAAAGAATGTCACTTTCTAGCAGGTGAGAACCTCAAGATCTATGGAAAACTCCAAGAAAAAAAATTTACCCAATACACACAGGCATTACAGGCACAATCTGTTATGAAATCCTTGGCTTGGCTCTTCAGGCTCAAGAGGCTTTTGAAAGTCTAACTTGAGACAGGAGGTGGAGTAAGATGGCTGAATAGAAGCCAGCAGCAATTATCTTACTATAGTCACACCAAAGTGAACAATTGTACACACAAGAAAGCACCTTTATAAGAACCAAGAAAGAATCAGGTGAGTGATCACAGTATTTGGTTTTAACATAATATCAAGGAAAGAGTAACTGAAAAGGGCAGAAAAGACAATTTTGTATTGCCTACACAATCCTTCCCCCTTCCCCAAGGAGCGTGAAAAGAGAGAATGAGTGTGCTTGAGAGGGGAAAGTAAAGTGATTGTGGAACTTTGCATTGGAAGTCACCACTGCCCTGTCACAGCAGAACACAACACAGGGTAGAACTTGGCCAGTGCCCATGGAGGGAGCATTTAGAGTAACCACAGCCAGAGGAGAATTCTCTGCCCCAGCAGTAGGAATCTGAGTTCCAGTTTGCCCAAGCACTGGCTGAATAAAGTGCCCTGAGTTCATGAATAAATTTGAAAGGCAGTCTAGGCCAAAAGGACTGCATTCATTGGGCAAGTCCTGGAATTGCACTGGGCTTGGAGCCAATAGAATTGTGGTGCATGTGCCCCCGTGAAACATCAACTGGAGCAGCCGAGAGAGTATGTTGTCCCTGTCCCAACTTCAGGCAGTGCAACTAGGAAAGAGACTCTTTCTGCTTGCAAAACGAAGAGGAAACTGTAAAGAGGACTTTGGGACTTTGTCTTTCAACTTAGGTACCAGCTTAGCCATAGTAAAATAAATCACCAAGCAGATTCCTGAAGTCACCAATTCTAGGCCTTAGCTCCTGGTTAGCATTGCTAGACACACACTGGGCCAGAAGGAACCCACTGTTCTAAAAGGAAAGACTCAGTCCTGGTAGAATTCACCACCTGCTAACTAAGGAGCATTTGGGCCTTTGATAAACATCAGTGATAGCCAAGCAGTAGTTACCATAGGACTTGAGAGAGACCCAATACCATGCAGATTTCAAGCTTGACCAAGCACAGTCCTAGATGTGGTTTCCACAGGACTGCTGACATCACCTCTTTCCCAACTCCAGGCAGCCCAATACAGAGTGACTCCATTTTTGCAGGAGTGAGGGAAGAGTCTCTCTGGTAATCCATGGAATTCTCTGAGATCTTACCCAAGGCCAACAAAATGATACCTCTAGTCAGCAAGAGTCACAGTGTTAGTGGGCTTTGGATGCCCCCTAGTGTAGATATAATTGCAGTGACCAAATACTTAGATCACAACACTTCTATGTTACCTTTAAACATAGAAAGACTTTTCAAGAAGTCCAAAAACCCCAGACTATGAAGATTAGCATAAATATCCAACTCTTCAATGCCCAAACATCAGTAAATATTCAAAAGCATCAAGAAAACTCAGGAAACCATGACCTCACTAAATGAACTAAAAGTACTAGTACACAATCCCAGAGTTAGAGAGACATGTGATATGTCAAACAGAGTTCAAAGTGGCTGTTTTGAACATGTACAGCAAAATTCAAAATAACACAGAGAAGGAACTCAGAATAGAATATTATCAGAGAAATTTAATAAAGAGATTGCTATAATTTTAAAAAGCAAGCAGAAATTCCAGAGCTTAAAAAAATCAGTTCACAATTGAAAAATTCATCAGAGTCTCTGAATAGCAGAACTGATCAAGCAGAAGAAATATTCAGTGAGTTTGAAAATGGGGTATATAAATGTTAAAACCCAATCCGAGGAAGCTAAGAATCACAATAAAACAATACAAAAGCTGAAAGACAAAATAGCCGGTATAGAAAAGTATGTAATTGACTTGAAAGAGCTGAAATACACTCTATACATATTTCATAAGGCAACTGAAAGTATGACCAGCAGAAAAGGCAATGCTGGCAAAATAATCTCGGAGGTTACAGACTGGCTTTGTGAAATAAGAAAGTCAGATAAGAATTTTTTTAAAAGAACAAAAAAGAAGAAACAAAACCTTCAAAAAATATGGAATTATGTAAAAAGACCAAATCCACAATTCATTGGCATCCCTGAAACAGATGGGACAACTGGAAGCCACTTGGAAAACATATTTCAGGATATCATTAATGAGAATTTATCTGACCTAGCTAGAGAGGCCAACATTCAAATTCAGGAAATGCAGAGAACCCCAAAAAATACTTCAAAAGAAGATCATTCCCAAGATACATAATCATCTTGGTCAAAATGGAAGACAAAATGTTAAAGGCAGCTAGAAAAAAAGAACAAGTCAATTAAAAAGGGAAGCCCATCAATCTGTGAAAGGAAAATATCTCCCAAAATCACTAAGGAAAACTCAGGCTGGAAACTGTTTAGGGCAAACTTGCCTCCCATTCTATTCAAAGTTACCCTCTTCTCACTAAGATGGATGCATATCTGATTGTCTCCTTTGGAAAGGCTAATCAGAAACTCAGAATAATGCAAGGGTTTGTGTCTCACCTATCTGTGACCTGAAACCCCCCTTCAAGATGTCCCACCTTTCCAAACCAAACCAATGTACTTCTTACATATACTGATTGATGTCTCATGTCTCCCTAATATGTATAAAACCAAGCTGTGACCCGACAGCCTCAGGCACATGTCAGGGCTTCCTGAGGCTGTGTCATAGGTGCATTCTTAATCTTGGCAAAATTAACTTTCTAAATTAACTGAGACCTGTCTCAGATTTTCTGAGTTCACAAGTCTAACAGTAGACCATGAAGCAGAAACCCAACAAGCCAGAGGAGATTGAGGGACTATGTTTAAAATTCTTGAAGGAAAGAAATTTTAAGCAGTAATTTTATATCTAGCCAATGTAAGCTTCATAAGCAAAGAAGAAATAAGATACTTTTCAGACAAGCAAACACTAAGAAAATTTGATAACAAATGGAAAACAAATAGAAAAACATTCCATGCTTACGAATAAGAAGAGTCAATATTGTTAAAGTGTCCATACTGCCTAAAGCAGTTTATGATTTTAATGCTATTCCCATCAAACTATCAATGATATTCTTCACAGAAATAAAAAAAAAACTATTTTAAAGTTAATATGGAACAACAACAAAATATCCCGAATAGCCAAGGCAATCCTAAGCAAAAAGAACAAATCTGAAGAAATTTTTCTACCAAACCTCAAACTGTACTGCAGGGCTGCAGTAACCAAAACAGCATGGTACTGGTAAAAAAAACAAACAAACAAACAAAAAAAAACGGACACATAGAACAAGGGAACAGAATAGAGAGCCCATGAATAAGGTCACACACATACCACCATCTGATCTTTGATAAAGCTGACAAAAACAAGCAATGCGGAAATATCTGTCTATTCAATAAATAGTGCTGAGTTAACTGGCTAGCCATATGCAGAAGACTGAAACTGGATGCTGCCTTATACCATAAACAAAAATCAACTCAAGATGAATTAAAGACTTAGATGTAAAAACCAAAACTATAAAAACCCTAGAGGCCATGCACAGTGGCTCATGCCTGTAATCCCAGCACTTTGGGATGCCGAGGTGGGCATATCACTTGAGGTCAGGAGTTTGAGACCAGCCTGGCCAACACGGTGAAACCCCTTCTCTACTAAAAATACAAAAAATTAGCCAGGCATGGTGGTGCACACCTGTAATCTCAGCTACTCGGGAGGCTGAGGCAGGAGAATCGCTTGAACCCAGGAGGCAGAGGTTGCAGTGAGCCAAGATAGCACCATTGCACTCCAGTCTGGGCGACAGAGCAAGACTCCATCTCGGGGTGAGCGGTGGGTGGGGAAACCCTAGAAAAAAAACCTCACAAATACCATTCTGAACATAGGAACAGCCAAAGATTTAATAACAAAAAAGTCAAAAGCAATTGCAATAAAAGCAATAATTGAGAAATGGGATCTAATTAAATTAGAGAGCTTCTGCATAGTGCATAGCAAAAAAAAAAAAGCTATCAACAGAGTAAACAGACAACCTACAGAATGAGAGAAAATTTTTTTAAATATACCTCTGACAAAGGTCTAATATCCAACATTTATAAGGAACTTAAATAAATTTAGAAGAAAAAAAATGCCTTTAAAAAGTGAACAAAGAACATGAACAGACACTTTTCAAAAGTGATTTTAATATATCCAGTGAACAAGCATAAGAAAAAAAGTCAATGTCATTGATCATTAAAAAAAATTAAAATCAAAACCACAATGAGATACTATTTTGTACTAGTCAGAATGTTTATTACTAAAAGGTCAAAAAATAACAGATTGTGGCAAGGTTGCAGAGAAAAGGGAAACCTTACACACTGCTGCTAGGAGTGTAAGTTAGTTTAGCTATTGTGGAAAACAGTTTGAAAATTCCTCAAAAAGCTAAAAGCAGAACTCCCATTTGACCTAGCAATCCCATTACTGTGTATATTTTCAAAGGAATATAAATTATTCTATTATCATGAAGAAACATGTATTTATATGTTCACTGAAGCACTATTCAGAATATCAAAGACATGGAGTCAACCTAAATGCCCATCAATGGAAGACTGGATTTTAAAAATGTGGTACATATATACCATGAAATACTATGCAGCCATGAAAAAGAATAAAATTATGTCCTTTACAGGAACATAGATAAAGCTGGAGACCATTATCATTAGAAAACTAATGCAAAAACAGAAAACTAAATATTGCATGTCCTCACTTATAAGTGGATGCTAAATTACGAGAACACATGGACACAAAGAGGAGAACAACAGACACTGGGGCCAACCTGATGGTGGAGGTTGGGAGAAAAGAGAGGATAAATAAAAATAACTAATAGGTACTAAGCATAGTACCTGGGTGATGAAATAATCTGTACATCACACCCCCATGACAAGAGTTTACCTATAAAACAAACCTGCATGTGTACCTCTGAACCTTAAATAAAAGTTAAAAAAAAACACATAGATTATGAATCCAAATAATCATTTAAAAAAAGCAAATACAAGATAGACAAAGTTGACAAAACTTTAGCTAGACTAAACTAGAAACAGAACACCCAAATAAATGAAAAATTAAAATGTAGACATTATAACTGATACTGGAGAAATTTAAAGGATCATTAGAGACAACTATAAGCAACAATATGCCAATAAATTGGAAAATTTAGAAGAAATAGATACATTACTAGACACATACAAATTACCAAAATTGAATGATGAAGAAATTCAAAACCTGAGTAGATAGATCAATAACAAGTAATGAGATTAAGGCTGTAATAAAGTCTCCCTTTAAAGAACAGCCCACGACTCAAGGACTTCACTGCTCAATTTACCAAATATTTAAAAAACTAATACAAACCTACTCAAGCTATTCCAAAAATAGAAGGGGAAGGAATACTTCAAACTCATTCTATGAAGCCAGTATTATTACCAAAACCAGACAAAAACACTTCAGAGAAGAAAAGACGAATATATCTGATGGGTATGGATGCAAACATCCTTAACAAAATACTAGCAAACTGAATTCAACAACACATTAAAATGTCCATTAATTATTACAAACTGTGATTTATCCCAGTAATGCAATGATGCTCCAACATACACAAATCAATCAATTTAATATGTCATGTCAACAGAATGAAAAATACAAACCATATGATTTTAATTGATGCTGGAAAAGTATTATAAAAAAATCAACATTGTTTCTTTCCTAAAAACACTGAAAAATTGGAAATAGAAAAAACCTACCTCAGCACAATAAAATCCGTATAGGTCAGACCCACAGCTAGTATCATATTGAATAAAGGAAAACCAACTTCACTTGAAGATCTGAAACATGACAAGGATGCTCACTTTCACCACAGCTATTAAAAATAGCAATGGAAATTCTAGCTAGAACAATTAGTTAAGGAAACAAAATAAAGAGCCTCTAAATGGCAACAAAAGAAATCGAATCATTTTTGGTTTCAGATTGTATTAGTTTATGCTCACATTGCTAATAAAGACATACCCAAGGCTGGGTAATTTATAAAGAAAAAAAAGTTTCATTGACTCACAGTTCAGCGTGGCTGGGGAGGCCTCAGGAACTTACAATCATGGCAGAAGAGGAAACAAAAACATCCTTCTTCACATGGCGGCAGCAAGGAGAAGTGCTGAGTAAAAGGGGAGAAAACCCTTGTAAAACCATCAAATCTTGTGAGAGTTAAGTCACTGTCATGAGAACAGCAGCAGCACAAGGATAACTGCCCCCATGATTCAATTACCTCCCACTCAGTCCCTCCCATGATGTGGGGATTATGGGAACTACTATTAAAAATGAGATTTGTGCGGGGACACAGAAAAACTATATCATTCCAGCCCTGACCCCTCTCAAATCTCATCTCCTCACATTTCAAAACACAATTATTCCTTTCCAACAGTCCCTCAAAGTCTTAAGTCATTCCAGCATTAACCCAAAAGTCCAAATCGAAAGTTTCATCTGAGACAAGGCAAATCTCTTTCACCCATGAGCTAGTAAAATTGAAGCAAGTTAGTTACTTCTTAGATACAATATTGGTACAGGCATTGGGTAAATACGCCCATTCCAAATGGGAGAAATTGTCCAAAACAAAGGGGCTACAGGCCCCATGCAAGTCTGAAATCCAATAGAGCAGTCATTAAAATTTAAAGTTTCAAAATGATGTTCTTTGACTCCATGTCTCACATCCAGGTCATGCTAATGCAAGAGGTGGGGTCCCACAGCCTTGGGCAGCTCTGACCCTGTGGCTTTGCAAGGTACAGACCCCCTCCTGGCTGCTTTCATGGGCTGGCATTGAGTATTGGTGACTTTTCCAGGTGCATGGTGCAAGCTGTCAGTGGATCTACAATTCTGGGGCCTGGAGGATGGTGGCCCTCTTTTCACAGCTCCGGTAGGCAGTGCCCAAGTAGGGACCCTGCACTGGGGCTCCAATCCCACATTTCCCTTCCACACTGCCCTAGCAGGAGTTCTCTATGAGGGTTATGACCCTGCAGCAAACTTCTCCCTGGACATCCAGGCCTTTCCATACATTCTCTGAAATTTAGCTGAAGGTTCCCAAACCTCAATTCTTGATTTCTGTGCACCTGCAGGTCCAACATCACATGGAAGCTGCCAAGGCTTGGGCCTTGCACCCTCTAAAACAATGGTGTGAGCTGTACCTTGGCCCCTTTTAGCCATGGCTGGAGTGGCTGGAATGCAGGGCACCCAAGTCCCAACCCCCAACCTGCACACAGCAGGGGTGTGGGGGAGAGGAGGGAAGGGTTAAACTCATCCAGGGAAGTTTTCTCGTTCTAGGCCTCTGGACCTGTGATGGGAGGAGCTGGTGTGAAAGTCTCTGACATGCTCTGGAGGTATTTTCCTCATTGTCTTGGTGATTAGTATTCAGCTCCTTGTTACTTATGCAAATGTGTGCAGCCAGCTTGAATTTCTCCCCAGAAAATAGTTTTCTTTTCTATCACATCGTCAAACTGCAAAATTTTCAAACTTTTATGCCCTACTTCCTCTTGAATGCTTTGCCACTTAGAAATTTCTTCCACTAAATACCCTAAATTATGTCTCTCAAATTCAAAGTTTCACAGATTTCTGGGGCAGGTGCAAAATGCCCCCAGTCCCTTTGCATAGCAAGAGTGACCTTTACTAAAGTTCCCAGCAAGTTCCTCATCTCCATCTGAGACCAACTCAGCCTGGACTTCATTGTCCTTATCAGTATTGGCATTTCTGTTAAAGCCATTCAACAAGTCTCTAGGAAGTTCCAAACTTTCCCACATCTTCCGGTCTTCTGAGCCCTCCAAGTCTCTAGGACGTTCCCAACATTTCCACATTCTCCTGTCTTCTTCTGAGTCCTCCAAAGTGTTCCAGACTCTGCCTGTTTCCCAGTTCCAAAGTCACTTCTACATTTTTGTGTATCTTGTTAGCAGCGCTTCCCTCCTGGTACCAATTTACTGTATTATTCTGTTCTCACACTACTAATAAAGACATACCCGAGGCTGAGTAATTTATATAGAAAGGAGGTTTAGTTGACTCACAGTTTACCATGGCTGTGGAGGCCTCAGAAACTTACAATCATGGTGAAAGGGAAAGCAAATATTTCCTTTTTCACAGGGCGGCAGCAAGAAGTGTCAAGTAAAAGGGGGAAAAGCACTTTATAAAATCATCCAATCTCATGAGAACTCTCACTGTTATGAGAACAGCAGCATGGGGGTAACCACCCCCATAATTCAATTACCTCCCCCCGGGTACCTCCCATGACATGTGGTTATTATGGGAAAGACAACTGTAGATGAGATTTATTTAGGTGGGGACACAGACAAACCATATCACAAATCTTATATTTAGAGAAACTTAAATATGTCACCATAAAACTATTAGAACTGATAAATTAAGTTTTCTGATGCAAAATTAATATATAAAAATTAGTAGCATTTCTATATGCCAACAGCAAAGCATCTGAACAAGAAATCAAGAATGTAATCCCAGGCAAGGTGAGTTGGTTCATGTCTATAATCCTAGCACTTTTGGAGGCCATAAATTGAATTAAAAAGTATTAACCAATTATTGACAAAGATAAAAACAGTTATTTATTGGATTAAAGATAGACTTTTGACAAGTGATGAAATAATTAAATATCCATATGAAAAATAAGATGTCAGCATATACCTTACACTTTATACAAGAATTTACTTAAAGAGGCAGAGCAAGATGCCTAAAGAGGAAGCTCCACCAATCATCCCTCCTACAAGTACACCAAGTTAATAACTATCTGCACAGAAAAAACAACTTCATGAGAACAAAACATTAGTTGAGCACTCATAGTACCTGGTTTTAACTTTATATCACTGAAAGAGGGACGGAAGAGATAGAAAAAAGCAGACTTGAGTCACTGACACCACCTCTCCTCAAACACAGGCCGAAGCAGCATAGCACAGAGAGCCTCTCTGGGTGCTTGGGGAGAAAAAAACACAGCAATTGTAGGGCATTGAACCCAGTGCTGTTCTGTTAAAGCAGAAAAAAAAAAAAAAAAGCAAGTTCAAATTCAGCTGATGCTTGCATATGGAGGGAGCATTCAAACCAGCCCCAGACAGGGGAATCATCGATTACAGCAGACCAAACATGAGCGCTTGAAAACCTCACCACAGAGTGCCAAAGTGCTCTCAGTCTCTAAGTAAACTTGAAAGACAGCCTAGCCCATAAGGACTGCAGCTCTTAGGTGAGTCCTTGTGCTGAACTAGGCCTAGAGACAGTGAACTGGGTGGGGGGTGGGGGCATAGTGAGACATCAGCTGGGGCAGCCAAAAGGAGTGCTGACAACACTCCTCTCTTAAACCCAGGCTGCACAGCTAAGGGCTTCAAAAAGACCACTTCCTTCCACTTGAAGAGAGAACAGGAAAGAGTGGTTAGAACTTTGTCTTACATCTTGAATAACAGCTTAGCCACAGCAGGATAGGGTACAGGTCACAGTCATAAGGCCCCTATTTACAGGACCCAGCTCCCAGATGACTTTTCTAGACACAACCTGAGCCAGAAAGGAACCTGCTGCCTTGATAGAAATGACCCAGTTCTGCCAGCATTTATCACCTGTTGACTGAAGAGACTTTGGGCCCTGAATAACCAGCAGCGATACTTTGGTACTTCATCAAGGGCTTTGGTGAGCCTCTGAGATTTGCTGGCTTTGGGTGAGGCTCAGCACAATACCAGTTGTGCTGGCTACTGGACAAAACTCCTCCTGCATGAGAAAAGCAGAGGAAAAAGTAAAAGGGACTTTGTCTTGCACCTTGAGTACCAAAACTGCCAACAGCATGATAGAGCAACAAGCAGGATCTTAAAGTCGCGGATTCCAGGACTTGACTCTTGGATGATATTTCTGCACCTCCTCTGGGCCAGGTGGGAGACCACTGCTCTAAAGAATAAATCCCAGGCCAGGAAACATTCACCACAAGGTGACTTAAGAGCCTTTGGACCTTAATGGAATATTGGTGGTAGTCTGGCAGTACTGCTCCTGGCCAGGTGTGGCAATTGCTATTGGGTAAGGGTTCTCTGCCTTTGGAAAGGAAAGGAAAGAGTGGGAAAGACTGCATCTGGTGCATCGAGTGCAAACTAAGCTGCAATACAATAGAACACCAGTTAGATTTCTAAGGTTTTAGACTGTAGTCTCTAAATCCTGGATGTCACTTCTAAACCCACCGAGCGACTGGGGGACCTCATGTCCCTGAAGAAAAAGACATAGGCCACCCTGGCTTTGCCACCTGGTGATTGTAGAGCTCCAGAGCCTTGAGTGAACATAGGCAGTAGCAAAAGAATGGTTAAAGCAGGTGTTAGGTGAGACCCAGCACTGTGCTGGCTTCAGGTCTAATGCAGCACAGTCATAGCTGTGGTGGATACAGGAGTACTTGTGTCACTAAACCCCCAGCTATAAGTGGCTCAGAACAGACAGAAACTATATATTTTGGAAGAAAGTAAAGGAAGAGAACAAGAGTTTCTGCCTGGTAATTCAGAGTTTTTTGTGATCTTGTTCAAGAACATCAAGGCAGAGCACCTTTGAGTCTGAAAGATTACTAGGCTTGTGGTGCCCCCTAAAGCAGAAACAGCTTAGATTACAACACCCAAGTTCTTTGAAATATCTGGAAGTGTTCCCCAAAAAGATGGCTAAAAATAAGAGCAGACGGTGAAGGCTACAATAGACATCTAACTTTTCAATGCCCAGACATTGAAGAACATCTACTAGTATCAACACCATCCAGGAAAACATAATTTCACCAAATGAACTAAATCATAAATGATCAACCCCAGAGAAACACAGATATCTGACATTTTAGATAATTCAAAATAGTTGTATTGATAAAATTCAAAGCAATTCGAGATAACACACAGAAGGAATACAGAATTCTATCAGATAAATTGAACAAAAATATTGAAATAAATTTTAAAAATCAACCAGAATTTCTGGAATTCATAAATGCAATTGGCATACTGAAGATTTCATCAGAATCTTTAATAGTAGAATGGATCATGCAGGAGAAAAAATTATTGATCTTGAAGACAGGCTATTTGAAAATACAAAGTCAGAAAAGATGAAGTGAAAAAGAATACAAAACTATAAAGTGCATTTCCAGGATCTAGAAAATAGCCTCAAAACGGCAAATCTAAGACGTATTGAACTTAAAGAGGAGGTAGAGCAAAAGGTAGGGGTAGAAAGTTTATTCAAAGGGATAATAACAGAAAACATTCCAAATCTAGAGAAAGATATCAACATCCAAGTACAAGAAGATTATAGAACACTAAGCAGATTTAGCCCAAAAAAAGACTACCCATTTCATAATCAAATTCCCAAAGGTGAAACAAAATAAAAATTCTAAAAGCAGCAATAGAAAATAAACAAATAACGTACAATGGAGCTCCAGTACATCTGGCAGTAAACTTTCCAGCCGAAACCATACAGGCCAGGAGAGGGTGACATGACACATTTAAAATGCTGAAGAAAATAAAATTATCCTATAATAGGACATCTGGTGAAAATATCCTTCAAATGTGAAGGATAAATAAAGACTTTTCAGGACAAACAAAAGCTAAGGAATTTCATCAACACCATACCAGTCCTACAAGAACACTTAAGGGAATACTTCAATCAGAAAAAGATGATATTAGTGAGCAATTAATAATCACCTGAAGATACAACTCACTAATAATAATAAGTCCAAAAAAAGCACAGAATATTATAACACTGTAACTGTGGTGTGTAAAAAACTCTTTTCCTAAATGGAAAGGCTACATGAAAAAGCAATCAAAATTAATAACTACAACAACTTTTCAAGACATAGTCAGTACAATAAGACATAAATAAAAACAACAAAATGTTAAAAGGTGGGAGGATGAAGTTAAGGTGTAGAGTTTTTTATTAGTTTTCTTGTTGCTAGTTTGCTTGCTTATGCAAATAGTGTTAAATTGTTATCAGGTAAAAATAATGGATTACAAGATAGTATTTGCAAGCCTCATTGTAATCTTAAAAATCACACAATAGACACACAAAAAGCAATAATCTAACCCATATCACCAGATAAAATCATTTTCACTAGAGGAAGGGAGGAATGAAAGAAAGAAAGAAGAGAATACCACAAAACTACTAGAAAACAAATAACAAACTGGCAGAAAAAAAAGCGCTTACTTATCAATAATAAAACTGAATGTAAATGAACTAAATTCTCCAATCAAAAGACATAGTCTGATTCAATGTAAATATATTTAAAAAAAACATTGATCTGTTGCCTAAAAGAAACACACTAAACATGTTAAACACACACACACACACACACACACATACACAGATTAAAAATAAATGGGTAATAAAAGATATTTTTTTTGCCAAAGAAAACCAAAAAAAAAGAGTAGATATGCTCATATTAGACAGAAATAAATCTCTAGATAAAGCCTATAAGAAGACACAAATAAAGGCACTATATAATAATAAAGGAGTCAGTTCAGCAAGAAGCGATAACAATTGTAAATATATGTGCAGCCAACACTGTGGCACCCAGATATATAAACCAAACATTATTAGAAATAAAAACAGAGATAGGCCCTAATACAATACCAGCTGGAAACTTCAACAATCCACTTTCAGCATTGGACACATGTTCCAGACAAAGTTAACAAACAAATATCAGAATTAATCAGCACTATAGACCAAGTAGATCTAATAGATATTCACAGAACATGTTATCTAACAGCTGCAGAATATACATTCTTGTCTTCAGCCCATAGATCATTCTCAAAGTGTTCCCCAAAAAGATGGCTAAAAATAAGACCAGACGGTGAAGGCTACAATAGACATCTATTTTTGTGTGTGTGTGACCTACCATGCATTAGGTCACAAAACAATTCTTAAAATATTCCAAAACAAATTGAAATAATATCAAGCATCTTCTCTCACCACAATATAATACAACTAGAAATAAATAACAAGAAGAATTTTGGAAACTACAAATACATTGAAATTGAATAATATACTCCTGAATGAGAAGTGGGTCAATGAAGAAATTAATAAGAAAATTGAAATTATTCTTGAAAAACGATAATGAAAACGCAACATACCAAAACCTATGAGGTAAAGCAAAAACAGTACTAAGAGAAAAGTTTATGGTTATAAATTCCTACATTGGAAAAGAGAAAGAATTCAAATAAACAATTTAATGATTAATCTTAAAAAACTAGAAAAGCAAAAGCAAACCAAATAAAAATTTAGTAGAAGAAAAAATAATAATAAAGAGCTGAGCAGAAATAAATAAAATTGAAATGAAAAATACAATAAAAATATCCATGGTACTGGAGGGGGTCAAGATGGCCAATTGGAAGCAGCTGAGGTCTGCAGCACTCACGGAAAGGAAGGAAAGGGGCAAGTGAATACAGCACCTTCAACTGCAATATCCAAGTACTCGCCTTGGGACTGATCAGGGAAACAACCAGACCCATGGAGAATGAAGAAAAACAAGGTGGGGTGATGGCTTATCCAGGAGCGATCTAAAGCCAAGGGAACTCCCACCCCCAGCCAAGGGAAGCAGTGAGTGTTTGTGTGACCCTGGAAAACCACACTTCTTCCATGGACCTTTGCAACACATGAATCAGGAGATCTCCTTGTGAGCCCATGCCACCAAGGCCTTGGGTCTGACACACAAAGCTGTGTCTCCACACACAGAGATCCAGGAGTTTTACATGCTCCAGCCCTGGGATCCCCAAACAAATGTGTCTGCAACTCAAGAAAGGTGGAATGTCTGTACATACCCCTAGGAAGGGGGCTGTGTTCAGGGAGCCAAGAAGCATCATTCTGTGGACCCCACAGAATGGGGGGGTGTCCACATCTCACATGATAAGACCTATTGGCTTGGAACTCCAGTTAGACACTGGCAACAGGTTGATACATGCCTGAGATGGGAGGGCCGCCATCTTTGCTGTTTTATCAACTCAACCATTCCATCCTGCAGATTTCAGAAAGTCCAGTCTGGACAAGGAAGCATTCCCACAGCACAGCACTGCTGCTTTGACAGATAATAGCCAGACTGCTTCCTTAAGCAGGACCCTGATTCACTCCTCCTCATAGGGTGGGTTCTCCAAGCTGAGGCTTCCAGCCACTCTCACTTGTGTTTTAAAGCAGACAGAGCTCTAATTTCTCCCTGATATGAAGTGCCTGGGATGTGGGGCAGGCCACCGCCTTCGCTATTTGGGCTTCTCAGCTGGTCCAGCCTGTGAGTCTTGGAGAGCCCAAACCAATCAGGGGCTGAAGAGATCCCCGACACAGCACAACTGCTCTAACAGAAAGCAGCCAGACTGCTTCTTTAAGCAGGTCCCTGATTTTATTCCTCCTGACAGGTTGACACCTCCCAACTGGGGTCTCCAGCTACCTCCTACAGGTGCATTTGGGTGGGTAACAGGTCAGTACACCCCAGGATGGAGCTTCCAAAGAAAAAGGCTGGCTGCCATCTTCGCTGTTCTGCAACCTTTACTGATGATACCTGCAGTTATGGAAAAAGTCGAGGCAACTAGGGAATGAAGCGATCCCCCAGCAAACCACAACAGCCCTATGGAAGAGTGGCCAGACTGTTCAAAGAAAAACAAACAAACAAACAACAACAACAAAGAAAATCACAAAAACCCATCCAAAGGCCAGCAACCTCAAAGATCAAAGGTAAATAAGCCCACAAAGATGAGAAAGAATGCATAAACACTGAAAACTCAAAAATCCAGAATGCCACTTTTTCCTCCAAGTGATCACAACACCTCTTCAACAAGGGCTCATAACTGGGTTGAAACTGACATCATTGAAATGACGTAAGTAGGCTTCAAGATGGGAATAAAAACAAACTTCACTGCGCTAAAGGAGCACGTTGTAACCCAATGCAAAGAACCTAAGAATTATAAAACAATACAGGAGCTGACAGCCAAAATAGCCAGTTAAGAGATGAGCATAACCAACTTAATAGAGCTCAAAAAAAAAAAAAGAAAGAAACTACTAGAATTTCACGATGCAATCACAAGTATTAGTAGCAGAATAGACTGAGTGGAGGAAAGATCTCAGAGCTTGAAAACTATCTTCCTGAAATAAGAAAGGTAGACAAGAATACAGAAAAAAAGAATGAAAAGGAATTAACAAAACCTCTGAGATATACGTGATTATGTAAAGCGACCAAATCTACAACTGTTTGGGGTACCTGAAAGAGATGGGAAAAATGGAATCAAGTTGAAAAATATACTTCAGAATATGACCCAGGAGAACTTCCCCAACCTAGCTATAGAGGCCAACATTCAAATTCAGAAAATGCAGAGAACCCCCTAGTAAGATACTCCATGAGAAGATCATCCCCAAGACACATAATCATCAGATTCTCCAGGATCAAAATTAAAGAAAAATATTTTAAGGGCAGCCAGAGAGAAAGACCAGGTCACCTACAAAGTAAATCCCATCAGACTAACAGCAGACCTTTCAGTGGAAACCCTACAAGCCAGAAAAGATTGGGGGATGATATTTAACCTTCTTAAAAGAACCTTCTTTTCTTCTTAAAGAAAAGCATTTTTCAACTCAGAATTTCATATCTGGCCAAACTAAGCTTCATAAATGAAGGAGAAATAAGATGCTTTTCATAGAAACAAACGCTGAGGGAATTCATTATCACCAAACCTGCCTTACAAGAGCTCCTGAAGGAAGAAGTAAACATATTAAAGAAAAAAAAAAAAAACGGTAACCAGCCACTACAAAAACACACTGAAGTACACAGACCAGTGAGACTATGAAACAATGATATAAACAAGTCAGCAAAATAACCAGCTAGCATCATGATGACAAGATCAAATCCACACATAACCACGACTAACCTTAAATGTAAGTGGGATAAATGCCCCAATTAAAAGACACAGAATGATATGCTGTCTTCAAGAGACCCATCTCACATACAAAGACACACTTGGGCTCAAAATAAAGGGATGGATGAAAATTTATTAAGCAAATGGAAAATAGAAAAAAATCCAGGGTTGCAATCCTAGTTTCTGACAAAACAGATTTTAAACCAAAAAAAAAAAAAAAAAAAAAAAAAAACAAAAAACAAAAATAAGGGCAATGATAGTAAAGGGTCCAATTCAACAAGAAAATCTAACTATTATAAATATATATGTGCCTAATACAGGAGCATCTAGATACACAAAGCAAGTTCTTAGAGACAGTTAAAGAGACTTAGACTCCCACACAATAATAGTGGGAGACTTTAACACCCCACTGACCATATTAGACATATCATCGAGAAAGAAAATTAACAAAAATATTCAAGTCCTGAACTCAGGTCTGGATCAGGTAAACCAGATAAGTATCAATATATCTTTCACCCAAGAACAAGAGGACATACTTTCTTCTCATCACCACATGGCACTTACTCTAAAATTGATCACATAATTGACAGTAAAACATACCTCAGCAAATGCAAAAGAACTGAAATCAAAATAAACAGTCTCTAAGACCACAGCACAATCAAATTAGAATTTAAGATTAAGAAATTCACTCGAAACCATACAACTACATGGAAACTGAACAACCTGCTCCTGAATGACTCTTGGGTAAACGGTAAAGTAAGGCAGAAATCAAGAAGTTCTTTGAAACTAAAAAGAACAAAGATACAATGTACCAGAATCTCTGGGACACACATAAAGCAGTGTTGAGAAGGAAAATTATAGCACTAAATGCCCACATCAACAAGCTAGAACGATCTCAAGTTAACAACCTAACATCAAAACTGAAAGAACTAGATAACCAAGAGCAAACAAACCCCAAAGCTAGCAGAAGACAAGAAATAACCAAAATAAGAGCTAAACTGAAGGAGACTGAGACAAAAAAAAATGAACAAACCCAGGAGCTGTTTTTTTTTTTTTTGAAAAAACTAATAAAATAGATGTAAGAAAGAAGAAAAGAGAGAAGATTCAAATAAACACAATCAGAAATGATAAGGGGACTATTACCACTGATCCTACAGAAATATAAACAACCATCAAATAATACTATAAACACCTCTATGCACATAAACTAGAAAATAGAGAAGAAATAAATTCCTGGACACATACACCCTCTCAAGAAGGAACCAGAAAATAATTGAATCTCTGAACAGACCAATAACAAGTTCTAAAATTGAGGCAGTAATAAACAGTTGATCAACCAAAAAAAGCCCAGGACATGGATGGTACTGAAGTCCATTATCCTAAATGAACTGATTCAGGAACAGCAACAAAATAAATATTGCATGTCATCACTTATTAGTTGGGGCAAAACACTGAATACATATGAAAACAAAGATGAAAATAGTAGAACCTAGGGACTGCTTTACGGGGGAGGGTAGAAGAAGGGCATACTTTGGAAGGCTACCTATTGTGTACTGATAGGGCTCGGCTGTGTCCTCACCCAATCTCATCTTAAATTGTAACTTCCACAATTCCCACATGTCTTGGGAGGAACCTGGTGGGAGGTGATTGAATTACGGAGGTGGGTCTTTCTTGAGCTGTTCTCTTGATAGCGAATGAGTCCCACAAGATTTTATGGTTTCAAAAATGGGAGTTTCTCTGCACAAGCTCTCTTTTTGCCTGCCACCATCCACGTAAGATGTGACTTGCTCCTCCTTGCCTTCTGCCATGATTGTGAGGCCTCCCCAGCCACATGGAACTGTGACTCCAATTAAACCTCTTTCTTTTGTAAATTGCCCAGTCTTGGGTATGTCTTTATCACCAGCATGAAAACGGACTAATACAGGTACTATGCTCACTAACTGGGTAATGGGATTATTTGTACACCAAAACTCAGTGACATGCAATTTACTCATGTAACAAACCTACACATGTACCCCCAAATCTAAAGTAAAAGTAGAAAAAATTACAAATAAAACAGCTGTGTATAAAGATCTCCAGTAAAAGCAAATACATAGATATATATAAAAGCCAGTATTGCTGTAATTTTAGATTGAAACTCCAGTTATTATTTTTCTACAGGATTTTAAAAAGTATAAAATAATTTCAAAACTACTTTAATAAATAAACATTATTTATGTAGTGTTTGATAACTACATAAAATGGAGAGACAAAGCTGTACAGGATTAGAGTGTATGCAATCAAAGTTAAGTTGATATGATTGAAAATATATCATTATTAATTTGGAATATTACATGCAATCCCCATAATAAATACAAAATATCTACACAATATATACAAAAAATAAGAAGAATACCATAATTTATCACTACAAAATAAATTACTAAACATAAAAATGTCAGTAATGGAGGAAATGAAGGACAAAAAGAACTGTAAGACATAACAAAAACAAATTAAAAATGAAAAAATTAAATCCTTCCCTATAAATAACCACTTGATGTAGAAATGGATTAGCTACACAACCAAAGAAATAAATTAGCAAAACGGATTTTAAAAAATAGCATCCCACTATATGCTGTCTACAAGAGACACACTTTAAATTTAAGGACACAAGAGGTTACAAGTAAAAAAATGTGAAAAAAAAATTTATACAAATAGTAAGCAAAAGAGCTGGGGTGGCTATACTAACATAACGCTAAATAGAATTTACATAAAAAAACTGATAGAGACAAAAAAGTACATTATATACTAATAAAAGTATCAATTCACCAACAAGATACAATTTGCATATTCATACCCACCAAACATCGGAGCTCAAAAATATGTGAAGGAAATGTTAACAGAATAAAAGGAAGAAATTGACAATTGTACAATAATAGTGGGAGATTGAAATACATTATGTTTTTGGCTATTTAGGCTGATATAACAAAATACCATAAAATGGGTGACTTAAAAGCCAAAAACATTTATTTTTCACAGTTTTGGTGGCTGACAAGTTCAAGATCAATGTTTTAGCAGATTTGGTGTCTAGTGAAAGCCTGTTTCCTGTTTTATAGATGAAACTTACTTGCTATATCCTCACATGGAGGGAGAGGCAAAGCAACTCCCTGGGGCCTCTTTTATAAGACCACTACTCCCATTCATGAAGGCTGTATCCTCACAACCTATCACCTTCCCAAATGGCTTCACCTTCTAGTACCATCACTTTTAAAGTTAGGATTTCATTATGTAAATTCTGGAGAGACAAAAACATTTAGGCCATACCATTTCATTCTTTTTAAACATTTCTTTCTTCTTACATGCAAAATACATTCACTTTATTCCAATATACCCGGAAGTTTTAACTCATTTCATAATCAATGTTAAAGTCTAAGTTTAAAGTCTTATCTAAATGTCATTTAAATAAGATATAGATGAAACTGAAGATATGATTTATCCTGAGACAAATTGCCATCCAGCTGTGAAACTGTGAAATTAAACATGTTAAGTTCTTCCAAAATGCAATGTTGGGACAGACATTCTTTTTTAAAAGGAATAAACAGAAAATTAAAAAGGAGTAACAGGTTTTGAGAAATTTCAATGTGTTAAGGCTCAAGAATAATTTTCTTAGACTCAAGTTTCAGCCTTCCAGGACCACCGGGTGGAAGTCTGCCTTCCAGATCCACTGAAGCAATGGCCCTTCCCTCACAGCTTTGGGATGCTCCATGTCCATGGCATTTAACTGTAGTGGCCCCACCTCTGTGGTTGCTGTGTGCCTGGGTTGTATACCTGTGGCTTGTCTAAGCTAGAATTTCATGCACACCAGCCTGACATAAAGGAGGTATCCCCACCCTCACAGGCATTTCCCTAGTAGGGACTCTATAAAAAAGGCCTCATCCTCACAGTTCGTTTCTGTCTGGGCTTTGCAGCTTTCTGGAGTCTCCTTTGAAATCCAGGTTGAGGCAGTCACTTTCCCACAGCTTCACTGGGCACAATGCATACCATACTGTAATCTGCTGGAGCTACACTTGGGGTGACTGAGGAGCACAGCAATGGAGTGTGATGAGCAGAGCCTTTAGGCTGTGCTAGGCAGCAAGTACTGTGACCCTGTCGATACCTACAGCCCCTTCTTTTTAATTATTTATCTGTACTGCAGAACCTGGGACTCTGAGCCTTTGATGGATAATACAAAAATATATTAGAGGTCTTTTTAAAATTATCTTAATGAACAGCACCTGGCCAAGCCATACTGATCTTCTTATTAAATAGTCACTTGGCCATACCTTTGATGTTACCTTTTTACCACATTTTCTCATTTTTTACAGTATAGGCTGAAAGAGAATTTTCCAATCTTTAAGTCCTGCTTCATTTCTTATTAAACATTTAATTATAACATTATTCTCCTTTTCTTGATTATACTGTACCAATTAAAGAAAAGTCAAACTGTGCTTTCAACACTTTGCTTAGAAATTTTTTAGTCAAATGTCCTATTTGGTCACTTGTAAATTCTTTTTTCCACAACACTTATCAACATGATTCAGCCAAGTCCTTTGCCACTTTATGAGAAGAATTGCGAGCCTATTAGTTTTCAACTAGCATGTTCATTATTTCCAAGTAGACTTCATTGCAATGGCCTTTGCCATTCATATTTTTAGTATTTCCAGTGAAATTCAGATCATGACCATTTAAGTACACTCTAAGAAGTTTAACTCTTTGTCTACAAATTTTGTCTTTTCCTTATTCCTCACCAGAAGCACCCTTAGTAGTCTGTTTTTGGAAATACAGACTTTTTCTAGCATGCAGTTCAAAATTGTTCTAATCTCTACTCATTACCCAGTTCCAAAAATTATTCTACCATTTTAGGCATTTGTTACAGTGGCACCCCCACTTCTGGGTACCAATTTTATCTTAGTTTGTTTGGACTTCTATAACAAAATACTGTAAATGGGGTGATACATCCACAACAAATATTATTTTTCACAATTCTTGAGGCTGGGACATCTAAGACCCAGAAGAGGGCCTATTTCTTTGGTCATAGATGGCACCTTTTAACTGTGTCCTCACAGATCTTTGGGGACTCTTTAATATAAGCACAAATCCCATTCACAAAGATTCCACCCTTATAATCTAATCACCTCCCCAAAGGCCCCATTTTCTAATACCATCAACTTGGGGATTATAATTCTAACAAATGAATTTTGGGGACACACACATTTTCACCATAGCACCTCACTTTCAAAAATGAATAGAACAGCCGGACAGAAGATCAATACAGAAATAGAGGACTTGAATAACCTTATAAACTAATTGTATCTAAGAGACATATGAAGACACTCAACAACAGAATACACATTTTTCTCAAGTATACATTGAAATGGGAAATTTCTAAAAATACGTGTTTACTAAGAATAAATTGTGAAAACAGAAAATTTCATAGACCTATAAAAATAAAGAGATTGAGTTATTAATTAAACCTCACCGAACAAAGAAAAGCCCCAAAAGAGATTACATTTCTGGTAAATTCTACCAAATATTTTAAAAATAACTAATACCAATCATCATAAAATTTTTCCAAAACTTTAAAGAGAATAAAACACTTTAAACCTTATTTGATGATGCCAGTATTATCCTATTACTATATCCAGACAAAGACACTATAAGAAAACAACTCACTAATATCCCTCATAAATATTGATACAATACTACTTAATAAAATACTAGCAAATAGAATTTAACAGCACATTAAAAATATGTGATATGGCTTGGCTCTGATTCCTCCCTCAATTCTTCTCTTAAATTGTAATCCCCATGTGTCAAGGGAGAAACCTGATGGAAGGTGATTGGATCATGGGGGCGGTTTCCCCTATAATATATCAGATCTCATGAGACTCACTCACTATGCTGTTCTCATGATAGTGAGTGAGTGTCATGAGATTGGACGTATTATAGGCATCTGGCATTTACCCTACTTGCACTTCTCTCTCCTGACACCCCTGTGAAGAGGTTCTTGCTTCACCTTCGCCTTCCACCATGATTGTAGGTTTCCTGAGACCTTACCAGCTATACAGAACTGTGAGTCAATTAAACCTCTTTCCTTTATAAGTTACCCAGTCAGAGGTATTTCTTTATAGCAGTGTGAGAACAAACTAATACAGAAAATTGGTATCAATGTAGTGGGGCACTGCTATTAAGAAATGGCAAAATGTGAAAGCAACTTTTGTTGTAATGGGACTCAGTAGTAATGGGCAAAGGTTGAAACAGTTTGGAGGGCTCAGAAGAAGACAGAAAGATGTGAGAAAGTTTGGAACTTCCTAGAGACTTATCAAAATGATTTTGACTAAAACGCTGATAGTGATATGGACAACAAAGTACAGGCTGAGGTGGTCTCAGATGAAGATGAGGAACTGGAATAAAGGTGACTTTTGCTATGCTTTAGCAAAGAGGTGGGTGGCATTTTGCCCCTGACTTAAATATCTGTGGAACTTTGAACTTGAGAAAGATGATTTAGGGTGTCTGGCAGAATAAATTCTAAGAAGCAAAGCATTCAAGAAGTGACCTGGTTGATTCTGAAAGCCTTCAGTTTTATGTGTTCACAAAAAGAAGGTTTGAAATTGGAACTTATGTTTAAAACGGAAGCAAAGCATAAAGATTTAGAAAATTTGCAGCCTGACAATGTGGTAGAAAAGTCAAACCTGTTTTCTGGGAAGAAATTCAAGCGTGCTACATAAATTTGCATAAGTAATGAGGAGCTGAACGTTAATAGCCAAGAAAATAGAGAAAATGTCACCAGGGTATGTCAGGGACCTTCATGGCAGCCCCTCTTATCATAGGACCGGAGGCCTAGGAGGAAAAAAATGGTTTCATGGGCCAGGCCCAGGGCCCCACTGCTCCACATAAGAACAGCCTTGGGACATGGTGCCCTGTGCCCCAGCCACTTCAGCTCCAGTCATGACTAAAGGGGGCCAAGGTACACAGCTCAAGCCATGGCTTCAGAAGATACAAGCCCCAGGCCTTGGTGGCTTCCATGTGCTGTTGGGCCTGTGGGTGCACAGAAGTCAAGAATTGAGGTTTGGGAACCTCTGCCTAAATTTCAAAGGATGTATAAAAAAGCCTGGGTGTCCATACAGAAGTCTTCTGCAGGGGCAGAACCCTTCTGGAGAACTCTGCAGGGGTAATATGGAATGGAAATGTGAGGTTGTAGCCCCCACACAGAGTCCCCACTGGGGCTCTGCATAGTGAATCTGTGAGAAGAGGGCCACCATTCTCCAGACCCCAGAATGGTAGGCCTACTGACAGCTTTCACTGTGCCCATGGAAAAGCTGCAAATACACAATGTAAAAGCAGCTGGGAGTGGTGCTGTATCCTGCAAAGACACAGAGGCAGAACTGCCCAAGACCATGGAATCTCACTTCTTGCATCAGTGTTACCTGGATGTGAGACATGGAGTTAAAAGAGATCATTTTGAAGCTTTAAGATTTAATTACCACCCTGTTGGATTTTGGAATTGCATGGGGTCTGTGGCCTCTTTGTTTTGGCCAATTTCTCCCATTTGGAATGGGAACATTTACCCAATTTCTGTATTTCCATTTTATCTTGAAAGTAACTCACTTCCTTTTGTTTTTACAGGCTCACAGTTGGAAGGAACTTGACTTGTGTCAGATTTGACTTTGGACTTGGATTTCTAAGTTAATGCTTCGGGGAACTGTTGAGAAGGCATGATTGGTTCTGAAATGTGAGGACATGAAATTTGGGAGGGGACAGGGTAAGAATGATATGATTTGGCTCTGTGTCCATACCCAAATCTCATTTTAAATTGTAACTCCATGTATCAAGGAAGAAAGCTGATGGGAAGCGATTGAAGTATGGGTGCAAATTTCCCCATGTTGTTCTCATAATATTGAGTGAATCTCATGAGATCTGATGATTTTAAAAGTGGCAGTTTTCACAGTGCTTGCACTTCATACACTCTTGCCTGCCACCATGTAAAACATGCCTTTGCTTTTCCTTTGCCTTCTGCCATGATTGTAAGTTTTCTGAGGACTCCCCACCCATGTGGAACTGTGAGTCAACTAAATCACTTTTCTTTATAAATTACCCAGTCTCAGGTATTTCTTTTCTTTTTTTTTGAGATGGAGTCTCACTCTGTCGCCCAGGCTGGAGTCCAGTGGCACAAACTTGGCTCACTGCAACCTCTGCCTCCCAGGTTGAAGTAATTCTCCTGCCTCAGCCTCCTGAGCAGCTGGGATTACAGGCATGCACCACCAAACGCAGGCTAATTTTTTGTATTATTAGTAGAGATGTGGTTTCACCATGTTGGCCAAGCTTGTCTCAAACCCCTGACCTCAGGTGATTCACCTGCCTTGGCCTCCCTAAGTGCTGGGATTACAGGTGTGAGCCAACACACCCAGCCTCAGGTATTTCCTTATACCAGTACAAAAACAGGTTAACACAATATCATACAATATGACCAAGTGGTATTTATTTCTGGAATGCATGAATGTTTCAATAAATGAAAATCAGTCATTCTTATATGCCACATTACAGAATGAAGAAAAGCACATTACCGTTTTAATGCAAAAGTTATTTGACAAAATTCAATATCCTTTTATAATATCACTCAACAACCTACAGATCTAGGAAAAGTGCTTCAACAAATAAAGGTCATATGTAAAAGTGGGTAAATGATTAAGAAAATGGGCCTTGATTTTAAATAAATATGGGTTCTCTTTTACTGATAGTTACTTGAACAAATCATTTACCATCACTTTCTTCATCCGTATAATGCATATAATCAATGTACCTATTTCACTGTGGGCAGTTTAAATACAATAATACATGCAAAATACCTGGTACTTTTGAAACAGTCAGTTAAAGTTAGTTATAATTATTAGTCATTATTGTTTTGAACATACTCAAAATCCACAGCGTACCCTCTGGCTCCAAGTTATTTACATTTTTTTTCACGTGCAAAATACATTTACTCTTTCTGAAGTCTCCACCACCACCCAAAACATCTCATTCCTTTACATAATTTGCTTGAAATTTAGAATTCTGGTACCTAAAGGGGATCCAGATATGAATGAGGCTTCCAAAGTTTAGTTTCTATTTATAGCTCCTCAAATGTAGTTTCTGCTTATACGTCTGTTTACTAAAGAGACAGTTATCTTGCCAACATAGTCTATATGCAATAGTGGCATAGACATAACATAACATCTCTAAACCACTTTGTTTTAAAAGGAAAAAAATTGGGAAGCAGAAAAAAGTCCCTTTTCCACAGAAACTCTTAAATTCATCCAGGCACATATTGTAAGGTCTTTCATTAGGACTCAGTCTTACTTCATCCCAAGAGTAATTATAAGTAATGTTTAACTCCTCTCTGTCTCATTCTACTTTTGATGCTAAATGCAGCATTTGTTTTCAGTTACATAGTTTAATCAGCCTCATTCTCCTGGTAGAATTTTAGGGTCAAAGCCATCATTTCTTCATGTGTTGTTTCTCTTTTTTTTTTTAGTCCAAGCTTGCAGAATTTCTGCCAACCTAATTTATCTTCAGCCTGGGGTATTCTTTGAATCTTATTGGGATTTGTCACAGTAGAAAAAAGTCACACTTAATTTTTTTTAAAAAAAACTAAAACGTTGTCTACCTTGGGCTTCCATTGAGTGTACTGAGGGACAACATCTTTGAATATCTTAGAAGCCATATTATTTAATTGAATTTCTATGTGAAGCACCACCTTCCTAGGTCTTAACATAAGATTTTACAGATTTACCTTTGGCTTCATTTTTAGATTATATTTTCTTAAGTGTGATGTTTTCTTAGAAGCCATTCTATAATGTTATCACTTTTTAATATCTAAAGAGGCTAGGAACTTTCAAAACCAACAACTATTGGCTCTGCTTTGCTTAAAAGCTCTTTCTTCAATGATTTTCAGGTGACTACTCATCCTGGTTTTTCTGAAACTGGGAAATTCTCTGGGATGTTGGATTTTCAGTGTTAAAACTAGGGCAAGCTGGCCAGGCGTGGTGGCTCACGCCTGTAATCCCAGCACTTTGGGAGGCTGAGGCAGGTGGATCACAAGGTCAGGAGATTGAGACCATCCTGGCTAACACGGTGAAACCCTGTCTCTACTAAAAATACAAAAAATTAGCTGGGTGTGGTGGCAGGTAACTGTAGTCCCAGCTACTCGGGAGGCTGAAGCAGGAGAATGGCATGAACCCAGGAGGCAGAGATTGCAGTGAGCCGAGATCACGCCACTGCACTCCAGCCTGGACGACAGAGCGAGACTCTGTCTGAAAAAAAAACAAACAAACAAACCTAGGGCAAGCCTGGAAAAACAGGATGGATCATCATCCTAAGCTTAACTTTCTCCTAAAATAATACAAAAGGCAAGAAGTAACTAGGAGTACCTTCAACACTTTTCTCAGGAAATCTCTTTAGCTAAATCACCGGTTTATTACTTGAATTTTATGCTTTGAAAATTATTGCTGGTAACATTCTTGCTAAACTTTCAATCTCTATGAAACAATGGTATCTTTTTCTCCAGCTTCTAATTACATTTACTTCACAGCTTTTGCAAATACTCTCTGATAGCCTCTCTAAAGGCCACCAGGCTTCTAAAAACCTCTTTAGAATTCTTTATACTTTCACTAATACTCTCCTATTTCACTAATACTCTCCTATTCCCTTTCCACTCACTACACAGTTATTTTCTTTTTATTGTGACTTAATTTCTCTTTGATTCCCTTTTAATTAATAGTGGTTGAGAATTGGGCACTGGAGTCAGATCCTCTGAGTTCATATCACAGTGCTCTGTCTTGCAAGTTGTCCTTGAGCAAGTTCCTAACTTCTCTGTGCCCAGGACTCTGCATTGCAGTACCTATATCCTAAGGTAGTAGCGAACATGAAATATAAAGGATTTTGAAACTGCCTGGAGCCTTGTAATAAGTGTTAGCTGTTGGTGATTATTATTTTTTTAAATTTATTTCAATGGGTTTTTGTAGCACATTTGGTGTTTCATTACCTGGATAAGTTTTTAGGTGATGATTTCTGAGATTTTGGTGCACCCATCAACAGAGCAGTGTACACTGTACCCAGCGTGTAGTATTTTATTCCACACACTGCTCCCACCCTTTCTCCCAAGTCCCCAGAGTCCATTATATTACTCTTATGCCTTTCTGTCCTCATGGGTTAGCTCCCACTTGTAAGTGAGAATGTACAATATTTGGTTTTCCATTTCTGAGTTACTGCCCTTAGAATAATGGGCTTCAAATCCATCAAGGTTACTGTGAATGCAATTATTGTGTTCTTTGTTATGGCTGAGCACTGAGTAGTATTCCATGGTGGGTGTGTGTGTGTATATATATACACACACACCCACCATATAATGACACTTCCTATGGTTCATGTAATATACACATATATATGTGTATATATATGTGTGTATATAATATACATATATGTGTGTATATTTTATATATATATATATATATATATATATATGTATATCTCACATTCTCTTTAACCACTCATTGATTGATGGGCATTTGGGCTGGTTCTATATTTTTGCAATTGCAAATTTTGCTGCTTTAAATATATGTGTGTGAGTATCTTCTTCGTATAATGACTTCTTTTTCTTTGGGTAGGTACCTAGTAGTAGGATTGCTGTGTCAAATGATGGATCTACTTTTAGGTATTTAAGGAATCTCCACACTGTTTTCCATATTGATTTTAATTGTTTACATTCCTACCAGCAGTGTAAAAGTGTTCCCTTTTCACCACATCCATGCCAACATCTATTATTTTTTAATTATTGCCATTTTTTTTCAGGAGTAAGGTGGTATTGCATTGTGGTTTTGATTTGAATTTCCCAAATCATTAGTGATGTTGAGCATTTTTTCACGTTTGTTTGCCATTTGTATATTTTCTTTTTGATATGCTGTTGGATTCAGTTCACTAGTACTTTGTTGAGGAATTTTGCATGTATGTTCATCAGGAATATTGGTCTATAGTTTTCTTATTTTGTTATGTCCTTTTGTGGTTTTGCTATTAGGGTGACACTGGCTTCCTACAATGATTTAGGGAGGATTCCCTCTTTCTCTATCTTTTAGAATAGTGTCAGTAAAATTGTACCAATTCTTCTTTGAATGTCTGATAGAATTCAACTGTGAGTCTGTCTGGTCCTGGTCTTTTGTTTGTTAGTAACTGTTTAATTACCATTTTAATCTTGCTGCTTGTTATTGGTCTGTTCAGAGTTTTTATTTCTTCCTGGTTTAATCTAGGAGAGTTGTTCATTTCCAGGAATTACCCCATCTTTCCTCTAGGTTTTTTAGTTTATGCACATAAAGGTGTTCATATTAGCCTTGAATAACCTTTTGTATTTCTATGGTATTGGTTGTGATATCTCCCGTTTCATTACTAAGTGATCTTATTTGGAGTTCCTCCCTTCTTTTCTCAGTTAATCTCACTAATGGTCTATCAGTTTGATTTATCTCTTCAAAAAAACAGCTTTTTGTTTCATTTATCTTTTGCATTCTTTCTTGTTGTTTCAACTTTATTTAGTTCTGCTGTGTTCTTGGTTATTTCTTTTCTTCTGCTGGGTTTGGGTTTGGTTTGTTCTTGTTTCTCTAGCTTTTGGAGATGTGACTTTAAATCATTTATTTGTGCTTTTTCAGGCTTTTTGGTGTAGGCATTATATGTTATAAATTTCCTTGTTAGCACCACCTTGGCCATATCTGAGAGGTTTCAATAGGTTGTGTCATTAATATTGTTCAGTTCAAATAATTTTTAAATTTCCATCTTTATTTAATTGGTGATGCAACAGTCATTCAGGATCAGATTATTTATGGCAGATAAGAGGCAAGACCAACTTGCAGCTCCCACTTGGATGGACAGAACCGCTTGTGGAGACACACATCATGTACTTTTGCTCAAAGAATTACTACGGGAACATACCAGGAAAGCTGAGAGAATCCACAGATTTTTTTGAAGGAGGTGCACTGCCATTGAAGGGTCCATGGGACAGCCAGGGAACTGTGAATTTGCTTGCTTTCTCAGCTGGGAGGCTTGTAGCCTAGGCTACGTTCTCAGCCCTGCTCACTGGATGCCTGGAAATTAGCTCAGTGCTGTTGGGAGGGCACAGTGGGAATGAGACCAGTCTTTTGGGCTGTGAGCTGCGTGAGAGCTGGGTGAGGCCTGTGGCTGCCAGGTTTCCCCCACTTCCTTGAAGACCTGTGTGATGCAGCATAGGCAGCCATAATCCCCCTGGGAACATAACTCCATTGGCCTGAAAGCCGCACCCTCATGTCCCACAGCAGCCACAGCAAGCCCTGCCCAAGGACAGTCTGGGCTCAGACATGCCTAACCCTATCCCCACCAAATGGTCTTTCATGGTCTTTCTCTACCCTCCCTCGTGGCCAAAGACAAAAGACATAATTCTTGGAAGCTCCATGGCCTGCCCACTGCCTGACCCTAGAGCCAGCTTATATCCGCCCTATACTACCAAAGATATTTCATGCAAATGGACACCAAAAGCAAGAAGGAGTAGCAATTCTTATATCAGACAAAAAAACTTCAAAGCAACAGCAATTTAAAAAGACAAAGAGGGACATTACATAATGATAAAAAAAAAAGACTAGTTCAACAGGAAAATATCACAATTCCAAATATATATGCAACTAACACTGGAGGTCTCAAATTTATTAAACAATTACTACTACATCTAAGAAATGAGATAGACAGCAACACAATAATAGTGGGGGACTGCAATACTCCACTGACAATACTAGATAGGTCAGTAACACAGAAATTCAACCAAACAACAATGGACTTAAACTACACCCTAGATTAAATGGGCTTAACAGACATTTACAGAGCATTTTACCCAACAACTATAGAACATACATTCTATTCATCAGCACATGGAACATTCTCCAATATAGACCATATGATAGGCCACAACACAGGTCTCAACAAATTTAAGAAAATCAAAATCATATCAAGTACTCTCTCAGACTACAGTGGAAAAAATTGGAAATCAACTTCAAAAGGAACCCTCAAAACCATGCAAATACATGGAAATCACTGCCCAGTTCTAAAGCTATTCTCGCATTTATATGTATTTTATATGGCATTACTCCAATTTGGGGTATTAAAATTTGTATTAGTTTTCTTTTGCTGCGTAATAAATTTTCTCAAAATATAGCAGATTTAAATACTAAGCACTTATTATCCCACAGTTATTGTGGATCAGGAATTTGAGAGTGACTTACCTGGGTGGTTTTTGCTCAGGGTCTCTCATAAAGTTGCAGTTAAGATGTCAGCTGTGGCTGAGGTCATCTTAAAGCTTGAGATGAAGTAACATGTTGCTGGAGGATCCACTTCAGTGGAAGTGGCTTACTTAAATGGCTTTTGGCAGTAGGTCTAAATTTCTCACCCACTATTTGCAGGAAGGTTCAGCTTCCAATTATGTAATAGAGGTTATGGAACGCGTGTTTATTCCCCTTTGCCATAATAACAAATTACCAGAAACTTAATGGCTAAAAATAATATTCATTTATTATCCCACAGTTCTGTAGGTTAGAAGTCTGGCATAGGTATCACTGGACTAAAAATCAGCAAAACAGTGTTCTTTACTGGAGACTCCTGGAAAATATCTGCTTCCTGGCTTATTTATATTTTTAGTAGAGTTCAGCTTCATGTCATTTTAGGACTAAGATCCCCATTTCTTTGCTCACTGTCAGCTGGAGGCTGTTCTTAGTTTTTATAGAATTTTCTTCAGTCCTTACACATAACACATAAATTTCAGAAGCATAAACAGCAATTTTTCTCCTGCTGACACAACTTTCCTGCTTCCTCTTCTGCTTTTAAGGTTCCAAGTGATTAGATAGGTTCCACTTCAATAATCAAAGAAATTCTCCCTAGTTTAAGGCCCACAACTTCAATTATACTTTCAAAAGTTTCTTTGCCACATAACAATAAATTCACAGGTTCTGAAAATTAGGCCATGGAAATCTTTGGGCACTTGTTAATCTTATGACCTCAGAAGACATTCCAGAAGAAGGTATATTTAAACTGAGATCAGAAGGATGACTACTTTTTACCCAGATGAAGGAATGAGAATAGAAGTAGAGAAAAATGCTTCATATTAGGATGTACATTGGAAAAGCTAAAGTTTATTTGTTCTCAGTAAATTATCATTATGCACGTATTATCCTGTTATTACTAGTCCAATTATTAAAGTCAAATCTATATTCATAGTTGCAAAATCTCAATGTCTTCAAGGAAAATAAAACCACAAATGAGAAATGCATTAAATGATATTGTAAACCCAGCCTTCACCTCACACAGTTTTTCACACATTATTTGGACTTAAACCTATGTCCTAAGTCTATCATTATATCTACTACGTTGAAGATATTTTTCTATAAGTTGAAATATTAACTGTAATAATATGATGAGGAAAAATACTACAAGAAAAATATTTTTAGCTTTTTTTATGATGCAAATATAACTGTAATGCATAAAATTTATGGTCCTTAGATATAAGTAAAAAATTACCTGAATCAGCGAAAAATGCTGAGTACTCTTTCCACTTATGTTCAAGTTAGTGATGCTGATTTGGCTTGAAAAACCTGCCATTGCATTAATATTTGTTCCTCTTTATATAACTTGATTTTAATTAAATCTGGGGACATTTGCTCAAATATAATTAGAAACATATTTTATATATTTTAAGGATGTAACTTTCTATACCTAACTCTCTGGAAATGCAATATATAAGCTATTACTAAATCCAAATTTTAAAATGTACTCTCACATGTTTATACAGTTTAGGTTAGGAAGTGATGTGGAAGTGGAGGACAGAATGATTTACAGTGTGACCATACTTAGTTGGTTTTTTTGTTTGTTTGTTTGTTTTGAGACGGAGCCTAGTCCTGTTGCCCAGGCTGGAGTACAGTGGCGCGATCTTGGCTCACTGCAACCTCGCCTCCTGGGTTCAAGCGATTTTCCTGCCTCAGCCTCCTGAGTAGCTGGGATTACAGGTACCTGCCACCACGCCCAGCTAATTTTTATATTTTTTAGTAGAGACGGGGTTTCACTGTGTTGGCTAGGCTTGTCTCAAACTCCCGACCTCATGATCCGCCCGCCTTGGCTTCTCAAAGTGATAGGATTACAGGCGTGAGCCACCGCGCCCGGCCCATACTTAGTTTTTAATAAAAAATTACAGGTGAGAATCTGAGCGTGAATTGGGTAGTTTCTTCATCCATTTGACTTTAACTTTTAAAGAGTTTTGTAGTTCTTCAGTCTAAGTCACAGTATGAATTTTTTTCTTTAATTTATATAACTACTACTTTAATAGTACTAGTAAGAGAAAAATAGGCTTTTGTAAAAAGGGAATATTTCTTATCAATAAAATGTAAAACACCAAGATATTTTTAAAATATGGTTCTATACAATGAAGCAAGTAAAGATAAAATGTTAAATGTAGTCAGAAAAAAAAACATGTACATTGAAGAAAGCAATGGTAAGAATGAGAACTGATTTATCATCAGAAATAATGAAGGTCAGAATACAATAAAATAACATCTCTAAAGTGTTGAAAAGAAAATTGCCCCTCTAAAATTCTACATAATAATCAAAATAATAATAAAATAAAACATTTTAAGGTAAGCTAATACTGAGAGAATGCTTAGCCATCAGGCCAGCATTTGAAAAAATTCTAAGAGAAGTTTTGCAGTATCCATGAAAACAAACATTAGATGCAAGCTTATATCTGAAGAAAACAATTATTAGCACTAGAAAGTGTAAATATGTGAGAGTATAAATTTGTTAACAACTGTTTCATACAAAAATAAATGGGAAAGTAGATTTAGACAGGAATGCAAGGAGCATATAGAATTATACTGTTCTAAGTTTTCATGTTGTGAAGTGTTTTGATGTACCTGATAGTAAGCTATCATAAATAGAAAACTCACATTGTGATTTCTGGAGAAGTCACTAAAAACATGGAGGCAAAACAAAATGTTGATAGAAGGAATGAAGGGAATTAATAATAAATATTTAATTCATCTTAAATAATGTAAGCAAGAAAAAGTAAAGAAATAAAATAATAGATGAACATGTAGACAAAATAATTATATCAATAACTACAATAAATATAAATTTTCTAATATTTCTATTAAAAGCCGAGGTATTCTAGTCTTAGGACCTCTGGTTTTAATAGAAAAAGATAAAATTTATGCTGTCTACAAGAAACCCACTTTTACAATGAAAAAAACAGATCAAGAATAAAAAGATTAAAAGGATCTATAATGAAACTTTAAGCACGAAAACGCTAGGTTGTCTATATTAATTTTATAAAATGTATACTTCAAGATAAAAGTGTTATGATAAATGAAAAGGGGCATTTTACAACATCAAAAATACTTATCATTTGTTTGCTAAGTCTTCTTTTTGATGTTGTAAAATGCCTGTCTCAACAGACACTGGAGTCTACTTGAGGGAGTGCTGGGAAGAGGGAGAGGAGAAGAAGAGAACTATTGGGTACTGCGCTTAATATCTGGGTATTTAATAATGTGTACAACAAACTCCTATGACATGTGTTTACCTATGTAACAAACCTTCACATGTACCCCAAAACCTAAAATTAAAATTTAAAAAAGAAGACATTATCATAAATAGGAGTTATTTGTGTTAGTTTTTTTAGGATAGCTATAACAAAGTATCAAAACCTAAATGGTTTAAGAAATAGAAATGTATTATGTCATAGTTCTGAAGGCTAGAAATTCAAGATCATAGTGTCAGCAGAATTTGATTCTTCTGAATACTGTGAAGGAGAATTTATTCTCTGCATCTCCCCTAGCTTCTGGTGGTTTGCTGACAACGTTTGATTTTCCTTGGCTTCTGCTGCATCACCTTTATCTTTACCTTCATTATTACATGACATTCTCTCTGTGTCTCTGTTTCTGTGACAAAACTCTCTATTTATAAAAAATACCAGTCATGTTAAATTAGGACCCGTCTTAATGACTTTATCTTAATTAACTACAACTGGAATGGCCTGATATCCAAGTAAAATCATTTCTGTGTTTCTGAAAGGATTTCAACACGTGAATTTTGGAAGAAATGCGATTCAACCCATAATTATATTTAAAAGCAGAGCTTTAAAATACATAAAGCAAAAATGAACAGAAAGACAATAAGAATAAAATACATTACAACAGAAACTGCTGCAAGACACAGAATCTAAGAGTTCTCAGGGAAGACCAAAAACAAAAAAGCAGATAAAAATGAGAACACTAGAAAAATTTAAAGAATCTGGCACATATAGCTATAGCAAATATCAAACACAGGCCAACTGCTATCTGTATTACCATAAAACCTCACATTAAAAATCTATTTATCTTATTCTATTACCTGATACATGATATGCAATTATCAAAAAAAATTGCAAGGCATCTTAAAAGACAAATAAAACATGGAGACAAATAAAAGCATCATAACCAGCCTCATCTGTAACAAAGATTTTATAATTATCAGGCAGGGAATTTAAAATAACGATGATAAATAAATTAATAGCTCCAATTGAAGAATTAGAAAATATGCATGAACAGCTGAGTAACAAAAGACAAGAGAATGTAATTCTAAAGAAAAAGAATAAAAAGAAAATTATAGAAATCAAAACCAAAATAGCAAAAATAAAGAATGATTTCTGGCACTCATTTGTGACCTGAGTAAGGCTGAGGAGAGAATAAATAATTTCAAAGACAAGTAAATAGAAAATTCCCAACAGAAATGCAAAGAAAAACAGCATAAAAATAATAAAAAGAGAACATTCGACAACTGTGGTAAATTTTCAATAAGTATACCATACATAAAATGCCAGATACCAATACCAGAGAAAAATAAAGAAAAAAGAGAACGGCAGAAGTATTTGAGGTAACAATGGCCAAGTAGTTTCCAAAATTAATGACACACGTCAAACTACAGATCCAAGAAACTTACAGAACACCAAGAAGTATAAATATCAAAATATGCACACCTAGGTATATCCTATGAAAATTGCAGAAAACCAAAGACAAGGTCTTAAAGAAGCTGGAAAGAGGAAAACTTACCTATAGAATAAAGATAAAAGAACTGCAGTTATCTTCTCATCGAAAGCCATACAAGCAAGAGGATTGGGAAGTGTTAAAGTGTTGAAAAAAATCAGAGACAAAGAAATTGATATCCAGATAAATTATTCTTCAGAAATTGAAATAAAAACAAAAATATTTTTAAAAAACTGAGGGGAAGAAGCATTAACAGCCTACAGGCCATTAAAGGAATGTTAAAATATATTATTTATATAGAAAAAAATTATAGATAGGTCATTCATAAATAAAGAAAAAGCAACAGAGCAGAATAAATAAAGGTAAAATGAAATAATTCATTTCTATTAATTGGACTAAAAGATCAAAGCTTAAAGTAATAATAGTAAGAAGGTATGAGATGATTACATCATATAGATAAGGTAAATAAATTAAGCGATGTAATCAGAGACATAAGGTGGAAATTAGGAGTGCTTTCTTAAATGTAATCTGCACTACACTTGAAGTTATTATAGTGTTATTTGAAGATGGATTTAGATTAGCAAGGTTTTATATTAAAAACTCTGAGTCTTCCAGTACTATGTTGAATAAAAAAGGTAAAAGTGGGCATCATAATCTTCCTAACCTAAGATAAAAAACTTTCAGCCTTTTCTCATTCAGTGTACTATGAGCTGTTTGTTTGTCATTTATGGACTTTATTGTTTTGAGGTACATACCTTCTATACCTAATTTGTTAAGAGTTTTTATCATGAAAGAATGCTAAATTTTGTCAAATGCTTTTTCTGACTTTATTGAAATAATCATAGGTTTTCATTTTTTGTTAATGTAGTATATCAATTGTATTAGTTTGCATATGTTAACCAAACTTGTGTCTCTCTGATGAATCACATTTGATCATAGTGAAAGATATTTTTAATGTGGTGTTGAATTCAGTTTTCTAGTATCTTGTTGAAAATTTTAAAATCTATGTTCATCATGGGTTTGGAGCTTTAGTTGACTTTTTTGTTGTGTCCTCGTCCAATTTTGAAATCAGGGTAATACTAGCCTCATAAAATGAGTTTAGTAGCATCTCTCGCTCTTCGATTCTTTGAAATAGTTCTAGAATTGCTATTTTTCTTAAATGTTTGGTGGACTTTAGCAGTGAAGTCAATAAAGCCCAAACATTTCTTTGATTGCAGAATATTTATTACTAATTCAATTTCCTCACTTGTTATTGGTCCGTTCAGAATTTCTAATTTATTTTAATTTAATCTTTGTAAGTTGTATATGACCAGAAATTTATTCATTTTTTCTGTTATTAAATATTTTGGAACGTAATTATTCATAGTAGTCTCTTGTGATCCTTTGTATTTCTGTGGCAATATTTGTAATGTCTCCTTTTTCATCTCTAATTTTGAGTCTTCACCTTTCTTAGTCTAGATAAAGTTTTTTGATTTTGTTAGTATTTTTTAAAAAACTGTTTTGTTCATCTTTTTTTTTTTTAGTTTCTATTTTCTTTATTTCTGCTCTGAGCTATATTATTTTTCTCTTGTACCAAATTTGAGTTTTATTTGTTCTTGTTATTCTAGTTTCTTGAGGTACATTGTTATATTATTTGTTAGAAATTTTTCATTTTGGCAGGGCACGGTGGCTGACTTCTGTAATCCTAGTACTTTGGGAGGCCACAGTGGGTGGATCAGTTGAGCTTAGGAGTTCGAGACCAGCCTGAGCAACATGGTGAAACCCGCATCTACAAAAAACACACAAAAAATTAGCCAGGTGTGGTGGAGCATGCCTGTAGTCCCAGCTCCTTGGAGGTCCGGGGCTGAGGTGGGAGGATCGCTCGAGTCCAGGAGATCGAGGCTGCAGTGAGCCGAGATTGTGCCACTGCACTGCAGCCTGGGTGACAAAGTGAGACCCTGTCTCAAAAAAAAAAAAAAAAAAGTCTTCTTTTTTGTGACAGTCATTTATTACTATAAACTACCCTGTTAAAACTACTATTGCTATATCCAATAGGTTTTGACACAGTGTTTTGCATTCTTATTTCTCTCAAGAATTGTTTTAAATTTTATTTTAGGTTCATGAGTACATGGACAGATTTGTTATACAGGTAAATTGCATATTGTGGGGGTTTGGTGTACACATTGTTTTGTCAACCAGGACATAAACATAGCACCAGGTAGGTAAATTTTTGATCATCACCCTCCTCCCACTCTCCACCTTGAAATTGGCCCGTGTCTCTTATTCTCTTGTGTCTATATGTGCTGAATGCTTAGCTGCCACTTACAAGTGAGAAATTGCAGTGCTTTATTTTCTGTTTCTGTGTTAGTTCGCTTAAGATAATAGCCTCCAGCTCCAACCATGTTATTGCAAAAGACATGATTTCTATGACTGCATAGTATTCCTTTATACATATACCAAGTTTTCTTTATCTACTCTAATGTTTATGGGCATTTAGGGTGATACCATGTCTTTGCTATTGTGAACAGTTTTGCAATGAGCATACGCACACATGCTTTTTTTTTTTTTTTTTGACGGAGTCTCGCTCTGTCTCCCAGGCTGGAGTGCAGTGGTGCGATCTCAGCTCACAGCAAGCTCCGCCTCCCGCGTTCCCGCCATTCTCCTGCCTCAGCCGCCGAGCAGCTGGGACTACAGGCGCCCGCCATTCTCCTGCCTCAGCCGCCCGAGTAGGTGGGACTACAGGCACCCGCCACCGCGCCCGGCTAATTTTTTTTGTAGTTTTTAGTAGAGACAGGGTTTCACCGTGTTAACCAGGATGGTCTCGGTCTCCTGACCTCGTGATCCGCCCGCCTCGGCCTCCCAAAGTGCTGGGATTACAGGCATGAGCCACCGCGCCCAGCCCACATCTTAAAGGTAGAATGATTTATATTTCTTTAGGTGTATACCCAATAATTAAATTTCTAGGCCAAATGCTAGTTCTGTTCTAGGTTTTGTGAGAAATTATCACACTGCTTTCCACAATGACCTATTAGGTTGGTGCAAAAGTAATTGGGGTTTTTGTCATTAATTTTTTTTTTTTTTGAGACAGAGTCTCACTCTGTCGCCAGGCTGGAGTGCAGTGGCGTGATCTTGGCTCACTGCAAGCTCTGACTCCCTGGTTCAAGTGATTCTTCTGCCTCAGCCTCCCGAGTAGCTGGGATTACAGGCATGCGCCACCACGGTCAGCTAATTTTTATATTTTTAGTAGAGACGGGGTTTTGCCATGTTGGCCAGGATGATCTCGATCTCCTGACCTTGTGATCCACCCGCCTCTGCCTCCCAAAGTGCTGGGATTACAGGCATGAACCACTGCGCCCGGCCCAAGTAAAAGTAACTTTTAATGGCAAAAACCCCAATTACTGTTGCACCAACCTAATAATGTACATTCTAACCAGCAGTGTATGTGTTCCCTTTTCTTCATAACCTCACCCACATCTGTTATTTTTTACTTAGCCATTCTGACTCTTATGACATGGCATCTCATTGTGGTTTGATTTGCATTTCTCTAATGATTAGTGATGTTGAACATTTTGTCATTTGCTTGATGGCCAGATGATTTTTTTTTTTTTTTGAAAAGTATCTGTTCATGCCCTTTACCTACTTTTTAATATGGTTACTTGTTTTTGCTTGTTAAAGTTCCTTTTTCTTTTTCTTTTTTTTTGAGACTGAGTCTCACTCTGCCACCCCCAGGCTCGAGTGCAGTTGGCGATCTCCGCTTGCTGCAACCTCCACCTTCCAGGTTCAAGCGATTCTCGTGCCTCAGCCCCCAAGTAGCTGGGATTACATGCACGCACCACCATGCCTGGCAATTTTTTTTTATTTTTAGTAGACATGGGGTTTCATCATGACGGCCAGGCTGGTCTCAAACTCCTGACCTCAAGTGATCCACCAGCCCCAGCCTCCCAAAGTGCTGAGATTATAGGTGTGAGACACTGTGCCCAGCCTTGCTTGTTAAAGTTCCTTATGGATTCTGGATATTAGAACTTTCTTGGAGGAATAATTTGCAAATATGTTCTCCTATTGTGTAGATTATTTACTCTGCTGATAGTTTATTTTGCTGTGAAGAAGCTATTTAATTTAACTAGATACCATTTGTCACTTTTGTTTTTGTTGCAGCTGCATTTGGCATCCTCATAATACATTTTTTGTCCAGTCTTATGTCTACAGTGTTATTTCCTCGGTTATCTTCCACGGTTTTTTTTGTTTTTGGTTTGTTTTGTTTTGAGGTGGAGTTTCGTTCTTGTTGTCCAGGCTGGAGTGCAATGGTGCGATCTTGGCTCACTGCAACCTCTGCCTCCCGGGTTCAAGCGATTCTCCTGCCTCAGCCTCCTGAGGAGCTGGGATTACAAGCACACACCACCACGCCCGGCTAATTTTGTATTTGTAGTAGAGACGGAGTTTCTCCATGTTGGTCAGGCTGATCTCGAACTCCTGACCTCAGGTGATCTGCCTGCCTTGGCCTCCCAAACTGCTGGGATTACAGTCATGAGCCACCACACCCAGCCCACAGTTTTAATAGTTATGGGTTTTACATTTAAGTGTTTAATCCATCTTGAGTTGATTTTTGTATATGGTATAAGGAGGAGGTCCAGTATTGATCTTCTACATATGGCTAGCCAGTTATCCCAGCAACATTTATTGAATAGTGAGTCATTTTCTCATTGCTCATTCTTATTGACTTTTACAAAGATCAGATGGTTGTTGGTGTATCCCTTTATTTCTGTGCTCTCTATTTTGTTCCATTTGTCTAAGTGTCTGTTTTTGTACCAGTACCATGCTGTTTTGGTTACTATAGCCTTCTAGTGTAGTTTGAAGTCAGGTAAAGTGATGCCTCCAGCTTTGTTCTTTTAGCTTAGGATTGCTTTGTCTATTCGGGCTCTTTATTGGTTCCATATGAATTTTAGAATAGTTTCCTCTAAATCTGTGAAAAATTTCATTGGTAGTTTGATAGAAGTAACATTGACTCTAGATTGCTTTGAGCAGCATGGTCATTTTAACAATATTTATTCTTCCTACCTATAACATGAAATATTTTTTCCATTTGTTTGTGACATCTGATTTTTTCTCAGCAGTGTTTTGTAATTATTGTGGAGATCTTTACCTCCCTCATTACCTGTATTCCTAGTGTGTGTGTGTGTGTGTGTGTGTGTGTGTGTGTGTGTGTGTCTATGTGAATGAGATTGCATTTTTGATGTGGCTCTCAGCTTGGATGTTGGTATATAGAAATGCTATTGAGATTTGTATATTGATTTTGTATCCTGAAACTTTACTGAAGTTGTTTATCAGATTTAAGAGCTTTTGAACAGAGACTATGGAGTTTTCTAGGTATAAAGTCGTATCATCTGCAAACAAAGATAGTTTGACTTCCTCTCTTCTTATTTGGATGCCTTTTTCTTTCTCTTGCCTGATTGATCTGGCCAGGAATTCCAGTATTATGTTGAATAGGAGTGATGAGAGTGGGCATTCTTGTCCTGTTCTGATTCTCAAGAACAATACTTCCAGCTTTTACCCATTCAGGATTATATTGGCTGTGGGTTTGTCATAGACAGCTGTGATTATTTTGAGATGTGTTCCTTCAATGCCTAGTTGGTTGAGGGCTTTTACCCTGAAGGATTGCTGGATTTCATTATAAGATTTTATGTATCTATTGAGATTTGTGGTCACTTTTTGACTATGTGCCTTCTGCAGATGAGTAGAATGTATATTCTGCTGTTTTTGGATGAGGAGTTCTGTAGATGTCTGTTAGGTACATTTGGTCAATCGGTTGACCAAATATTGGTTTTTGTTTTTAGCTCTATTTAAGTGAAGAATCACATTTATTAATTTTCTATGATGCACCAAACTTGCGTCCCAGAGATAAAGCCTACTTGAATGTGGCTGATTAGCTTTTTGATGTGCTGCTGGATTTGGTTTGCTGCTATTTTGTTAAGCATTTTTGCACATATGTTCATCAATATTATTGGACACTTCTTTTTTTTCTTATGTCTCTGCTAGGTTTTCATGTCAGAATTATGCTTGCCTTATAACATGAGTTTGGGTGGAGTCTCTCCCCCTCAAATTTTTGAAATATTTTTAGTAGGAATGGCACCAGCTCTTCTTTATATGTCTGAAAGAATTCACCTGTGAATCCATCTGTTTCAGGGCTTTTTTTCTGATTGGTAGACTTTTTGTTACTGATTCAATTTTGGAACTTGTTATTAGTCTGTTTAGGGTTTCAATTACTTCCTTGTTCAAACTTGGGAGGTTGTATATTTCTAGGAATTTATCCATTTTTGTAGATTTTTCTAGTTTGTGTGCATAAAGATATTTATAATAATGTCTGAGGGTTTCTGTATTTCTGAGGGGTTTATGGTAATGTCACCTTTCTCATTTCTGATTTTATTTTGATCTTTTTTTAGTAGTCTAGTTAGTAATCTATCCATCTTACTTATTCTTTCAATGATAAGCTTTCTAATATTTCTTGAAATCTCCCACCGTTATTGTGTGTTTATCTAGGTTTCTTCATAGGTCTCTAGAAACTTGTTTTATGAATCTGGGTACTCCTCGGTTGGGTCCATATATATTTAAAATAGTTAGGTCTTCTTTTTGAATTCAACCTGTTACCATCATGAAATCCTCTTGTCAATTATGCTCAAAGGCAAGGGAGGAGATGGCATCTAACATGACAATAATGGAAGCAAGAGTCGGGGTGGGGTAATTGTCACACACCTTTAAACGGGCAGATCTCACAAAATCTCACTTACTGTCACACGAGCAGCACCAAGGGCCCAAATACAGAATCTTCTTGGGTCCAAATACCCTCTAGAAGTTTCCCATTGGCTAGGTAAACTAATTAAAAATTTAAAATTAATTAATTAGGTAAATGTAATAGAATAAATGCTTATAAACTTGCAATATAATTTAGGACCTATTATATTAAATTATTAAATAAAATAATAAAATAATAGACATTTATCAAATGTCTGGGTCACTTCCAATTTGTTAAAATTATATTATAGAAAAACGTTTTTATAAATAAGTGTTCTTATTAAAAGGAAATATTTTTGTCTAATGCAAAGGTTACTTAAAGATTATTCCTCTTTTTAAAATAACCAATCTTTTTATTTTAGGACAAACATTGACACACAAGATTTTTTTCTCACATAAAATTACTTTCTTTTAACCATTCTTATTGAAGTAACCTCCTTATATTTATAACTTCCTTTACATCTCTCTTGTTTTATTTACTAATTCATGTTATATTGTTTTATAAATTATCTTTTCCATGCCTGGTTACTGTTTCTCACTTGCAGCACAGGTCAGAACAAACTTTCACATGTTTCAGGTGACTTAAACTTTCTTTTCTAATGCTAAATTCTTCCCTTCCCCTATTCAACTGGCTACAACTGGCTATAGGCAAAAGAAACCCACTCATCCTCCAGTTGCTATCATTAAAATTCATGGAACAGGAAGCATGGGAAAACATAGCCTTATCAAATTATAAGGATTCTAAAAGTTGGGGATTACACCCACATACCAAAGGAAAGCTCATAGCAGGCTCAAGAGGGAACACATGCAAAGTGGCACTGGTGCCCACCCAAGTAAGGCCAGAGATGTCTGGAACTCTAAGATTGGAACCCACAGGAGGATGCTCCATGGGTCCTGCAGACCTCAACCTGCCAAAGGGGATGCCCTTGGCAGAGGTTCTGACATCTAGTATTAAACCCTCCTTAGAATTTTCTCTCGCAGTAGCAAAGTTGCTTGGGGCTACATTTATAGTTTTATAACTCTCATGCCAAATCTTGACACCTTATAATATTTAGCAGAAATAAATATATAACTGCTTGACCAACAAATCTAAACAATAGTGTATGTTGACAATTCTGTAGGCCTTTAGAATTTTATTTTACCAATAATTTAAAAGCCAGATTATTTATTAAAAATTTAATGAAGTCATATGAACTTAAAAATTATTTGCTTATTTACTTAATTTATGAGTACTGCTTTATTTTTAGACCAATATGGTACCTTGTGGCCACAACAAATAGTAAAACACATGTACATACACATAAACATATCTAAGAATACATACACATTCATAAAAAGATTCTGTAGCTTTTATTTTGGAACTCTTGCCATGAGGTATCAATATAAACTCCCCAGTTTAAAACAAAAATAGGTGGATGCCAATAGTGGTCTTTATCTCAACACTAGAAGAAAGGTCCTCAACTGGAAAAAAATTTACATTTTTGTAAGAAAAAAACAATCCTTATGTTTCTTTATAAATCTCACTACATCTTCAATATGGTTTGGCTGTGCCCCCACCCAAATCTCAACTTGAATTGTATCTCCCAGAATTCCCATGTGTTGTGAGGGGGACCCAATGAAGGGTAATTGAATCATGGGGCCGGTCTTTCCCATGTTATCCTCATGATAGTGGATAAGTCTCATGAGATCTAGTGGATTTATCAGGGGTTTCTACTTTTGCTTCCTCCTCATTCTCTCTTGCCATGACCATGTAAGAAGTGCCTTTCACCCTCTGCCTTCATTGTGAGACCTTTCCCAGCCATGTGGAACTATAAATCCAATTCATCCTCTTTCTTTTGTAAATTGCCCAGTCTCAGGTATGTCTTTATCAGCAGTGTGAAAATGGACTAATACAGTAAATTGGTATGAGAAGTGGGGTGTTGCTGAAAAGATAATTGAAAATGTGGATGCAGCTTTGGAACTGGGTAATAGGCAGAGGTTGAAACAGTTTGTAGGGCTCAGAAGAAGACAGGAAAATGTGGGAAAGTTTGGAACTTCCTAGAGACTTGTTGAATATCTTTGCCCAAAATGGTGATAATGATATGGACAATAAAGTCCAGGATGAAGTGGTCTCAGATGGAAATGAGGAACTTGCTGGGAACTAGAGCAAAGGTGACTCTTGTCATGCTTTAGCAAAGAAAATGGTGGCATTTTGCCTCTGCCTTAGAGATTTGTAGAACTTTGAACTTGTGAGAGATGACTAAGGGTATCCGGCAGAAGAAATTTCTAAGCAGCAAAGCATTCAAGAGGTGACTTGGGTGCTGTTAAAGGCATTCCATTTTACAAGGGAAGCAGAGGATAAAAGTTTGGAAAATTTGCAGCCTGACAATGTGATAGAAAAGAAAATCCCATTTTCTGAAAAGAAATTTAAGCTGGCTGTAGAACTTTGCATAAGTAACAAGGAGCTGAATGTTAATTTCCAAGACAATGGGGAAAATGTCCCTGGGGCATGTCAGTGGTCTTCGTGGCAGCCCTTCTCATCACAGGCCTAGAGGTTTAAGAGGAAGAAATGGTTTCATCGTCCGGGCCCAGGGTCCCTGTGCTGTGTGCAGCCTAGGGACTTGGTGTCCCGTGTCCTAGCCACTCCAGCTATGACTAAAAGGGGCCAAGGTACAGCTCAGACCCTGGCTTCAGAGGGTGCAAACCCCAAGCCTTGGCAGGGTCCATATGGTGTTGAGCCTGTGGGTGCACAGAAGTCAAGAACTGATGTTTGGGAACCTCAGACTAGATTTCAGAACATGTATGAAAACACCTGGATGCCCAGGCAAAAGTTTCCTGAAGGGACTGGGCCCTCATGCAGAACCTCTGCTAGAGCAGTGCTGAAGGGAAATGTGGGGTGAGAGACCCCACACAGAGTCCCTACTGGGGCACTGCCTAGTGGAACTGTGAGAAGAGGGCCACCATCCTCCAGATCCCAGAATGGTAGATTCACCAACAGCTTGCACTGTGTGCCTGGAAAAGCCTCAGACACTCAATGCCAGCCTATGAAAGCCACAGGTAGGGTGGCCGTACCTTGCAAAGCCACAGGGATGGAGCTGCCCAAGACCATGGGAACCCACCTCTTGCATCAGTGTGACATGGAGCCAAAGGAGGTCATTTTGGAACTTTAAGATTTGACTGCCCTGCTGGATTTTGGACTTGCATGGGGCCTGTAGCCCCTTTCTTTTGGCTAATTTTTTTTTTTTCATTTGGAACAGCTGTATTTACCCAATGTCTGTACCTCCATTGTATCTAGGAAGTAACTAACTTGCCTTTGATTTTACAGGCTCATAGCCTGAAGGGACATGTCTTTTCTCAGATGAGATGTTGGACTCTGGACTTTTAAGTTAATGCTGAAATGAGTTAAGACTTTGGGGGACTGTTGGAAAGGCATGATTGGTTTTGAAATGAGAGGACATGAGATTTGGGAGGGGCCAGGGTGGAATTATATGGTTTGGCTGTGCCTCCACCCAAATCTCAACTTGAATTATATCTCCCAGAAGTCCCACAGGTTGTGGGAGGGACACAGTGGGAGGTAATTGAATCATGGGGGCTAGTCTTTCCCATGCTATTCTCATGATAGTGAATAAGTCTCATGAGATGTGATGGGTCTATGAGCGGTTTCTGCTTTTGCTTCTTCCTCATTCTCTCTTGCCACCACCATATAATAAGTGTCTTTAACCCTCTGCCATGATTGTGATAACTTCCCCAGCCATGTGGAACTGTAAGTCCAATTAATCTGTTTTCTTTTGTAAATAGCCCAGTCTTGGGTATGTCTTTATCAGCAGTGTGAAAACAAACTAATACAATCTTACTGCCTGACTAGCCTAACTCTTAGTAACCTTAATTCCTAGTAAAAAACCTAATATTGTTTAACATAAAATGTGTGAAAGAAAAATAAATATTGGGTCCCCCAAATTACTAAACTAAAGAGGAAAGTCGAGTTGGGAACTGCTTAGGGCTAACCTGCCTCCCATTCCATTCAAGGTCAACCCTCTGCTCACTGAGATAAATGCATATCTGACTGCCTCCTGATATGGTTTGGCTATGTCCCTACCCAAATCTCATTTTGAATTGTAGCTCTCATAATTCCCACATGTTGTAGGAGGAATGCAGTGGGAGATAATTGTATCATGGGGGTGGTTTCCCCCATATTTTTCTTGTGGTAATGAATAAGTCTCCTGAGAGCTGATGTTTGTATAACAGGAAACCCTTTTCACTTGGTTCTCATTTTCTCCTTTGTCTGCTACCATGTAAGACATGTCTTTGGCCTTTTGCCATGATTGTGAGGCCTCTCCAGCCACGTGGAACTGTGAGCCCATTAAAACTCTTTTTATTTATAAATTACCCAGTCTCGGATATGTCTGTATCAGTAGTGTGAGAACGAACTAATACACCTCCTTTGGAGAGGCTAATCAGAATCTCAAAAGAATGCAACTATTTGTCTCTTATCTAACTATGACCTGTAAGTCCCCACTCCACTTCGAATCATCCCACATTTGCTTTGAGTTGTCCCACCTTTCTGGACCCAACAAATGTTCATCTTACATATGTTGATTGATATCTCATGTCTCTCTAAAATGTGTAAAACCAAGCTGTGCTCTGATCACCTTGGGCAGATGTCATCAGGACCTCCTGAGATTGTGTCAGGGGTGCGCATCCTCAACCTTGGCAAATAAACTTTCTAAATTAACTGAGACCTGTCTCAGATATTCAGGGGTCATACATGACTTTAAGATTTCAAATTATTGGAGAAAATTTTGAGACTAAAGTTACTAAATTAATCTTACCAATGATTACTACAGTCATGTGAACTGAAGTCTGTGAGCTAGCTTCTATTAATTTGATAAACACTTTTCTTTTAGCCAGTTAATTAGAGTTCTCTCATATGATTAATAGATGAACATCATTTCCACAACACACATATAACATATTGACATAGAAGACCCAGACAGAGGCAGATCTTATAGATTTAAAATATTTCGTTTGCCTATTTTCAAACATGTTCTAGCTCCTGCTACAGACTATTAATCTCTTGATTATCTGTCCCATGTCCTAAACAATTGTTAACTAGGCAACTCTAAATTTGCATCTCCAAAGACATGACTTAGGTTTAAAAAAAGGTAGAAAACGTACATCTCAAAGGCATAGACTTAGATGTAAACAAAAGTAAGGTCTATTATGTAAACTTTAAAACATTGTTTATTCCCTAGTTAAAATTTCTAGTGGTTTAGGTGCAGAGACACAGCTGCTTTACGAAAAAAAAAAAAAAAAAAAAAAGATTTTATTTAAAGATGAAAATTTTCCATACAAAGAGATTTATTTAAATGATTTAGTTTTATAGATGGTCTTTTCAACTTAGCTTTACTAGATTACTAACTTTAGGGTGAAGCCCTTTAAGAAACAGGGCCAACAAAGCATGCAGGTTTTAGGGCTTGCATAATGACGTTTTTATCTAAATGTTCAAATAAATGAGTTGTTCCTCGTAGTGTAGCAGAACGAGCCACAGACAAAACCTCTCAGACACCGAGTTGTAGAAGGAAGGGCTTTATTCAGCTGGGAGCATCAGCAAGCTACTGCCTTAAAATCCGAGCTCCCTGAGTGCACAATTTATGTCCCTTTTAAGGGCTCACAACACTAAAGATTTCACATGAAAGGGTCGTGATTGATTTGAGCAAGCAAGGGGTAGTGACAGGGGCTGCATGTACTGGTGGTCAGAGTGAAACAGAGCAGAGCAGGGAGTTTCACAATGTTCTTCCACACAATGCCTGAAATCTATGGGTAACATTGGGTTCTAAGTCATGAGTTGATTTTTAACTACTATGTTTAGGCGAGGCAGGCCCAGGCCTGGTTTTGGGCCTGGCACTGGGCTGACTGTCTTTGATTTCACTTCCTTGTTTTTTTTTTTCTTAAAACAGATACTGAGTATAAAACAATATAAAACAATATGAGAGAGTCTCTCTCTTCCCTCAGTAGTAATGGCCATTTTCTATAAATTTTGCTCAGCCATCCCTAACATTGTCATTCTCATCTGCCACTACACACACCAAGGTCAAATTTTGTAACAGTACAAAATAATCTCTAGTACCCACCAAAGCCAAAGAGATCAGGTAATGCAATATAAGAAAGCAGAACTTTAGACCTGAAAGAAATCTGCCATGACACTTGAAACTCCACAAAGAAAGCAGAATACTCTCTCTTTGTTAAGGGGTCTGATTCATTAGAAGCCTGTCAGGCCTCTGAGCCCAAGCCAAGCCATCACATCCCCTGTGTCTTGCACCTATACGCCCAGATGGCCTGAAGTAACTGAAGAATCACAAAAGAAGTGAATATGCCCTGCCCCACCTTAACTGATGACATTCCACCACAAAAGAAGTGTAAATGGCCGGTCCTTGCCTTAAGTGATGACATTACCTTGTGAAAGTCCTTTTCCTGGCTCATCCTGGCTCAAAAAGCACCCCCACTGAGCACCTTGCGACCCCGACTCCTGCCCGCCAGAGAACAAACCCCCTTTGACTGTAATTTTCCGTTACCTACCCAAATCCTATAAAACAGCCCCACCCTTATCTCCCTTCACTGACTCTCTTTTCGGACTCAGCCCGCCTGCACCCAGGTGAAATAAACAGCCTTGTTGCTCACACAAAGCCTGTTTGGTGGTCTCTTCACACGGACGCGCATGAAATTTGGTCCCAGTCAGGCCTCTGAGCCCAAGCCAAGCCATCGCATGCCCTGTGACTTGCACATGTATGCCCAGATGGCCTGAAGTAACTGAAGAATCACAAAAGAAGTGAATGTGCCCTGCCCCGCCTTAACTGATGACATTCCACCACAAAAGAAGTGAAAAAGGCCGGTCCTTGCCTTAAGTGATGACATTACCTTGTGAAAGTCCTTTTCCTGGCTCATCCTGGCTCAAAAAGCACCCCCACTGAGCACCTTGCGACCCCCACTCCTGCCTGCCAGAGAACAAACCCCCTTTGACTGTAATTTTCCTTTACCTACCCAAATCCTATAAAACAGCCCCACCCTTATCTCCCTTCACTGACTCTCTTTTCGGACTCAGCCCGCCTGCACCCAGGTGAAATAAACAGCCTTGTTGCTCACACAAAGCCTGTTTGGTGGTCTCTTCACACGGACATGCATTAAATTTGGTGCCGTGACTCAGATCAGGGGACCTCCCTTGGGAAATCAATCCCCTGTCCTCCTGCTCTTTGCTCCGTGAGAAAGATCCACCTACGACCTCAGGTCCTCAGACCAACCAGCCCAAGAAACATCTCACCAATTTCAAATCCAGTAAGCCGCCTCTTTTTACTCTCTTCTCCAACCTCCCTCACTATCCCTCAGCCTCTTTCTCCTTTCAATCTTGGTGCCACACTTCAATCTCTCCCTTCTTTTAATTTCAATTCCTTTCATTTTCTGGTAGAGACAAAGGAGACATGTTTTATCCCTGGACCCAAAACTCTGGCGCCGGTCACGGACTAGGGAAGGCAGCTTTCCCTTGGTGTTTAATCATTTCAGGGACACCTCTCTGATTATTTACCCAGGTTTCAGAGGTGTCAGACCACGCAGGGATGCCTGCCTTGGTCCTTCACCCTTAGTGGCAAGTCCTGCTTTTCTGGGGAAGGGGCAAGTACCCCAACCCCTTCTCTCCGTGTCTCTACCCCTTCTCTGCCTTTCTGGGGGGCAAGAAACCCCCAACCCTTTCTCCTTCACCCTGAGTGGCAAGTCCCACTTTTCTAGAGGAGGGGAAAGTACCCCAACCTCATATCTCTGCACCTCAATCCCTTATTTCCACACCCCAACCTATTATCTCTGTGCCCCAATCCCTTATTTCCATGCCCCAACCTCTTATCTCTGCACCACAATCCCTTATTTCCATGCCCCGACATCTTATGTCTCCACGCCCTGACCTCGTATCTCTGCACCCCGACCCCTTTCCTGCTTTTCTGGAGGGTAAGAACCCCTGAACCGCTTCCCTCCGTGTCTCTACTCTCCCTTTTCTTTAAACTTGCCTCCTTCACTATAGGCAACCTTCCACCCTCCATTCCTCCTTCTTCTCTCTTAGCCTGTGTTCTCAAAAACTTAAAACCTCTTCAACTCACACCTGACCTAAAACCTAAATGCCTTATTTTCTTCTGCAATGCCGCTTGACCCCAATACAAACTCAACAGTAGTTCCAAATAGCCGGAAAACAGCACTTTCAATTTTTCCATCCTGCAAGATCTAAATAATTCTTGTCGTAAAATGGGCAAACGGTCTGAGGTGCCTGACGTCCAGGCATTCTTTTACACATCGGTCCCTCCCCAGTCTCTGTGCCCAATGCAACTCATCCCAAATCTTCCTTCTTTCCCTCCCACCTGTCCCCTCAGTCCCAACCCCAAGCATCACTGAGTCTTTCTAATCTTCCTTTTCTACAGACCCATCTGACCTCTCCCCTCCTCCCCAGGCTGCTCCTCACCAGGCCGAGCTAGGTCCCAAGTCTTCCTCAGCCTCCGCTCCTCCACCCTATAATCCTTTTATCACCTCCTCTCCTCACACCCAGTCCGGTCCGGCTTACAGTTTCATTCCGTGACTAGCCCTCCCCCACCTGCCAGCAATTTACTCTTAAAAAGGTGGCTGGAGCTAAAGGCATAGTCAAGGTTATTGCTCCTTTTTCTTTATCCCAAATCAGATAGCGTTTAGGCTCTTTATCAATATAAAAATCCAGCCCAGTTCATAACTTGTTTGGCAGCAACCCTGAGACACTTTACAGCCCTAGACCCTAAAAGGTCAAAAGGCCGTCTTATTCTCAAAATACATTTTATTACCCAATCTGCTCCTGACATTAAATAAAACTCCAAAAATTAAATTCCAGCCCTCAAACCCCACAACAGGATTTAATTAACCTCGCCTTCAAGGTGTACAATAATAGAAAAAAGTTGCAATTCCTTGCCTCCACTGTGAGACAAACCCCAACCACATCTCTAGCACACAAGAACTTCCAAATGCCTGAACCGCAGCGGCCAGGCGTTCCTCCAGTACCGCCTCCCCCAGGAGCTTGCTACAAGTGCCAGAAATCTGGCCACCAGGCCAAGGAATGCCTGCAGCCCAGGATTCCTCCTAAGCCGCGTCCCATCTGTGCGAGACCCCACTGGAAATCGGACTGTCCAACTCACCTGGCAGCCACTCCCAGAGCCCCTGGAACTCTGGCCCAAGGCTCTCTGACTCCTTCCCAGATCTTCTTGGCTTAGCGGCTGAAGACTGACGCTGCCCAGTCGCCTCGGAAGCCCCCCTACATCATGGACGCTGAGCTTCAGATAACTCTCACAGTGGAAGGTAAGTCCGTTCCCTTCTTAATCAATACGGAGGCTACCCACTCCACATTACCTTCTTTTCAAAGGCCTGTTTCCCTCACCTCCATAACTGTTGTAGGTATTGACGGCAAGGCTTCTAAACCTCTTAAAACTTCCCAACTCTGGTGCCAACTTAGACAATACTCTTTTAAGCACTCCTTTTAGTTATCCCCACCTGCCCAGTTCCCTTATTAGGCGGAGACACTTTAACTAAATTATCTGCTTCCCTGACTATTCCTGGGCTACAGCCACACCTCATTGCTGCCCTTCTTCCCAATCCAAAGCCTCCTTTGTGTCCTCCTCTTGTATCCCCCCACCTTAACCCACAAATATAAGATACCTCTACTCCCTCCTTGGCGACCGATCATGCACCCCTTACCATCCCATTAAAACCTCATCACCCTTACCCCGCTCAATGCCAATATCCCATCCCACAGCATGCTTTGAAAGGATTAAAGCCTGTTATCACTCGCCTGCTACAGCATGGCCTTTTAAAGCCTATAAACTCTCCTTACAATTCCCCCATTTTACCTGTCCTAAAACCAGACAAGCCTTACAAGTTAGTTCAGGATCTGCGCCTTATCAACCAAATTGTTTTGCCTATCCACCCCGTGCTGCCAAACCCATATACTCTCCTATCCTCAATACCTGCCTCTACAACCCATTATTCTGTTCTAGATCTCAAACGTGCTTTCTTTACTATTCCTTTGCACCCTTAATCCCAGCCTCTCTTCGCTTTCACTTTGACTGACCCTGACACCCATCAAGCTCAGCAAATTACCTGGGCTGTACTGCCGCAAAGCTTCACAGACAGCCCCCATTACTTCAATCAAGCCCAAATTTCTTCCTCATCTGTTACCTGTCTCAGCATAATTCTCATAAAAACACACGTGCTCTCCCTACCAATCGTGTCCGACTGATCTCTCAAACCCCAGCACCTTCTACAAAACAACAACTCCTTTCCTTCCTAGGCCTGGTTAGCACGGTCAGAATTCTTACACAAGAGCCAGGACCACACCCTGTAGCCTTTCTGTCCAAACAACTTGACCTTACTGTTTTAGCCTAGCCCTCATGTCTGCGTGCAGCGGCTGCCACTGCATTAATACCTTTAGAGGCCCTCAAAATCACAAACTATGCTCAACTCACTCTCTACAGTTCTCATAACTTCCAAAATCTATTTTCTTCCTCATACCTGACACATACTTTCTTTTTCCCGGCTCCTTCAGCTATACTCACTCTTTGTTGAGTCTCCCACAATTACCATTGTTCCTGGCCCAGACTTCAATCTGGCCTCCCACATTATTCCTGATACCACACCTGACCCCCATGACTGTATCTCTCTGATCCACGTGACATTCACCCCATTTCCCCAAATTTCCTTCTTTCCTGTTCCTCACCCTGATCACGCTTGATTTATTGATGGCGGTTCCACCAGGCCTTATCGCCACACACCAGCAAAGGCAGGCTATGCTATGGTACAAGCCACTAGCCCACCTCTCAGAACCTCTCATTTCCTTTCCATCGTGGAAATCTATCCTCAAAGAAATAACTTCTCAGTGTTCCATCTGCTATTCTACTACTCCTCAAGGATTATTCAGGCCCCCTCCCTTCCCTACACATCAAGCTCAAGGATTTGCCCCAACCAGGACTGGCAAATTAGCTTTACTCAACATGCCCTGAGTCAGATAACTAAAATACCTCTTAGTCTAGGTAGATACTTTCACTGGATAGGTAGAGGCCTTTCCTACAGGGTCTGAGAAGTCCTCCTCAGTCATTTCTTCCCTTCTGTCAGACATAGTTCCTCAGTTTAGCCTTCCCACCTCAATGCAGTCTGATAACAGACCAGCCTTTATTAGTCAAATCAGCCAAGGAGTTTTTCAGGCTCTTAGTATTCAGTGAAACCTTTATATCCCTTACGGTCCTCCGTCTTCAAGAAAAGTAGAATGGACTAAAGGTCTTTTAAAAACACACCTCACCAAGCTCAGCCACCAACTTAAAAAGGACTGGACAATACTTTTACCACTTTCCCTTCTCAGAATTCAGGCCTGTCCTCGGAATGCTACAGGGTACAGCCCATTTAAGCTCCTGTATAGACGCTCCTTTTTATTAGGCCCCAGTCTCATTCCAGACACCAGACCAACTTAGACTGTGCCCCCAAAAAACTTGTCATCCCTACTATCTTCTGTCTAGTCATACTCCTATTCACCATTCTCAGCTACTCATACATGCCCTGCTCTTGTTTACACTGCCGGTTTACACTGTTTTTCCAAGCCATCACAGCTGATATCTCCTGGTGCTATCCCCAAACTGCCACTCTTAACTCTTGAAGTAAATAAATAATCTTTACTGGCAGGACTATGCTGAATCTCCTTAGGCACTCTCTAATCAGATACCCTAGGTCCTCCCAATTCTTAGACATTTTATACCTGTTTTTCTCCTCTGTTATTCCATTTAGTTTCTCAATTCATCCAAAACCGTATCCAGGCCATCACCAATCATTCTATACGACAAATGTTTCTTCTAACATTCCCACAATATCACCCCTTACCACAAGACCTCCCTTCAGCTTAATCTCTCCCACTTTAGGTTCACCTAATCCCGCTTGAAGCAGCCCTGAGAAACATTGCCCATTCTCTCTCCATACCACCCCCCAAAAATTTTCGCCACCCCAACACTTCAACACTATTTTATTTTTCTTATTAATATGAGAAGGCAGGAATGTCAGGCCTCTGAGCCCAAGCCAAGCCATCGCATCCCCTGTGACTTGCACCTATACGCCCAGATGGCCTGAAGTAACTGAAGAATCACAAAAGAAGTGAATATGCCCTGCCCCACCTTAACTGATGACATTCCACCACAAAAGAAGTGTAAATGGCCGGTCCTTGCCTTAAGTGATGACATTACCTTGTGAAAGTCCTTTTCCTGGCTCATACTGGCTCAAAAAGCACCCCCACTGAGCACCTTGCGACCCCGACTCCTGCCCGCCAGAGAACAAACCCCCTTTGACTGTAATTTTCCTTTACCTACCCAAATCCTATAAAACAGCCCCACCCTTATCTCCCTTCGCTGACTCTCTTTTCGGACTCAGCCCGCCTGCACCCAGGTGAAATAAACAGCCTTGTTGCTCACACAAAGCCTGTTTGGTGGTCTCTTCACACGGACGCGCATGAAAAAGCCTTTGCTAGATTTTTTGCTCACTTGGTACTGAAGATGAAAAAAGAGGTATGAGAAATAGAGTAAGAGAAAAATAAATAAAAACAAAATTTAAAGAAAACATAAAATGCAGTTTTTAAAAACATTTTTTTTCGGCAGTTGTGGGGAATTTTAGCAAATTCAGAAGCCTCGTTTTCCATAAATTGGAATTCTCACTCACATTTGACTAAGTCAAGTAGGGTTTGTCAAACCTGATGAGCGAAATACTTGTGAAAAAATAAATAAATCTTGGGATCCTCAAATCACTAAGCCAAAAGAAAAGTCAAGCTGGAAACTATGTCAGGTAAAACCGCCTCCCATTTTATTTCTTAATAAAATAGCTACAGAGATAAGAAGCTACATATCTCCCTCACAATTTGCCCACAAGGAAATTCCTTGTGGACAAAGTGTTCCCAGAATAAGCTTGATCTGGCTGCGTGTCCTCACAACCCAATAACGAGAAGTAGACAAATTGGGAAAGAAAGGAGTTTATTGCTGTAACTGGTTATAGAGAGAAGGTCAGAGATAGTTTCAACAGACCAACTCAAAGTGCTACAATTTCCTTAGTGCTTATATAGGTTGGGGTTATGTGCTTACCCACAGCATTGCATTCGCCTAAGTTTATAGGTAACTAATTTTGTTTTAACTAGAAGGTCAGCGGCCAAAAATGCTTTTTAAGTCTGATCAAGCTGTGAGGGTCCTGGTATTTTAAAGGTCTGTCTCCTAAAGTCTAATTAATGAGGACTGTGGTACCGGAGTGATTAATTTCTATCTTACCTTGTTTGCAGTTTGGTCCAGAGAGCTGCCTTAGACTCCCCAGTAAATCTATTCAAACAGCTGCCTCTGTTACCTTGACTCGTCTCAGATGTCATCGACCTGAGATGGCTCCTGGCGCAAGGAAGGTAAGGCTGTCTCCATTATTTTGGCACAAGGAATGTAAGCTGTGTCCATTATTTTGACTTGCTCCAGGTTAGGGAGAAGCCTGTGCAAGGCTCCTACTGACCACATGTTTCATTTCTAGCTTTGATGTCTGGGCATTTATCTCCCTTAGTTTAATTATTTGCTCAATGTTAAGACAGCGCTGTGAAAATTTGTTGGTGTCACTGGGTTGCTATGCAGGCCTGTCTGTGTGACTGTCATGCAGGCCTGTCTGTGTGATTGTCAGGAAGTATTGGCCTGCCGCAAAAGGACAGACAGAACTCAAAGTCACCATCCTCAGGCTCACCTGAGACAAACACATATCTGATTCCTCTCTTTCCCCTAATGTTTATGTAAAGATGCAGATTCACTGAGCCAGACTAAATTGCGTATTCAGTGGAAGGCTTACCAAGGACTCAAAAGAGTGCAATGCTTATCTACTTCTACCCTGGAAGCCCCTACTTCAAGTTGTCCCACCTTACTGGACCAAGCCATTGTACTTCTTACACATATTGATTGATGTCACATGTCTCCCTAAAATTTACAAAAGCAAATTGTACCCCCGACCACCTTGAACACATATTGTCACGACTCCCTGAAGCTGTGTCATAGGTGCATCCTTAACCTTGACAAAAGAGACTTTTTAAATGGACTGAGACCTGTCACCAATTTTTGGGTTAACATACTAAAACATAACAAAAACAGAACAAAAAGTATGATTCCTGAGCACTCTAATAATAAGAAATTAAGACCAGCTGTCTGTCAATCTTAAATTTCAGACATTAAGGGAAATTTTCAAGACAAAATTCCAATTCAGCTACTTACCTAAGAATGAAGCCCTGGCTGAAGACTGCTCTATACAATCTTAGAAGCAGGAAAAATTCAAACTCTCCATTCCTGTTGGAAGTGAGCTGAAACTTCAAAAAAGAGTTGCCATCCATCATCATAGAAGCAGGAAAATTCATCTTCCTTGTTGAAAATAAGTGAAACTCCAGAAAATGTGTTATATAGCAAAATAAGCCTTATATATCAACAAAAATTTGGAAGATCAGGAATTCTCTGGAGGAGAGAGCTCCTAAATTTCAGCAAATAGTCCTATTGGTTTGAGAAATAAAGATATTCCAAGCTAGTACCAAGCACCAATAGATTTGTCAAAGGTCAAGGCAACCTCCATTCAGTCTCTTCTATTGGTTGCCAATTTGTAAACCAGAAAGTATATGAGATGGGTCTCAATCAATTTGAAAATTTATTTTGCCAGGGTTAGGGACATGCCCAGAATAAGAAACATGTAATCACAGAAACAATCTTTGGTCTGTGCCTTTCTCCAAAGATGAATTTGAGAGCTTCAATATTTAGGAGAAAAAAGTAAGCTGGAGGAGAAAGAAGAAGAGTATGGTAATCCACATGATGAAAGGGAAAAGAAACAGGTAGAGGAATAGTAAATTATGTATATCTCAAACTCAGTAAATCAGCACTTTACGTAAGATACAGTGAACACAGAGTAGCAACCTGTGGAGACATTTAACCTTTTATCTGTAGGTATCTGCTTAGGAACAAAATGAAGGCAGTTAATTGGATGACTCAGCTTTCAGTGTATTTTTTTTTTCTAACTTTGGCATAGTTAATTGGGGTCCTGAGTTTTTATTTTTTTGTCAGAGCATAGATTTCAGTCCAGATCTAGAGGCCTGAAAACCAGAAGCCCTGAGGGTATGGAATTTCAGGTAGAGTCAGCAGTCAGGTAGAGTGCTAATTCAACCTTCTTCCTTTTTGTACTATTTAGTCCTTAAACAGATTAATGATGGCCCTCTGCTTTGCTTAGTCCAGCAATTCAAATGTTAATTTTACTCGGAAACACCTGCAGAGACATTCCCAGCAATAATGTTTCATGTGCTATTCGGGCATCCCATCAGCCAGTCAAGCTGACACGTAAAATTAGCCATCAAATCAGATATATTGGACTAGATCCTAGCCATGTGACCTCACTTAATCTTAATTATCTATTTAAGGAGCCTATTTCCACACACAATCATATTTTAAATGGGTACTGGGTAATGAGACTTCAGCATACGAATTTTAGAATGACACGATTTACTCCATAACAATTGAAGATTTTAACATCGTTCTAGTAGTAATTGACAGATTTATCAGGCAAAAAGATTGCAAGGATATAGTTGAACTAATAGCCTTATCAATCAAGTGGATGCATTTGACATGTATAGGATTTTGTTATCCAACAATAGCAAAAATACATTTATCTCAAGCCACACGGAACATTCAGCAAGAGAGACCACATTTTGGGTCAAAAATCACCAGGTATGCAAGATAATTCAACATTTAAAAAGCAATCAAATTTAGTCAACTGATCTTTGACAAAAAAGAAAAGGTAATTCAGTGGAGAAAGCATAGTCTCCAACAATTGCTGCTGGAACAACAGAATGTCCTTATGCAATAAAATGAATATTTTATTTTCACCTGAGTTTCAGGTGATTACTTACACCTGAGTTTCAGGGACAAAATAAACCTTAGATATCAACAAAACATTCAGGGACGAGAAACTCAGGTGTAAGTACTGTCTAGAGCCAGGGAGTGTCGCTCCCAGCAAAAGAGCCCAAAATATCAAGTAAATTAACCCATACTTTGTGCAGATCATTGGAGAGAAAACAAAGAGTTTATAGAAAGGTGACGCAGACGCTGAGGCTGAAGAGAAAGGAGGCTTGGAACCCTGCATGGGTTTACCAAATGCTAGGGCTAGTTCCAGGCTTTGAATGGCTGCAATTCAAAAAGCCAGAGTGTCTTCCCACTTTCAAATCAGTCGTTTAGTTTCCAGAGGTATGGAGGATGGAGCTGATTGAAATTACTTAAATAAAAGACATAGAATTTAGAAGCTGGAGTGCAAGGAAGCTTATCAAGATTCAGGAGAAAGTTAAAAGCCAGTCCAGGAAATCCAAGGAAGTGAATAAAATGACACAGGATCTAAAAGGAAAAAAATAGCCATATTAGAAAAGAACCAAAGTGAACTTCTAGAACTAAAAAAATCACTACAAAAATTTTGTAATACAATCAGAACTATTAACAGCAGAATAGACCAAGCTGAGGAAAGAATCTCAGTGCTCACAGATTGATTAATCAAATAAACTCAGTCAGACAAAAATGAAAAATAAATTCTAATAAACAAAACTGAAGTGAAATATAGGATTAAGTAAAGGACAAAAACTATGTCTCATTGGCATTTCTGAGAAAAAAGAGAAAGTAAGGAACTTTGAAAAAATACGTTTGAGGATATAGTCCATGAAAATATCTTCAGTCTTGCTAAAGAGTTTGACATACAAAGTCAACAAACACGGAAAACCCCTGCAAGATAATGTACAACCAAATCACCCCCCAGGCATATAGTCATCAGACTGATAAAGGTCAAAGTGAGAGAAAAACTCTTAAAGGCAGCTACATAGAAGGATCAGGTCACATAAAAAGACAACCCCATCAGGCTAGCAGTGGATATCTCAGAAGAAATCTTACAGGCCAGAAGAAATTAAGGGCCTATTTTCAGCATCCCTAAAAACAGAAATTCCAACCAAGAATTTCGTATCCTGAAAAATAAAGCTTCATGAGTGAAAGAGACCTAAAATCCTTTTCAGGGATGCAAATGCTAAGGAAATTAGACCAGCCTTACAAGAGGTCCTTAAGGGAGTGCTAAACATGGAAACAAAATAACATCTGCTACCACAGAAACACACTTCAGCACATAATCTAAAGACACTATAAACAACTACACAATTAAGTCTACAAAACAACCAGCTAACAACACAAAGACAGGATAAAAATTTTACATGTCAATGCTAACTTTGATTGTAGATCATCTAAATGTCCCACATAAAAGACACAGAGTGGCAAGTTGAATAAAATGACAAGCCTCAACCCTTTACTGCCTTCAAAAGGCCCATCTCACATGTAATGACATCCACAGTCTCAAAGTAAAACAGATGGAGAAAAATCTATCATGCAAATGAAAAACAAGAGCAAGAGTTGCTATTCTTATATCAGAAAAAAATAGGCTTTGAACACAAAATAATTAAAAAAGGAGGAAAAGGGAAATTACATAATGGTAAAGGGTTCAATTCATCAAGAAGAGTTAACTATTCTAAATGTATATTCACCCAATATTGGAGCACACAGATTCATTTTAAAAAAAGTTCTTTTTAACCTGTAAGAATATTTAGACAGATGCACTATAGTAGTGGGAAATTTCAACACCCTACTGACAGTATTAGACAGAGCTTGAGACAGAAAACTAACAAAGATATTCTAGATTTAATCTCGATCCTTGACCATTTATACATAATAGACATCTAGAATATTCCATCCAACAACCACAGAAAAATATTCTTCTCATTAGCACATGGAACTTATAGTAAGATTTAACGTAGGCTTGATCATAAAGCAAGTTTCAGTAAACTAAAAAAATGTAAATTATACTAAGCACAATCTTGGACTACAATGTAATAAAAATAGAAAAAAAATCAAGATATCTCAAAACTACACAAATACATAAAATTTAAACAACTTTCTCCTGAATAAACTGCTAAATGAACGATGAAATTAAGGCATGAAGAAAAAAATTAAAATTAATGAAAATAGTGGAAAAACTTACCAAAATTTGTGGGTTGCAGCTAAAGCAATATTAACAGGAAAGTTTATAGCACTGAATGGCTTAATCAGGAAGTTAGAAAAATCTCAAATTAGCAATTTAACATTGAGCATACAGGCATTGAGAAAAAAGAAATAACAAACCCCAAAGCTAGCAGAAGAAAATAAATGTAAACCACAAATAAAATTCTAAGGCATATCTACCATCTGAATGGACCCCTCCTCTTATCCAAGGGCATTCCAGAGTCAACCTAAAAATCAAGTTCAGGCCATGATGGAAGAGACGGAGTTGGACATGCCTCATTATTCCCTACTGCCTTTTGGAACTCAGGAAAAGCTGATCAGCATTAACATCAACACAGACCTTAGTCTGATAAGAAGCATTTATAATCTATTGTCTCTGAAACTTGCTATTTGGTGGCTTCGTCTGCATCATAAAACTATCTCCAAAAACCCTCATTTTAACCTAGACATTCTTTTCTATTGATATAACTCTTTCAACCAATTGCCAATCAGAAAAGTTTTAAATCTGTTTATGACCTGGAAGCCCCCACTTTGAATTGTTCCACACTTCCAGATCAAGCCAATGTAAATCTTATATGCATTGATTGATGCATTATGTCTCCCTAAAATGTACAAAAAGCTAGCTGTACCCTGACCCCATTGGGCACATGTCATCAGGACCTCCTGAGGCTGTTTCACAGGCATGTCTTTAACCTTGGTAAAATAAACTTTCTAAATTAAGAACAACCTCAAATATTTTATATATATATATTTAGAGGGAGTCTTGATCTCTTGATCGATCACCCAGTCTTGAGGGCAGTGGCGTGATCACGGCTCACTGCAACATCTGCCTTCAGGCTCAAGTGATCCTTCTGCCTCAGCCTCCCAAGTAGCTGGGACTATAGGCACATGCCACCATGCCTGGCTAATTTTTGCATTTTTTTGTAGAGATGGGGTCTCAGTATGTTGCCCAGGCTGGTCTCAAACTCCTAAGCTCAAGCAATTTACCTGCTTGACCTTCCAAAGTGCTGGGATTACAGATGTGAGCCATCATGCCTGACCTTTCTCAGATATTTTAGGTTCACAAATTGGAAACCATGAAGGGATTCTGAGTGGAGGTGCCCCTGACTTTAGACAAATCTCCTATCGGTGCTTCGTATTAGGTTTAGCTACTTTTTTGGCTCAAACCAATAGGACAATTTGCAGACACCTGGGTGCTCCCCCTCACTACTCCAGAGAATCCCTGATCTCCCAAAATTTGGTTGAGATATAAAGTTTATTTTGTTGCACACCTTCTTTTCAAGACATATAGGAAACAGATTATCTAAGAATGACCCCTTCACACACCTATTTTGTTTTACGGTGCCTCTCCTTGCAAGTGGTTGTGTAAATGAAAGAACATGTCACATCTTCTAATATTCCAGTTTAGTTAAACATTACGTCTGTTCTTGTGCACATTTTAAACTAACAGGGAAATCACATCAAGGAAAATTCAGAGCCTAAAAGTTGACCTGCAACTATAAAGTTTCTAAGTTCTCTGTCAATCTCTCTGTTTTCTTTTCTTCCTGCTTTTTACGTCTCCTGTTAATTTTCTATTAGATAAAATCCACTGTTTACATCCAAATGTTTCTTTTCATTATTTGCTTCTGCAAACCAGTGAGTTTGTATTAATACTTTATGGCTAGAGTTCTGAAGTAAAAGCTATAAGATTTTTGTTTGTATAACTGTGTATGTGTGTATTTATGTGTATGTATTGTATTAGTCCATTTTCACACTGCTGATAAAGACATACCGGAGACTGAGTAATTTACAAAATAAAGAGGTTTAATAGACACATGTAGAACATGGCTGGGGAGGCCTAACAATCATGGTGGAAAGCAAGGAGGAACAAGTCACATCTTACATGGATGATGGCAGGCAAAGAGAGAGAGCTTGTGCAGGGAAACTCCCACTTATAAAACCATCAGATCTTGTGAGATTTATTCACTATCATGAGAACAGCACAGAAAAGACTTCATGATTCAATTACTTCCCACCAGATTCCTTTAACAACACATGGGAATTTGAGATGAGACTTGGGTGGGGACACAGCCAAACCATATTATTCTGCCCCTTGCCCCTCCCAAATCTCATTTCCTCACATGTCAAAACCAGTCATGTTTCCCCAACAGTCCCCCAAAGTCTCAACTCATTTCAGTATTAGCTCAAAAGCCCATAGTCCAATGTTGCATCTGAGACAAGGCAAATCACTTCTGCCTATGAGTCTGTAAAATCAAAAGCAAGTTAGCTACTTCCTAGCTACAAAGGGGGTACAGGTATTGGGTAAATACACCCATTCCATATTAAAGAAATTGGCCAAAACAAAAAGGCTACAGGCCCCATGCCAGTCTGAAATCCAGCAGGTCAGTTAAATTTTAAGGCTCCAAAATGATCTCCTTTGACTCCAGGTCTCATATCCAGGCCACACAGGCACAAAAGGTGGGTCTCCATGGTCTTGGGCAGCTCTGCCTATGTGGCTTTGCAAGGTGCAGTCTCCCTTCTGGCTGCCTTCACAGGCTGTCATTGAGTGTCTGTGGCTTTTTCAGGCACACAGTGCAAGCCATCAGTTGATCTAACATTCTGGGATCTGGAGGACTGGAGGATGGTGACTCTCTTCTCACAGATCCACTAGGTGGTGCCCCAATAGGGACACTGTGTGGGGGCTCCAACCCATTTCTATTCTGCACTGCCCTAGCAGAGATTCTCTATGAGGTCCCTGACCCTGCAGCAAACTTCTGCCTGGACATCCTGGCATTTCCATACATCTTCTGAAATCCATGTGGAGGTCCCCAAACCCCACTTCTTGACTTGTGTACACTCACAGGCTCAACGCCACATGGAAGCTGCCAAGGCTTGGTGCTTGCACCCTCTGAAGCCATGGCCTGAACTCTAGTTTGGCCCCTTTTAGCCATTGCTGGAGTGGCTGAGACATAGGACAGCAAGTCCATGGACTGCACACAGCACGGGGATCCTGGGTTCAGGCAACAAAACCACTGTCTCCTACTAGGCCTCCAGGCCTGTGATGGAAGGGTCTCCATGAATACCTCTGACATGCCCTGGAGGCATTTTTCCCGTTGTCTTGGGGATTAACATTTGCCTCCTCATTACTTATGCAAATTTCTGCAGCTGGCTTGAATTTCTCCTCAGAAAATGGGATTTTCTTTTCTATTGTATTGTCAGGCTGCAAATTTTCTCAACTTTTATGCTCTGCTTCCCTTATAAAACTGAATGCCTTTAACAGCACCCAAGTCACATCTTGAATCCTTTACTGCTTAGGCATTTCTTCTACCAGATACCCTAAATCATCTCTCTCAAGTCTGAAGTTCCACAAATCTTTAGGGCAGGGTCAAAATGCCACCACTCTCTTTGCTAAAACATAACAAGAGTCACCTTTGCTCCAGTTCCCAACAAGTTTCTTATTTCCACCTGAGACCACCTCAGCCTGGACTTTAATATCCGTATCACTAACAGCATTTTGGCCAAAGCCATTCAACAAGTCTCTAGGAAGTTCCAAACTTTTATTGTCTTCTGAGCCCCACAAGCTGTTCTAACTTCTGCCTGTTACCCAGTTCCAAAGTTTCTTTGACATTTGAAGGTATCTTTTCAGCAGCTCACCCTCTACTGGTACCAACTTACTGTATTAGTGCATTTTCACACTGCTGATAAAGCCATATTGAGACTGGGCAATTTACAAAAGAAAGAGATTTAGTGGACTTACAGTTTCACATGGCTGGGGAGGCCTCACAATTATGGTGGAAGACAAGGAGGAGCAAGTCACATCTTATGTGGATGGCACCAGGCAAAAAGGGAGAGTTTGTGCAGGGAAATTTGGGTGGGGACACGGCCAAACTGTATCACGTATGCCTATTTTGTTATGTGTTTTTGACTACAAGGTACCAAGTTGACTTAAAGAGTACTCATAAATTAAATAAAAAGCCAAACTGCTTTTCAAGTTCATGTGACTTAAGTAAACTCTAATAAATTAGTTGGCTTTAAAATCATTGGTAAAGTAATATTAGAGATGTTTCAAGAATTGTCAGCCTACATTTCTGTTTGCATTATTGATCAAGTGATTTTATACTTATCCCTGCCAAATACTATAAGGTGTCAAAATTTGCCATAAGGGTTAAAAACTATAAACCCAGCCAAAAACAGAATGACTTTTGCTTGTATAATTTTTTGATAAATAAAACATTAATATTGTTGGTTTAATGGAAAGAGCTAAAGTTTGAATTATTGGTAAAGTAACCATATCTTTAATCTTAAGATTCTTATGTAAAAACCTGAAATTTGCAGGACTTAAAAATGGTTGACAGGTAAATAATTTTAAATGACGACTATCACATTTTTTATAAATAATCTAGGTAAACTATCAAATAAAATAATTAGGTAACTGTAATGGAATGAATACTTGCAAACCAAGTTTTCATAATTAAGAATTTAAAGTTATAATAGATGAATAATAAATATTTCATTACATTTCTAAATATTTTACAATTTAAAAAAATTACAGGAAAATTCTAAAAAATGTGTTCTTACTAAAAAGTAAATTGTTTTTGTGTAATTAAAACTCATTTAAAGGTTATGTGTAAAACAAGGTAAAAAGAACAAGAAAATAAAATACAGGTAAAGAAAGTTATAAAATCAAGAGTTATTTTTAGTTAGAAAGTTTAAAAAAGTAATTTTATATTAAAAGTAATTGTATGGTGAATTTTTGGCTTAAAATAAAATTAGTTTCTTAAGAAAGAGAACATTTAGAAAAAACCTGAAAGTCCAAGCATGCTATGAATAATCTGATTTATAATAAAATTAGTAAAAAAAAATTATAAAAATGTTATGTAATTGACAATAATTAAAGAAAATTATAATAAATAGTTTTTCTAAAAATTGGACTTTGACATTAAAAATACCCTTATACCAACTAAACATTGGGTTAGAGCAAGTTTTTATCAAAAATATGGAGTTACTTTTAATGCAAGAGGGTTTTTAATTTTAAAATTCTATAATATGTTTCTTTTTGAAATTATTCAGATTGATATCTCAGAAGCTGTACCCTGATGCTTCTGCCAATTCTCTCTTTTGAGAACGTCTAGGATGGTAACTTTTTCATTCAACTCTTGGTGGCTTCTGTAATTTTTTAACTAATATTCTAAAATGAGGGGGATAAATTTTGAAAACAGGCAAAATACATAATCTTTTGGATCTGCTTTTGTCTGCCCATCTGTTATATGTATATATTTATATTTGTCATGTGGAAGTGATGGTTTACTTCTAAACTATATGAAAGAACTCTAAGCAAAATTGTGTTAAAGAAAAGTAAGGGCTTACTAAGCAGATAGAAGTTATCTCAGATTCCTTTCAATTCACATGATCTTGGTAAAATTAATTAGGTAAATTTAATCTCAAAATTCAGTTTAGTAGTTTAAAAGCTTATAGTAATGTTATGTTAAATTAAGTAACTTTTCTTTCTGGGAATTAGGACTGCTAGGAGATAAAATAGTAGGAGTGTAAAAGGTGTTTTTGGTTAATAAAAACACAAGGATGTGGTTTTTGCCAAAAAAAAAAATGTATTTTTTTGTGATGCAAATATATGTCATCCAAACACTCAGGAGGTTATTCCTGAGAGAACAACTGCCCTAGTAAAGCAGAGACTTGCCCTTGTAATGTCTGTTTACCCTGAGAATTGGACTGCCCAACTCTCCCTATAAAATACCAAGTAGAGCACCCCAGATTAACCAGTTGATATGCTTTAAAAGACTAGTTAAGAGTCACTTTAAAATGAAGAAAAAGTTATACAAATTAAACTAAATGGATAAAGAGAAAAATTAAGCCAGGGCAAAATGTTACCTCTGATATCTGTGGTTACCAAGAAAATAGTCAATGTGGGGAAGAGCAAAACTAAGTAACTATTAAAATCAGAAGGTATAATGTAAAGAAATTGTTTCATTTTCTAGATTGGTATCATCAGCTTCCTGTGAAACATTTACTATAATAGATTGTAGAAATAACTACTTTAAGGACAGAATCCTTCATTTAAAATGCTACAGAATAAAAGAGCTTGTTTGGTTTAATGCAGGACCAGCAGATTACTATTAAACAATTGTTGATAAATATATGTGATCCAAATGCACAGATTATTCCTGAGAGAACAACCAGTCTAGTGAATCAGATAAATGCTACTGTAAGGTCTATTTACCCTGAGAATGGGACTTTCCTACTCTCCCTAAGAAATACCAAGTGGAGGACCCCACATGAAACAGTTGCTATGCTACATATGCAAGCCAGTTGGGACTGGATTTATAATGACCAGGATATTCTCCCACTGAATATGCCTGTTACCCAGTTCATGGTAAATTTTTGTTAAGGGGCTCCTTTTACATGAGTGCCCTGGATGACATTACTCGCACAGATTCATATGACTGTTTGAGAAGCCTTATCAAATTTGCTGTCCCTCGTGGGTTTTACAGTTGCTTAATAAAATATTGGAGATAATTAACAAAATAAATGGGAATAGAAAAAGGGAGTCAAACGTTTTGCCACAGAAGTGTAATAGAAAATTTTGGATGGTTATTAAGAAATAAAATAAGTAAAATGAAAATTGAGGAGTTAAAACAAAGATCTTTCAAACACTATTTGCCCCAGATTGGAACATTTAAGAAAAATCAAAATGCAAAGGTTATAATGAGAAAGCTGACATTGCCTGGACAATGATGAGGCAAATTAAAAAGACTGACAAAACAGCCTGAGTCTCTTGTCCCAATCCTACGTTCAGGACTCAAATCATTTTTATATAGAATCTTGCTACCTGGACCATATAAGGAGAAGAATATGCATAAGCAGAGAGTCTTTCTTTTCCCTAGGAGGGATTCTAACTATTTGAGGAACTGCTAGATTCCACAATGCCTGATAGACTGCTCTCATCTCACAACAGCTGTTTGGCTTGAGGGAAGCAGTTTCAACGTGAACAAGCAACATCCTGTTTGAAAGCTGCTCCTCTGATTAAAGAAGAGTCAGGGAAATCTAGTGAAATATGTTTTTGTGAGCAAATTCACTTTTCTCTTTGAGTTCTCCAAAGTTCAGAAACTGTTCATGAGTATTCTGATTTTATGACAATATAGTTACTTGCATAAATTTAGTGAGAGTCTTTTCTTTTAAAACAGAGCAGTTGCAGGCACTGGTTATTTTATCAAAGCTTTGAGTAGAATAACATATTTTTAGGTAAAATTCCAGCAAAACTAACTTAAGAAAAGCCTATATAGCCAATCAATTGTTGTTGCACTTTATGTGAATATAATATTCACATATTTGCCAAGTATAATAAGACAAAAACTTATTTGGCACACACACCCTAAAATATCTCTCTCAAGTTCAAAGTTCCACAAATCACTAGGGCAGGGGCAAAATGCCACCAGTCTCTTTGCCAAAACATAACAAGAGTCACATCTGCTTCAGTTCCCATCAAGTTTCTCATCTCCATCAGAGACCTCCTCAGACTGAATCTTATTGTCCATATCGCTATCAGCATTTTGGGCAAAGACATTCAACAAGTCGCTAGGAAGTTTCAAACTTTCTCACATTTTCCTGTCCTGAGCCCCCCAAACTGCTCCAATATCTGCCTGTTACCCAGTTCCAAGTCCCTTTTACATTTTTGGATATCTTTTCAGCAACATCCCACTCTACTGGTGCCAATTTAGTGTATTAGTCTATATTCACGCTGCTGATAAAGACATACCCGAGACTGGGAAGAAAAAATAGATTTAATTGGACTTACAATTCCACATGGCTGGGGAGGCCTCAGAATCATGGCAGGGGGTCAAAAGCACTTCTTACATGGTGGTGGCAAGAGAGGATGAGGAAGAAGCAAAAGTGGAAACCCCTGATAAACCCATCAAATATCATGAGACTTATTCACTATGATGAAAATAGAATGGAAAAGAATGCTCTCCATGATTCAATTACCTCCCCCTGGGTCCCTCCCACAACACATGGGAATTCTGGGACATACAACTCAAGTTCAGATTTGGGTGGGGACACAGCCAAACCATATCAACTTATTACTAGACTTTAGCCCTTATTTTTATTTTTTGAGAGCATATTGAATTGTAAATCATTTTTTGGCTGCAATAATCCACTAATGAGTATAAGATTATCATTTTTCTCTATATTTTTAGTTTGTGCCCTAATGGAATATGTTCCTTTTTCTCTTCTGATCCACAAATACTCTTTTGATTTTCAAAATATTAATGTTATTTATCTCTCTTTGTTTTACTTCTAAGGAAACTAGAATCATAGTATTCTAAAGAATAGAAATGCAAATCTCCCTCATTTGGCATCCCACTAGGCCCAATCTGTTTTTCACTATAAATGCCCTACTGCTAAGACCATACAAGCACCCTCCCTCTAAGCCCAGGGACTGCCACAATAGAGGTGGGTGCATGAGATTGCAAGGGCCAATTTTGAAGGAAAAAATCAGCTCAGACCCTCCAAATCAAGGATGGGTACACTTTATTCACTATCATGAAAATATCTCCTGATAAAACAAGAGACTGCTTTCTGAGGTATTATATGGCATCTTTTTATTTATCTCAACCATAAAGAATTTCTTGCTTCCTGTAAAGTTAAAAGAAAATAATAACTGAGAGGATAAAGGTACCTTGTGGCAAATCCTCCTGGGCATAATACTCTCAGTTATGGGTTGTGCAGATAGATATATATATATTTTTTAATTCAGAACAATGCTTATGTTTTGTAATGCTAATTGCTATACGTCTGTAACTAAAATCAAGATTAGAGTAGCTCAATGCATAGAAGTTAAAAATAAGTCAGTTTTGTGACCTTGCCTTTGGCTTTTTATTTTTTGGCTTTTTACAAAAAAAAAAAAAAAAAAAAAAAAAGGTAATAAATACCTGTTCACATTTACTTCTATTTGGTGTAGAATATTTAATTAGAGTTTTTGGGCTCTAAGTCTCTTGACCAAAAAGTGTCCCAGCGAGAGACAGGATAAACTTGGGGCAGACAGCCATGCCAGCCTAACAATGCTATGAAACCAAATAAAAATTTGCTGGCCACTGATATTGCCCCTGGCAAATCTTGGGCAGAAGGGGTAGAATGTAAACTAAAAATAAAAGTCTAAGGCCCTTCAACCATCTAAATAAACACTTCTTGTTGGCTAAGGGCATTCCAGAGTTAACACAAAAAACTAGTTAAGGTCATGATGAAAGAGGTGGTCGGACATGCCTTATTGTACCCTCCCTTTTGGAATTCAGGGAAAGTTGACCAGCATTAACATCAACACAGACCTTAAGTCTGATAAGAAATATTTACAATCTGTCCTCTCTGAAGCTTGCTACTTGGAGGCTTCATCTGCGTGATAAAACATTGTTCTCTACAATCACTTATCATAACCTTGTCATTCCTTTCTATTGCTAATAACTATTTCAACCAATTTTCAGAAAATTTTTTAACCTACCTATGACCTGAAAGCTCCCACTTCGAGTTGTTCTGCCCTTTCAGATAGAATCAGTGTAAATCTTACATGTATTGATTGATGTATTATGTCCCCCTAAAATGTATAAAAGCAAGCTATACCTCAACTGCTTAGGGCATATGTTGTCCAGACATCCTGAGTCTGTGTCACAGGTGCATCCTTAACCTTGGCAAAATAAACATTCTAAATTGATTGAGACCTGTCTTAGAGACTTTTAGGTTCATAGAAATAACTAAATTAGAAGGGACCTGAGTGAAATTGAGATGGAATAATTCATAGAAAACATCAATGAAACAAAGAGTTGGTTACTCAAAAAAAATAAAATAAAATAAAAACAAAAAGCATAGACCACAAGCTATATTAGCAAAAAAGTAAAGAGAATATTCAAAAACTACAATTAGAAACAACAAAGATGACATTACAACTGATTTCACAGAAACACAAAAGATCCTGAGAGACTATTATGAACCACTGTATGCGTACCAATTAGAAAACCTAGAAGAAATGGGTAAATCCCTGGAAACACACAATCTCTAAAAATTGAACCAGGACAAAAGTGAAAACCTGAAAATACAAATAACAAGTTCCAAGACTGAATTAGTAATAAAAACCTACCAACCAAAAAGAGCACTGGACTAGATGGATTCATAGATTAATGCTACCAGGTGTACAAATAACTGGTATTAATTCTAATAAAGCTATTCAAAAAATTATAAAGAGAATCCTCCTTAACTCATTCTATAAAGCCAGCATAAGCCTAATCCAAAATATGGCAGAGACACGGTGAACAAAGAAAACTTTAGGCCAATTTCTGGATGAATGTAGATTCAAATATTATCAACAAAACACTACCAAACTGATTCAGAAGCACATAAAAAAGTAGGCTTTATTCCTGGATTGCAAGCCTGGTTCAACATATGCAAATAAACAAATATGACTTACCAAATAAACAATTAAAAGCAAAAACAATATGATCATCTCAGTAGATGAAAAAAAACAAAAAAAAAAAAATGAAAAAAAGCTTTAGATAAAACATCCTTCATGGTAAAAACTCTCAACAGACTACCCATCAAAGTAACAAACCCCAAAATAATCAGAGCCATGTATGACAAACACACAGCCAACATTACTCTGAATGTGACAATGCTGAAACCACCCTCCTTGAGAACTGGAAAATAATAAGGTTGTCCACTCTCACCATGCCTATTAAACTTAGCGCTAGAATTTCTAGACAGAGAAACCAGCCTAAACATTTTTTTTAAAAGAGAATTCAAATAGGGAAAAAAGTCAAGCTATCTCTTTCTGTTTATAATATAATTCTATACCTAGAAAATCCTGAAGATTCTGCCAGAAGGATCCTAGAACTTATAAGCAACCTCAGTAAAGTTTCAAAATATAAAATTATTGTAGAAAAATTAGTAGTATTTCTGTACATCAATAACATTCAATCTGAGAGTAAAATAAAGAATAGTGAATAAAATTAAACATTTTGAATTCAATAAATGAAATACCTGGGAATACAGCTAGCCAATCAAATAAAATATCTCTACAAAGAGAACTACAAAACACTGCTGAAATATATTAGAGATGACAAAAATAAGTGGAAAGGCATTTCATGCTCATGGATTGGAAGAATCAGTATTGTTAAAATTGCCATACTCCTTAAAGCAATCTATAGAATAAATGCTATTCCTATCAGACTACAAATGTCATTTTTTATAGAATTATAAAAAAACTCCTCTAAAGTTCATATGTAACCAAAAGAGACTGAATAGTCAAAGCCATCCTATGGAAAAAGAAGGAAGCCAGAGGCATCACACTACTTGACTTCAAAGTATAATATACTACAGTAACCAAAACAGCATGGTATTAGTACAAAATCAGACCAATACACCATTGAAACACAATAGAAAACCCAGAAATAAAGCCTCACACCTACAACCATTGGATCATCAACAAAATCATCAAAAAAAAAAAAAAAAAAAAAAAAGAAAAAAAAACAAGGGGGAGATGACTTTTTATTTAATAAATGGTGCTGTGATAACTGGCTATTTTTCTCACATAGACAGAAGAATAAACTGGAACCCTACACTTCATTATATATACAAATTAACTCAAGAAGGATTAAATAATTTAAAACACCTCAAACACTAAAAATCCTAGAAGACAAGCCAGAAAATACCTTTTTGACATCAGCCTTGGTAATAAATAGTTGGCCAAGTCCCCAAAAGCAACTGTAACAGAAACAAAAACTAACAATTGGGACCTAATAAACTGAAAAGCTTTCACACAACAAAAGAAACTATCAACAAAGTAAACAAACAACCTACACAATGGAAGAAAATGTTTGCAAACTCCTCATTGGACAAAGATTTAATATCCAGAATCTATAAGAAACTTAGGAAATCAACAAACAAAAATTAAATAAGGTCATTAAAATGGAGAAAGTACATGGACTAGACAATTCTCAAAAGAAGACATACAAACGGCCAATTAACATAAAAAATGCTCTTTATTTCTAATAATCAGAAAAATGAAAATCAAAGCTACAATAAGATACGACCTTGTATTAGTCTGTCCATGCACTACTATAAAAGAATACCTAAAACTGGGTAATTGATAAAGAAAAGAAATTTAATTCTCACACAGTTCTGCAGGCTATGTAGGAAACATGGCTAGGGAGAACTCCGAAAATTTTCAATCATAGCAGAAGGTGAAGGGAAGCACATCTGACATGACCAGAGCAGGAGGAGAGAAAAGAGGGAAATGCTACACATTTTTTGACAACCAGATCTCATGAGAACTTACTCACTATCACAAGAATAGTAAAGGGAAAATTTGCCCCCATGATCCCATCACCACCCACCAGGCTCCACCTCCACATGGGGGATTACAATTTGACATGACATTTGGACAGAGACACAAATCCAAACCATATCACAACTCGTGCCAGTCAGAATGACTATTATTAAAAAATCAAAAAGTAACAGATGCTGCTGAGGCTGCAGAAAAAAGATAATGCTTATGCACTATTGTTAGGAATGTAAATTAGTTCAACAACTGTGAAAAGGAGTTTGAAGTTTTCTCAGATGACATAAAACACAGCTACTATTTGACCCAGTAATCTCATTACTGGGTATTTATCCAAACGGATATAAATTATTCTAATAAAGAGACACATGCACTAGTATTTTTACTGCAGAGCTATGCACAACAGCAAAGACATAAAATCAACCTATGTTTCCATCAATGATGGATTATGTAAAGAAAATATTGCATATATACACCATGGAAGACTACACAACCATAACAAAATGAAATTATGTCCTTTGTAGCAAAATGGATGCACCCAGCGGCCATTATCTTAAGATAATTAACACAGAAAGAGAAGACCAAATAGTGCATGTTCTCATTTATGGGTGGAAGGTAAACATTGAGTACACATAAAAATAAAGATGACAACAATAAACACTGCAGACTACTAGAGGGAGGAGGGAGAAAGAGAGGCATGCATTTAAAATCTATCTATTGCTGTGGGGTGTGGTGGATCATGCCCATAATCCCAGCACTTTCAGAGGCCGAGGTGGGAAGATCACTTGAGCTCAGGAGTTTGAGACCAGCCTGGACAACATGGTGAAACCCCATCTCTACCAAAAATGCAAAAAAAAAAACAAAAAAAAACAAAAAAAAAAAGCTAAGCATGGTGGTGCAGGCATGCAGTTTGAATTACTCAGGAGGCTGAGATGGGAGGATGGTTTGAGCCTCAGAGGTGGAGGTTGCAGTGAGCTGAGATTATGCCACTGTTCTCCAGCCTGTGTGGTGAACTTGAAAGGCTGTCTAGGACAAGAGAACTGCAATTCTTAAAAAACTCCTGATGCTATTCTGGGCTTAGAACTGCTGGACTGAGGTGGCGTGTGACCTAGTGAGACACAAGACAGAACCACTGGGTGAGTGCTTGAGCCACCACTCCTCCAACCTCAGACAATGCAGTTAACAGTAATGAAAATGACTCTATTTCTGCTTCAAGAATGGAGAGAAATTAGTAAAGATAACTTTGCTTTGCATCTACCAGTTCAGTTGAGCCACAGTAAGGTAAGACAACTGTAAGAGCCTTGATGCTCCCATTCCAGGCCCTAACTCCCAAATGACATTTTTAGACACACCCTAGGGCAAAACAGAACCGACTGCCATAAAAAGAAGGACCATAAAAAGAAGGACCCAGTCCTGGCAACTTGCATTACCTGCTAACTGAAAAGCCCTTGGACTCTGAATTACCAATAGCAATATCTAGGTAGTACACCATGGGCTTTGGGTGAAACTCTGAGACGTGTTGGTGTCAGGTACCAGCTCACCCACAATGTGATAGAGCACCAAGTGGGCTCTTAGAGTCCCTGAGTTCAGGATTAGGCTCTTGGATGGCATTTATGGGCCTGCCCGGGGCCAGAGGGGAGACCATTGCCCTGAAAAGTGAGTCTCAGGCTTAGCAGTGTTCAACACAAGCTGATTGAAGAGCCCTTGGACCATAATTGAACATTGGCAGTGGTGGGGCAGAACTTTCTCTGGGACAATGTTGGTGAGGTCCATAGGAGAGGCTCTTCTACCTGTGGAAAGGGGAGAAAAGGAGCAGGCAAGGCTTCGTCTTGTGTTTGAGTGCCAGCACAGCTGCAGTGGAATAGAATACTAAGATGTTTTATTTCAGTCCCTTGCTTACAGGCAGCATCTCTGGACCTGCTTGGGGCCAGAATAAACTTAGTACCCTGAAGGGAAAAACACAACCTGGCAGCCTTTGCCAACTAATGATTGTAGAGCCCTAGGGCCTTGAGCAAACATAGGTGGTAGCCAGGTGGTGGTTACAGTGGACCTTGGGTGAGACTCAGTGATGTGCTGTCTTCAGGTTTGGCCCAATTCAATTCCAGTGGTGGTGGCCACGGGACTGCTTTCATCACATCACCCTCAGCTCCAGGCAGCTCAGCACAAAGAGAGAGACTTTGTTTGGAAAAGAAATAAAGAAAACGAACAAGAGTTTCTGCCAAATAATTCAATTTTTTTTATCTTATCCAAGAACATCAAGGTGGTACCTCTAGGAATCTGCAAGAAACACAGCATCACTGTGCTTGGTTTCCAAGTTTCTTCAAATACCTGGAAAGCCTACCCAAGAAAGACAGGCACAGATTGCAAAATCCAGATTACAAACACTACAGTGAATTTTGAACTCTTCAATACCCAGACACTGATGAACACATACAAGCATCAAGAGCAGATAGAAAAACCTGACCTCACCAAACGAACTAAATATGAAACCAGGAGTCAATTACGTAGAAAGAGAGATATGTTACTCTTCAGACAAAGAGCTCAAAATAGCTGTATGGAGGAAACTCAACAAAATTTAAGAAAATACAGAGAAGGAATTCAGCATTCTATCAGATAAATGTAGCAAACGGATTAAAATAATTAAAAAGAATCAAGCAAATATTCTAGCATTGAGAAATAAAACTGATATGCTGAGGAATGCAGCAGAGTCTCTTAATAGCAGAACTGATCTAGCAAAGGAAATAATTAGTGAGCTTGAAGAAAGTGTATTTGAAAATACACAGAAAAGACAAAAATTAAAAATTAAAAATTAAAAAAGAATGAGGCATGCATACCAGATCTAGAAAACAGCCTCAAAAGAATAAATCTAAGCATTATTGGCCTTAAAGAGGATGTAAAGAAAGAGATAGCAGAAGAAAGCTTATAAAAAGAAATAATATCAGAGAATTTTTCAAACCTAGAGGAAAATATCAATACCCAAGTTCAAAGAGGTTATAGAACAATGAGCAGATTTAACTAAAAGAAAACTACCTAAAGTCATTTAATAATTGATATAGTCTGACTCTGTCCCCACAACCAAACCACATCTTAAATTGTAATCTTCAGGTGTTGGGGGAGTTGCCTCGTGGGAGGTGATTAGATCATGAGGACAGTTCTCCCATGCTGTTTTCATGATAGTGAGTTCTCATGAGACCTGAGAATTTTATAACAGGGTTTTCCCCACTTTATTCTGCACTTGTCTCTCCTGCCGCCATGTGAAGAAGGATGTGTTTGCTTCCCCTCCACCATGATTGTAAGTTTCCTGAGGCCTCCCCAGCCATGCAATATGTGAGTCAATTAACCTCTTTTTTCTCTTCTAAATTACCCAGTATCAGCTATTTTTTCATAGCAGTGTGAAAATGAAATAATACAGTAAATTGGTACTGGGAGTGGGGCACTTCTATAAGGAATACCTGAAAATGTGAAAGCAACTTTGGAATTGAGTAACAGGCAGAGGTTGAAATAGTTTGGAGGGCTCAGAAGAAGAAAGAAAAATGTGGGGAAGTTTGGAACTTCCTGGAGACTTGGAGGGTTCAAAAAACAGGAAGATGTGGGAAAGTTGAAACTTCCTAAAGAGTTGCTGAATGTCTTTGGACAAAATGCAGATAGTAGTAGGGACAATGAAGTCCAGGATAAGGTGGTCTCAAACGAAGATTAGAAACTTGCTGGGAGCTGTAGTAAAGGTCACTCTTGCTATGCTTTAGCAACGAGACTGGCAGCTTTTGCCCCTGCCCTCGAGATCTGTGGAACTTTGAACTTGAGAGAGATGATCTGAAATTTAAATTTATGTTTAAAAAAGAAGCAGAGCATAAAAGTTTGGAAAATGTGCAGCCTGATGATGTGGTAGAAAAGAAAAACCTATTTTGGGGGGAGAAATTCAAGTCCGCTGCAGACATTTGTATAAGTGATAAGATACCAAATGTTCAAATTGCCAAGACAATGGGAAAAATATCTCCAGGGCATGTCAGAAAACTTCAGAGCAGCCCCTCTAAGGCCCAAAGGCCTAGGAGAGAAAAATGGTTTTATGGGCCAGATACAGTGCCAGGCTGTTGTATGCAGCCTGAGGTCTTGTTGCCCTGCATCCCAGCATCTCCAGCTGGGGCTAAAAGAAACCAAGGTACAGGCCAGGCCATTGGTTTGGAGGGTGCAAGTCCCAAGCCTTGGCAGCTCCCACATGGTGTTGGTCCTGCAGGTCTGCAGAAGACAAGAATTAACGTTTGGGAACCTCGGCTGGATTTCAGAGAATGTATGGAAATGCCTGGATGTCCAGGCAGATGTGTGCTGCAAGTGCAAAACCCTAATGGAGAACCTCTGCTATGGCAGTGCAGAAGGGAAATTTGAGGTTGGAGCCCCCATGCAGAGTCCCCACTGTGACACCACCTAGTGGAGAAGAGGGCCACTGTACTCCAGACCCCAGGATGGTAGATCTACCAACAACTTTTACTGTGCACCTGGAAAAGCTGCAGACAATCATGGACAGCCCATGAAAGCAGCTGGGAGGGGGCTGTACCCTGCAAAGACACAGTGGCAGAGTTGTGCAAATCTGTGGAGCCCACTGCTTGCCTCAGTGTAACCTAGATGTGAGACATGGAGTCAAAGGAGATTATTTCAGAGCTTTAAGATTTATTTACTGCCTTGTTGAATTTTGGAATTGCATGAGACCTGTAGCCCCTTTGTTTTGGCCAATTTATCCCATTTGGAATGGGAATTCCACATTGGGAATTGTATTTACCCAATTCTTTTACCTCTGTTGCCTCTAGGAAGTAACTAACTGGCTTTTGATTTTACAGGCTCATTGGTGGAAGTCACTTGCCTTGTATCAGATGAGACTACAGACTTGGACTTTTAGGTTAATTCTGAAATGAGTTAAGACTTTGGGGAACTGTATGGAAAGCATAATTGTGCTTTGAAATGTGAGAAAAATGAGATCTGACAGGGGCCAGTGGCAGAATGATATGGTCTGGCTCATGGCAATTCCCCCATGCTATTTTCATATTAGTGAGTGAGTTCTCATAAGAGCTGATGGTTTTACAAGGGGATTTCCCCCCTTTCACTCTCCTCTCCTCTCTCCTGACACCCATATGAAGAGAAACATGTTTGCTTTCCCTTTTGTCATAATTGTACATTTCCTGAGGCGTCCCCAGCCATGTGGAACTGTTAGTCAATTAAACCTCTTTCCTTTATAAATTACCCAGTATGAGATATTTCTTCATAGCAGTGTGAAAATGAACTAATACAATATGCAAACTCCCAAAAGTCAAAAACAAAGGATCCTAAAAGCAGCAAGAGAGAAGGAACAAATAACATACATACAATGGAGCTCCAGTACATCTCTCAGCAGACTTTTCAGTGGAAACCTTACAGGCCAGGAAGGAGTGATATATTTAAATTGCTGAAGAAAAAAAAAAAAACTCTCACCCTTGAATAGTATATTTGGTGAAAATATCCTTCAAACATGAAGGAGAAGTAAAGACATTCCAAGACAAACAAAAGCTGAAAGATTTTATCAACACCAGACCTGTCCTACAAGACATGCTAAAGGAACTTCTTCAATTTGAAAGAAAAGAATGTTAATGAGCAATAAGAAACCATCTGAAAGTATAAGACTCACTGCTATTAGTATGAACACAGAAAAACACAGACTATTATAACACTGTCATAGTGGGTGTATACCATGCTAATCTTAAGTAGAACAGCTAAATGATGAACCACTCAAAATAATAATTAAAACAACTTTTCAGGACATAGTACAATGACACATAAAACTTAACAACTAGAAGTTAAAAAGTGAGGGGATAAAGTAATGTAAAGAGTGTTTATTAGTTTATGTTTTGCTTATCTATTTATGCTATCATGTTAAATTGTTATCAGGTTTAAAATAGTCAGTTATTAGATAATATTTTCAAGTCCCATGGTAACCTCAAATCAAAAAACATACAACAGATATGCAAAAAATACAAAGCAAGAAATAAATCATATCACCAGTGAAAATTACTTTCACTAAAAAAACACACACCAAATAATTATTAGCCGGGCATGGTGGCATGCGCCTGTAGTCCCAGCTACTCGGGAGGCTGAGGCAGGAGAATTGTTTGAACCCAGAAGGCAGAGGTTGCAGTGAGCCAAGATGATGCCACTGCACTCCAGCCTGGGTGATAGAGCAACACTCCATCTCAAAAAAATTAATAATAATAATAATTAAAAAACAAATAACCACATGGGACCCAATGGCTTTACTGCTGAATTTCACCAAGCACTTAACAAAAAATGATACAAATTCTACTTAATATATTTCAAAAATTAGAGGAGGAGAGAACACTCCCAAACTCATTCTAAAAGGCTGGTATTACCCTGATACCAAAGCCAAATTAATATAAATAAATAAATAAAAGTTACAGGGCAAGATCTTTCATTAATATTAATGCAAAAATCTTCAACAAGATACTAGAAAACTGAATTCAACAATACATTCAAAGGCCATTCATGTTGATAATGTGGAATTTATCACTGGGATGTGATATGGTGGCTTGGCTCTGTGTCTCCACCCAAACCTCATCTCAAATTGTAATCCTCATGTATCAGGGACCTGCTGGGAGGTGATTGCATCATGGGAGCAGTTTCCCCCATGTGGTTCTCATGATAGTGATAGTGAATAAGTTTTCAAGAGATCTGATGGCTTAAAAGTGTAGCATTTTCCCCCTTTGCTTGCTTTATCTCTCCTGCCATACTGTAAGATGTGCCTTGCTTCCTCTTCCCCTTCCACCATAATTGTAAGTTTCCTGAGGCCTCCTGAGCCATGAGGAGTCAATTAAACCTATTTTCTTTATAAATTACTCAGTCTTAGGTAGTTATTTATAGCAGTGTGAAAATGGACTGATACAGAAAATTGGTACAAGAGAAGTGGGGCAGTGCCATAAAGATACTTAAAAATGTGGAAAGGACCTTGGAACTTGCTAACAAGCAAAGGGTGAAACAGTTTGGAGAGCTTAGAAGAAGACAGGAAGATGTGGGAAAGTTTGGAACTTCTGAGAAACTTGTTAAATGGTTTTGATCAAAATGTTCACAGTGATATGGATAGTGAAGCCCAGGCTCAGGTGGTCTCAGATGGAGATGAGAAACTTATTAGGAACTGGAGTAAAGGTTATTTTGCTATGCTTTAACAAAGAGACTGTCAGCATTTTGCCCCTACCCTAAAGATATGTGCAACTTTGAACTTGGGAGAGATGATTTAAGATATCTAGTGGAAAAAATTTCTAAGTAGTAAAGCATCTAAGATGTGACCTGGCTGTTTCTGAAAGTGCACTCCCATATGTGTAAAAAAAGAGATTCTGAAACTGAAACTTATATTTAAAAAGGAAGCAGAGTAGAAATGTTTGGAAAATTTGCAGCCTGAACATGTGGTAGAAAAAAGAAACTTATTTTCTTGGAAGATATTCAAGCTAGCTGCAGAAATGTGCATAAGTAATGAGAAGCCAAATGTTAATAGCCAAGACAATTGGGAAAATACTTCCAGGGCATTTCAGAGATCTGTGGCAGCCACTTCAATCACAGGCCTGAAGGCCAAGGAGGGAACATGATTTCATGGGCCCCACTGCTCTGTGCAGCCTTGGGACTTGGTGCCTTGAATCCCAGCCACTTCAGCTCTAGCCATGGCCAAAAGGGGCCAAGGTATAGCTCAGGCCATTGCTTCAGATGGTGTAATTCCCAAGCCTTGGTAGGTTCCACATGATATTGGGCCTGTGGGTGCACAGAAGGCAAGAATTGACGTTTGGAACCTTCTGCCTAGATTTCAGAGGGTGTACGGAAATGCCTGGGTGTCCATGCAGAAATCTGCTGCAAGAGCAGAGCTCTCATGAAGAATCTCTACTAGGGCACTGCAGAGGGAAAATGTGAGGTTGGAGCCCAAACACTGAGTCGCCCCTGGGGCACTGCCTATTGGAGCTGTGAGAAGTGGGCCATCGTCATCCAGACCAGAGAACAGTAGCTCTACCAACAGCTTGCATTATGCACCTGGAAAAGCCAAGGCACTTAATGCCAGGTTGTGAAAGCAGCCATGGAATCTGTATCCAGCAGAGCCACAGGGGTAGAGCTTCCCAAGGCCTTGGAAGCCCACCCCTTGCATCTGTGTGACTTGGAGGTGAGATATGGAATTAAAGGAGATTTGGGAGTTTTGGAGTTTTAAGATTTAATGGCTGCCCTGCCAAGTTTTGGGCTTGCATGGGGCTTGTACCTTTTTTGTTTTGGCCAATTTCTCCTTTAAAAATTGGGGCACTTACCCAATGCCTGTACCCCATCATATCTTGGAAATAACTAATTTGTTTATTTTATTTTATTTTTAAGTTCCAAGGTACATGTGCAGGTGTTTTACATAGGTAAATGTGTGCCATGGTAGTTTGCTGCACCTGTCAACCCATCACCTAGGTATTAAGCCCAACATGCATTAGCCCTGTTCCCTAATGCTCTCCCCAACCTCCTTCCCCAGACAGGCCCCAGTTTGTGTTATTCCCTCCCTGTGTCCATGAATTCTAATTTTTCAGCTCCCATGGGTGAAGATGGAAGCCATTATCCTCAGCAAACTAACACAGATCAGAAAACTAACTAGTTTTTTATTTCACAGCTTTATAGGTGGAAGGGACTTGCCTTGTCTCAGATGAGACTTTGAACTTGAACTTTTGAGTTAATACCGCAATGAGTTAAGAGTTTGGGAAACTGTTGGGAAGGCATGATTGGTTTTGAAATGTCAGAAGAACATGAGATTTGGGAAGGGCCAGTGACAGAGTGATGTAGTTTGGCTCTGTGTCTCTATCCAAACCTCATCTAAATTCTAATCACCATGTGTCAGGGGAGGGAATGGTGGGAGATGATTGGATCATGGGGGCAGCTTTCCCATAGTGAGTGAGTTATCATGAGAGTTGATGGTTTAAAAGTCCAGCACTTCCCCCCTTCACTTGCTCTCTCCTGCCACCATGTAAGAGGTTCTTTGCTGCCCCTTTGCCGTCTGCCATGGTTGTAAGTTTACTGAAGCCTCCCCAGCTATACCGAACTGTAAGTAAATTAAACCTATTTTCTTTATAATTATCCAGTCTCAGCTAGTTATTTATAGCAGTGTGAAAATGGACTAATACAGGATGCAAAGATGGTTTCTCATACAGAAATCACTAAATGTGATACATCATATCAACAGAATAAAGGACAAAAACCATATGATTATTCAATTGATGCTGAAAAAGCATTTGGTAAAATTCTATATTTCATCATGATAAAAATCTTTAACAAACTGGGTAGAGAAGATATACTTCAACATTACAAAAATATATACAACAGATCCAAAGCTAGTATCATAACGAATGGGGAAATAGTGAAAGTCTTTATTCTAAGATCTGGAAAATGACAAAGATGCCAACTTTTACCATTGGTATTCAATATAGTACTGGAAGTCTTAGAGCAATCAGACAAGAAAAAAGAAAAAGACATCCAAATTGGAAAAAAAGAAGGTAGTTTTTTTGTTTATATATAATCTTATATTTGGAAAAATCTAAAGAATCCACAAGAAAACTGTTAGAACTGATAAACAAATTTGGTGAATTTTCAGGATACAAAGTCAATATAAAAAAAACTAGTAGCATTTCTAAATGCCCCACAGTGAGCTATCTGAAAAAAAAAAAATTAAAAATTAGCCCACAATAGCCACTACGAAAATTAAATGCCTAGGAATTAACCAAATATATGAAAGATATCCACAATGAAAACAGTAAACACTAATAAAAAATTGAAGAGAACACCAAATAATGAAAATATATTTCAATTTTTGGATTGGAAGAATCAATACTGTTAAAATGTCCATACTACCAAAAGCAATTTACAGATTGAATTCAATTCTTATCAAAATACCAATGACATTCTTTAAAGAAAAAAAAAATTCTACAATTTTATTTGCAACCACGGAAGACCCAGAGTAGACAACCTATCCTGAGGGTAAAAAAAAAAAAAAAAAAAAAAAAAAAAAAAGAATCAAATTACCTGACTCCAAACTATACTATAGCACTATAGTGAACAAAACAGGATGGTACTGGCATAAGTCCAGACACATAGACCAAAGGAACAGAATAAGCATTTTACAAACAAATCCATATACCTACAGTGAACTCATTTTAAACAAAGGTGCCAAAAACATACACTGGCAAAAAAAAAGTCTCTTCAATAAATCATCCAAGAAAAACTGTGCATCTTTATGCAGAATAATGAAACTAGACATCTGTCTCACATCATATAAAAATAAAAGCAAAATGGATTAAATACTTAAATTTAAGACCTCAATCAATAAAACTCCTAAAAGAAAACATTGCAAAAACTTTGATTGGGCAAACATTTCTTGAATTTAACCCCACAAGCACAGGCAGCCAAAACAAAAATGGACAAACTGGATTGCATCAAGTTAAAAAGCTTCTACACAGCAGAAAACAAAAACAAAAACAAAAAACAATCAATGAAGTGAAGGACAACCATTGAATGGGAGAAAATATTTGCAAACTACCCATCTGAGTAAGAATTAATAACTGAAATACATAAAGAGTTCAAACAACTCTGTAGAAAAAAATCTAACTATATGATCTAAAAATATGTTAAAGATTCAAATACATTTTTCAAAAGAAGACATACAAATGATGAACAGTCATATGAAAAGGTGCTGAACATAATTGAACATCAGAGAAATGCAAATAAAAACTACAATGAGATATTATCTCACCCCAGTTAAAGTGGCTTATATCCAAAACAAAGGCAATAATAAATACTGGAGAAGATGTGGAATAAAGGGAACTCTTATACGCTGTTGGTGGAAAATTAAATTAGTACAGCCACTATAGAAAAGAGTTTCAAGGTTCCTCCAAAAGCAAAAATACAGCTACCATAGGATTCAGCAATCTCACTGCTTGGTAAATACCCCAAAGAAAGAAAATTAGTATATCAAAGATATATCTGTACTCCCATGTTTATTTCAGCATTATTCACTATAGCAAGACTTGGAAGCAATTTAAGTGTCCATCAGCAGACAAATGTATAAAAAAATGTGGTATATATACACAGTGGAGTACTATTCAGCCTTAAATATAATGAGATCCCGTCATTTGCAACAACTTAGATGGGACTTGAGATCATTATGTTAAGTGAAGTAAGCCAGGCACAGAAAGACAAATGTCCAATGTTCTCACTTGTTTGTGGGAGCCTAAAATTAAAACAATTGACCTTCTAGAGATAGTGGAAGGATGTTTGCCAGAGCCTGAAAAGAGTAGTGAGGGTGTGGGCAATTTTCAGATGGTTAATGGGTACAAAAACTGATTAGAAGAATTAATAAGACTGGTATTTGATAACACAGGAGGGTGACTATAGTCAATAATAATTTAGTTGTACATTTTAAAATAACTAAGAGAGTCTAATTGGATGGTTTGTAACACAAAGGATAAATGCTTGAGGGGATAGATACTCCATTCTCCATGATGTGATTTTTACACATTGCATGCCTGTATCAAAGCATCTCATGTACTTCATAAATATATACACATACTATGTGCCCACCAAATTTACAAATTAAAAAAATAAGTTGGATTTAATTAAAATTGAAAACTTTTTTTTGTGAATGATAATTTTGAAAAATTTAAGACAAGCGACAGACCGTGAGAAAATTTTTTCAAAAATTTATCTGATAAAGTGCTCATGTTCAACTTATACACAGAGCTCTTAAAAATTAATATGTAAAACAGCAAACCAATTGAATAGTAGGCAAAATTTATCTGAAAAGACACAACAAACAATACATACAGAAAATGATATAAGCAAATGAAAATATTCTACCATCATTTTTATTTCATTATAGTTTATTATTATTATTATTATTATTATCATTATTATTACTTTGAGATGGGGTTTTGTTCTGTGACCCAGGCTGGAAAGCAGCAATACAATCACAACCACAGCTTCAACCTCCTGGACTCGAGAAATTCTCCTACCTGCCTGAGCTTTAAAGAGGTCAAATGTAAGGAAATTTTTAGGAGTATAAAATGATTATGTGACACTATCATGGTGGATAATACTAGGCATTTGTCAAAACCCATAGAACTTTACAGCATAAAGAGTGAACTTTAATGTCTGTAAATTAGTCGGGATAGAATGAAAAACAGAATAAAGATTGTGAGAAAACAATCTAACAGTATTACAAATGCATAATACTTCCTCAGGGAAGAGGGTTCAGGGAATAGATTCTTTCCTAAGTAATTTTGAAAATGAATGCAGTGAGACTAAATTTTAAAAAGCCTGTATATAATTACTCTACTCTGATTGATAAAATTGTTTCCCATGATGGCATAGGTTAACAATTCCAATACTGGTATACATGTATACTGAAATTGAAGAATGGAAGGCAGTGGGATCTGGTTTTCTCACTGTTAGAATGGGAGACTACAAATAAGTAAGGGTAGGAGGCTGGAATAATCCATGATTAGGAGTCATTAGTATAAACCCATGTATTGTCTACTATGGATAACCAATTATACATGCACATGCACATGCACACACACACACAGTTTGTTAGTTGAGAGGGTCACAAAGCAAGGACACTACAGTTGCACTGAGCACACCTTGGTTTCTAATACCATTCTCCAATAAAAGGAACCAAGATTACTTGGAGAAATGGCTGATTTTATGACTGGGTCAGAACAAAAAGAACCTGGAGCATATTGCAGTCCCAGAAAATAATGAAGTGCTCACACACACCTACGCCCTTACCACTCCCTCTCATTCACACAATGCACACATGCAGAAACACACTAATTGATGAGGTGTAGGTGTGTCAAAGAGACACAGGCACCAACAGAAAGAGGTCCCAATGGCCAAATCTGGAACAATTTGAGCAACATAATAAAGTAGTACTAGATTATAGCGCAAAATGTCAAATAAATAACAATGAGTCAATAATGATACAAACAAATAATTAAATAACAAAATAGATTTCTGTGTGTGTGGAGATAGAATAATAAATCTGCCACGCAAAAGAATTCTAAACAGTTTGCATTTATACTGCATCCTCAAAGTATTGGGACATAACTTCCCATTTTTTTAAATATAGAATATTCATAGTGACTTCCTTTTAAAGAGTGTAGTACAGTGGGGAAATCAGACAAATACTATCTCAGTCAGGTAATCAAGGTCACAATCAGTGATAAGCAATGTGTAGAGTATGTTTCCCCTGATTTGTTGTGTTGAAAATGACAATTTGTTCTCCGTGGTATTCTCCTTTAAATCACAAATCTCAGTCTATGATAAACCACTAGACAATCTCCAACTAATCGACATTTGAATTAGTCAATGTTCTCCAGCGAGATCAAACCAATAATACAGAGATACATGTAATATAGATACATATATAAATATACATAGATATATAATTGGGAATTTATTGGAGAATTGGTTTGTATGATTATGGAGGCTAAGTCCTTGGACATTCTCTCTGCAAACTAGAGACCCTGGGATGAGGCTAGCATGGCTCAGTCCAAGTATGAAAGCCTCAGAACCAAAACAGCCAAAAGGGTAATTCTCAGTCCAAGCCTGAAGGCCTGAGAAACCGGGCGGTGCAGGCGGGGGTGCTACTGGTGTAAGTCCTAAAGTCCCAAGGTTGAGTTCTTATGTCAAAAGCAGAAGGAGGAATGTCTCACATCAAAGAGAGAAGGAGAAAATCTTTTTTCCCTACTTTTATTTTTTCTATTTGGAACCTCAGATGAGTAGATGATGCCCACTCACATTGAGGGCAAAGCGTCCCCATTCAGTCCTCTGATTAGCAGGCCAGTCGCCTCTGGAAACACCCTTAAAGACACACACAGAAGTAGTGTTTTACCAATTCTCTAGGTATTCGTTAATCCAGTCAAGATGATACCTAAAAATGACCATGAAGACATTCCACAAAATAACTGAGCAGAATTCTGCAAATCTCAGAAGGCCATCAAGATAGGGAAAGTTTGAGAAACTATCACAATCCAAATGTGTTTATGGAGACATGGTGACTAAAGGCAATGTGGTATCATAAATAGAATCCTGGAACAGAGAAAAAAAGATTAAGCAAAAACTTTAAAAAGATAAATTATGGGTTTTCATTAATAATAATATTGGTTTATTAATTGTAACAAATGGACCATATTTAAGTGAATTATTATTTATAGGAAGAAATTAGTTGTGATGTATTTAGAAACTTAGTACTATATTCAAAAATTTTCTTTCAAAATACAACATTTAGAAGCATACTATTTATTTAAAGCAAGTGAAATAAAATATATATGAGCAAACAAAAATAACAAAAAAAGCAAAATGTTTCTTTTTTAAAGAAAAGAATAGTAAATTCTCAACTAGACTGAAAAGGACAAAAGATAAAACACAAACTACCAAGATCAAAATTCAGAGGGGACATCACTGTAGATCCTAAAGACTTTAAAAGGAAAATAAGCACAATATAAAAAAAATGCTTGAATAATGTTAACAACATAGATACCATGAAAAAAAAAACTTGGTAAGATAGTATAGCAAATTCATTCAAGAATAAATTTTTAAAAACTGAAAAGCTCTGAAAATATTAATAAAATTTAATTCATAATTATAAACCTTCTCTGAAGAAATTATTGCAGTAGGTAATTTCACCAGTAAATTCTATCAAGCATTTAAGAAAGAAACACTACCATATTACTTAAACAGTTTACAACAATAGAAGAGTAAGCACATCTCTATTTATGAAGGGAAAATACTTCTGATAACAAAATTTAACAAAGATATAACAGGAAAGTAAAATTATATATTAATGTCTTTTATGTATGCAAATACATAATTCCTAAACATAATATTAACAAATTGAATCTAGCAACATTTATACAGTCAATATTGTACTAAATATTCTAGTCAGGGTAATAAGACCTGACAAATCATATAGGAATAAGGATTGGAAAGAAATAAGCAAAACTGTCTTCTTATAGGTGACAGTATTGTCTACATGGAAAATATTAAGCAGTTTTCAAAAATATTGCTAGAATTAATATTCTTTTATCAAGTTCCCAGGATGCAAGATCTATATACAAAAACCAATTGTGTTTCTAAATTTTTGCAAAACAAATTAAGAAATAATTTTAAGGGGTATTTAAACAGCGTGGAAATCAATGAAATGCAAAATATAATTTCAGTGAATGATCCATACAACTTCTATACTTATAACAACAAAAATTTGCTGAGACAAATTGAAGAACACCTAAATAAATGGAAACATATACCTTGTATACAGATTGAAATATTTAATATTGTTATGATATTAATTTTTTCAAAATAATTTCTAGATTTAATTCAGTCCTAATTAAAATTCTAGTATCTTTTTGTAGAAATTGACAAATTGTTTCTAAAATTTATAAAAAATATAGAAGACATAGAATGGCCAAAATTACTTCAAAATAGAAATAAATTGAGAACACGTACTTCCTGATTTTGAGGCTTACTATAGAGTTATAGTTTTTAAGACAGTATGGTATTGGAATAAGCATTATTAAATTTAAAAAATAAAATAAAATATAGATGTTCTCCAAATTTATATGTATAGTCAGTTTATTTTTGAATTTTTACTCTTACCTCAAACTGCAGACTAAATTAGTTAGATGTAGATTACACCACTCAAAAAATAGTTGTAACTATAAGTGTCTAAAAGAAAATATTTTAAAATTTTTATAATATTAAGGTAGGCAAATATTTTACAAAAAAAATACAAACATAGAAGACAGGTGATGAATTGTTCTTTATCAAAATTCCAACTTGCACCCTTCAATACACAGCACTAAGAATATGAAAAGAAAGTGATGTTAGCAAGATGGTTGACTGGAGTTTCCTGGAGCTTGTCTCCCAACATAAAAGAAACAAAATAACAAGTAAACCGTTATATTTTGATGGGACTGACAGAGAGTATGCTGAAGAGCAGCAGAAGTGTGGTGAAATCCTTGTGGAGCATAAATTAGATATAATAGCCCATTGATTAAATGGTGCTATGTAAATCTTTCAATCCACTACTGTGAAAGTTTAAAGTTGAAATGATAAAAACAGTAATAAAACAGCAACTATAATTAGTTGCTAAGAAATACACAATAGATAAAGAAGCAAATTAAAGCAACAAAAATATAAATTGTGGAGAAAGAGAAAATGTCTAGAATATTTTTATATGCCCAAAGTTACTATCAGCTTAAAATAGTCTATTACAACTAAAAGACTCTTTATTCCAGCCCCATGGTAACCACATAGAAAAAATTACATCAGATACATGACTAAAAAAGAGAAAAGAGTCAAAGCTTAGAACCACAGAAAACCACCAAATCAAAGAGGTAAATAACAAGAAAGGAAAAAAAAGCTAAGATTCTACAACACAACCAGAAAAATGATGAAAAAAATGACAAGAGTAAGTCCCTATGTATCAATAATAGCCTTGAATATCAATGAATTAAATTATCCAATTAAAAGATATAGAGTAGATGAATAGACAAGAAGGACAAAACCTAATTTTATGCTGCCTACAAGAGATGTGCCTCACCATTAAAGACAAATGTAGACTGAATGTGAACGGATGGAAAAAGATATTCCATGCAAATGGAAACCAAAAGCAAGCAGAAATAGTCATATTCTTATCAGATGTAATTGACTTTCAGTGCAAAACTGAAAAGAAGTATGTCATTGTTTAATGGTAAAGGGAACCATTCAATGAGAGAATATAACAATTGCAAATATGCATATGTACAATATCGGAGTGGCCAGATATATAAATCAAATATTATTAGACCTAAAGAAAGAGACTGACATGCAATACCACCTTACTCCTGCAAGAATAGCCATAATCTGTTGCATATATATACAATGGAATACTACTCAGACATAAAAAAGAATGAAATAATGGCATTCACAGCAACCTGGATGAGATTGGAGACTACTATTTTCAGTGAAGTAACTCAGGAATGGAAAACCAAACATCGCATGTTCTCACTCATATGTGGGAGTTAAGCCATGAGGATGCAAAGACATAAGAATAATACAATGGACTTTGGGGACCTCGGGGCGGGGGAAGTGTAGGAGGGGGTGGAGGGATAAAAAACTACAAATAGGGTGTGGTGTACACTGCTCACCTGTGTACACCTGTACACAGGTGATGGGTGCACCAAAATCTCACAAATCACCACTAAAGAACTTATTCATGTAACCAAACACTACCTGTATTCCAATAACCTATGGGAAAATGAAAAAAAAAAATTAGAAGAAATTGCCAACTCTAATTAATGCAGAAATTAAAACAGAAAATCACAAAATAAACATAAACTGAAAGTCATAATGCTATAATCCTATATATACATACATACATACGTGTATACATATACATATTATATTAGAGCAAAAATAAAATATTATAGCTTAAAAAACAAAAAAGTGATTTTTGATCCTACATATTATAAAATTTTAAATTAGCACTTAAACTTTTAAAAATATATTTTATTGTATTATTAATGCAGGTATCATTGATGATTGTGAGAATATTTATTTATTTGTTTTTCATTATTTTGTGATTGAGTTTAAGGTATAATTTATTACTTTCCCTTTTATTAAAAACACATCACAAGCAAAGTTTTTATTAATCTTGCTCATTTTGGAGGTACAGTCTACTTGTTACAATGTGAGTATGTAACAGAGTTCCCCATTTAAATTTTGTTTTGTTTTGTTTTGTTTTTCCTTTGGCTTTGATCTTAATAATGTAATAACCTCTGCTCTCTTTTTACCACAAAACACTCCCTTGCACAACATTTTCCCATATCTAATCATGTGGTTACTTGGAAGTTCCAGGGTCTAAATCTTGAAACAATTCAGGCAGCTACAGAATGTACACTCACCTGAAGATTACTTTAAGACAGTAGTTAATTTACAACCCAGCTGTACCTCAGATGGCATGAGCCAAACACCAGAGGGGGCAATAATCCAAGATATTCACTAGAATAAGTCAGATGCACCAGTGTCTCCTTGCTACTTTTGTCTATACCTCATACCAAATTTTTCTTATTAATCCCCTGCACTCAGCCCAGAATAAAAAATTGTTTCTTTAAGGCATAAGCTTGGCCATTTCCCCACTTTTGGCTTTTGGATTAAAGTCACTTTCCTTTCACAGCATCTCATCCTTGTTCATTCAGCATGACAAGTGACAAGCAGCTGAGCTTTCATTCAGTTACAAGTAGCTTCCAATAGAAATATATTTAAGAGATAATGGCAAAAAAGACTAATATACTTGATCATGAGCCAGGTCTAAAAATGTGTTTATAATGGTATATAGAACATTACCCTTTATTGCTTTAAGTATCATTAAAAAATGTCAATAAATCTTCCAACTGCTTAATTCAAATTTAACTTTCAGTAAAAAATGCTGTTTTGATCCTATTCCTGTAGTCACTGCTACCTACATCACTTTCTGTAGTCATTTCTACCTATGAAAAGTGATATGAGATTTGTTCAGCTGATAAATAGGCTTCTAAAGAGGTCACAACTTACAAGTTACTAGAATCATTTATCCTGTTTAGAAGTCACTTTCTTAAAGTTAGACTAATGAAGAACTTCATATTGGTTTTACCAATTTGATTCTCAACATATCCTTAGTTTTAAGTTGGAACACATTATTTTTTCAATTACTAATACAATATATTATTTTAGACCTGAGTTACATTTGTCTTTTTAAGAATACAATTGTCTTTCAAAAGTATTATTCATATTGACTATTAAAAGACATCATATTTCACGGTTTATATGAAGTTAGACATGACAGCATAATTGGTCTATCCTGACAAGTTATGCACAGATAAATTTCAAATTAAACAGTGGCACAACAATTCTTGAGACCAATATTTGATGGCAATTTTTTTTGTAGGATTCCACAGATTTCAGACCATTATTATATTGCTCTTGTTTCCTCTTCTAACAGTATTTGACATCATTTTCCATTTAATTACTGAATGAATTTTTTTTCTCTTTTGTTTTCCTGGGTTTTCTGAAACCAGAAAATTGGTAGATCTTTACAGTGGATTAATTTATATTGAAGGCCTACCATGTTCCAGGCACTGATCTAGGATACAAGCTTGACAGTTCCTGTTCATGTTGGCAGAGTAGCTCTTCAAACTTAAGATGAGGTAGTTGGCCGTATAGTGCCAAAACTAGAAAAGTAACTTTCATCTTATTAAAGTTTTAGTGTGGAATTTTATAGTATATCTTTAGCTTGGTTCAGAAGCAAGAATATTTATATACAGAAGGAAGAGAAAATAATTTAATTTCTCTAAGGGAACATTTCTGGAACTTGCCTGGCAAAATCTTTAAATAATTTTAATATTAGCAGAAATCTAAGTGTTTGCAGATTTCTGTGTAGTTAATATCTTAATATTATCTGTATTGGACTCTTTCACTTTTTCTTCTGTCATTGTCAATTTATAACATAGTAATTATAGTTTTTATGATATAAAGTATTTAAAATGTATTGCCTATAATTTATAAAGTAAATGAGATATTTGAAGACCTCGCCAGTTAAAACACACACTCAGATTTATGGGGAAGAGAGTATGAATATTTTAATTTAAGATGTGGAATAACTTTAGAGTTACAAATTCACTCAAATTCCTGCTCATATTTAAAAACATTCAATGAAGTATCATTTTTAGGAGCATGGAGACCACTGTTAAAGAGTAACCAGAACTAGGTAGTAAAGTATTAAAAGCAGATTTTATTCAGGAAGTATTGTAGTAGGTGGAAAGTGTCCTCAATTCCAAATTCAATAAGAAAAATGGATAAAAATAGCCAAAAATGGTTAAAAAATTACTAAGAGAGAACATCAGGGGCAAGGGGAAATCCTGGTTTACCTGACATCACAGGATTCTTGCTAAAGGTAGAACAGGGTTACCAGGTATCACCTGGGAGAAAATGAGGATAAATAATTTGATTATATATCAATGAGATCAGGAATTCTCTCTTAAAATAATTGGGAGGCTATTAGGCTGAGAGGGCTCCAGTGCCTTGAGTTTCCATGTAAGCAAACTGAAACCTAACAATATAAACAATAAAACAAAACTTAAGCTTAACCAATCAGCAACCACCAACTAACCTGTAACTAGAGATTTTGCCAATTAGAAATTGACAACAAACCTCTCACTAGGGACTTTACACTGTAATCAATTGAATATATTTTATTTGTCTCACTTTCACAAACACCTTATAAACATCTTCCTCTTGCGTCTTTTTGGTGGAGCCCTGAACCACTTGCAATCTAGCACTGCCTGATTCATGAATAATTGTTTTGTCAAATAAACTCTTTAAAATTTTAATGTGCCTGAGTTTATCTTTTAACATCACTAAACTGAGTTACCAGGATACTTCCTAAAACTGAGTTACAGAGGTCTGGCAAGGATGGGACAAAGAAAAGATTGATTCAGAAGAGCCTGATTAAAGATTAGTCAGTGAAATAATCTTTGTCACCACATTCATTTGAATTCCAGTTCTTGCTCTCTCACAATTAGTTGGGGGAATCTTGATAAATGCACTGAACCTTTATCTGATCATAAGAGAGTATGAGAATAAATGTGATACAGTGATTACAATCTCACTGTTCGTGAGAATTTGTTCCAAACTAAGATTTTGATAAATGATGAGCTACTACTATTATTATCATTACCTTTGGAAATTATATATCATCACAATTTATTCAAGGGTCATGGGAAGCATAATAGGATAGCAATAAAGAGTTCAGGATCTAGAGTCAAATATCCTCAGGTAAACCTCACCTATAGAACCTCTTAGTTTTGTAATCTTAGTAAGTAAACTGACCACTATGAGTGTTATTTTCCTGAGCCACAAAAAGAAAAAAAAAAAAAAACATTTTAATTTATAGGGCCATTGTAAGAACCAAGTGAGACTGTATTTGTCTGTTCTCATGCTGCTATGAATAAATAAATTAAACTGAGTAATATATAAAGAAAAGAGGTTTAATTGATTCACATTTCTGCAAGGCTGGAGAGGCCTCAGGAAACTTACAATAATGGCAGAGGACACCTTTTCACAGGGCAGTGTGAGAGAGAATGAGTGCTGTGCGAAGGAGGAAGCCCCTTATAAAACCATCAGATTTCATGAGAACTCAGTCATGAGAATAGCATGGGGGAAACTGCCCCCCATAATTCAATTATCTCCACCTGGTCCCACCCTTGACATGTGGAGATTATTACAATTCAAGGTGAGATTTGGGTAGAGATAAAGCCAAACCGTATTATTCCACTACTGGCCTGTCCAAAATCTCATGTCCTCATATTTTAAAACACAATTGTACCTTTTCAACAGTCCTCCAAAGTTTCATCTGAGACAAGGCAAGTCCCTTCTGCCTATCAGCCTGTAAAATCAAAACCAATTTAGTTATTCCCTACATACAATTAGGGTACAGGCATTGGGTAAATATACCAATTCCAAATAGGAGAAATTGGCCAAAACAAAGAGGCTACAGGCCCCTTGCAAGTACAAAATCAAATAGGGCCGTCATTATACTTTAAAGTACCAAAATGATCTCCTTCAACACCATGTCTCACATCCAGGTTATTTTGATGCAAAAGGTGGGCTCTCATGGCCTCAGGCAGCTCTGCCCCTGTGACTTTGCAGGGTATAGCCTGCCTCCCGATTGCTTTCATGGGCTGACGTTGAGTGTCTGCAGCTTTTCTAGGTGAATGGTGCAAGCTGTTTGTTGATCTACCATTCTGGGGTCTGGAGGACAGTGGCCCTCTTCTCACAGCTCCACTTGGCAGTGCCTTAGTGGGGACTTTGTGTGGGGGCTCCCACCCCACATTTTCCTTCCACACTGCCCTAGCAGAGATTCTCAATGAGGGCTCCTCCCCTGCAACAAACTTCTGCCTAGACACTCAGGCCTTTTCATACATCCTCTGAAATCTAGGTGAAGGTTCCTAAACCTCAATTCTTGACTTCAGTGCATCCACAGGCTCAACACCATGTGGAGGCCACCAAGGCTTGGGGCCTGCACCCTTTGAAGCAATGGCCAAGCTTTACCTTTGCCCCTTTTAGCCTCAGCTGAAGTCGAAGCAGCTGGGATGCAGGGTACCATGTTCCAAGGCTGCATAGAGCAGGGGGCCCCTGGGCCCTGTCCACAAAACCATTTTTCCCTCTTAGGCCTCTAGGTCTGTCATGGGAGGGGTTGCTCTGAAGGTCTCTGACATGCCATAGAGACGTTTTTCCCATTGTACTGGTTATTAGTATTTGGCTCCTCATTACTTATGTAAACTTCTGTCGTGGGCTTGAATTACCCACCAGAAAATAGGTTTTTATTTTCTATTGCATCATTGAGCAGTAAATTTTCCAAACTTTCATGCTCTGCTTCCTCTTGAATGCTTTGCCTCTTAGAAATTTCTTCCACCAGATACCCTAAATCATCTCTCTCAAGTTCAAAGTTCCACAGATCTCTAGGGCAGGAACAAAATGCTTCCAGTCTCTTTGCTAAAGCACAACAATAGTCACTTTTGCTCCAGTTCCCAAAAAGCTCCTCATCTCCATCTGAGACCACCTCAGCTTAGACTCCATTGTCAACATCACTATCAGCATTTTGGTCAAAACTATTCAATAGGCCTCTAGGAAGTTCCAAACTTTCCCACATCTTCCTGTCTTCTTCTGAGCCCTGCACATTGGTCGAACCTCTGCCTGTTACCAATTCCAAAGTCACTTTCATATTTTTGGGTATTATTAGAGCAGCACCCGACTCTCTGCATTGGCAATTTACTGTATTAATCCATTTTCATGCTATAAAGAAATACCCTAGACTGGGTAACTTATAAAGAAAGAGGTTTAATTGACTTACAGTTCGACATGGCTGGGAAGGCCTCAGGAAACTTACAATCATGATGGAAGGCACCTCTTCACAGGGTGGCAAGAGAGAGAATGAGTGCCAAGCAAAGGGGGGAACCCCTTGTAAAACTATCACATCTCATGGTAACTCAATCACTATCACGAGAGCAGCATGGGGGAAACTACCCCCATGATTCAGTTATTTCCACCTGGTCCTGCCCTTGACATGTGGGGATTATAACATTTCAAGGTGCAATTTGAGGGTGGACACAGAGCCAAACCTTATCAGAGACCATCTTAATAAAGTACATAACAAATTATATGGCTCATGGCTGGACATGGTGGCTCACTTCTAATTCTGGCACTTTGGGAGGCTGAGTGGGAGGATTAATTGTGTCTAGAAGTTCAAGACCAGCCTAGGCAATATAGTAAGACCCTGTCTCTACAAAAAATAGCTGGCCTTGGTAGCATAGGCCTGTAGTCCCAGCTACTTAGGAGACTGAGGTAGGAGAAATACTTGAGCCCAGAGATTGAGGCTGCAGTGAGCCATAATCATGACACTGCACTCCAGCCTGGGTGACAAAGTGAGACCCTGTCTCAAAACCGTATATATGGCTCATGATATAAATTCAATAAAATTATTATTAGTAGTAGTAGAAGAAGACACAATTACGCCAGTATAATGCTATTCTACTTTTCTCTAGGCCTACTTTTCTCTAGGGCTGTCTTGGTGGAACAAGAATCTCCCAGTGTAGCAGAAAAGAAAATTGAAAGTATTTTCTTTCAAATAGTAGACCCTCTATCAATGTTAATTTGTTTGTTTTTCTCACAAACAGCATGCCTTCTGCCTTCTGTCATGAAGATCTTGTTGCAAATCTGCCCTGTGAGGCCACATTATTTAGACATGATTATACTTTTGCTCATCACTTCTGACTTCTCAGAAAAAAAGGCAGCATGAGAATTTATGTTGCTCCTCTTTCTTTCCATCTGTTTATCTTGCTTTATTAGTAGCAGTCTTCAATTCACTCATGAGATTATAAATTCAACTATGAACATGGCTTTCTATTTTTATTCAATCATAAGCATTGAAGAAAGGAAATATTTAAACACACTCACTGGAGAAGCTATTTGATGCATGCACTCTTTTCCCAAAAATGTCATTTTAAATGTGTTTACTACAAGGTTTCCTATTATTATAAGTAAACAATCTCACAGTCTTGAATACTTGTATTTGAATATTTCAGAGAGTTAGAATTTATGATTTTAAGTAGCATTGAAATTATATATATAAAACCAGAAAGCTTTTGTTATTAATTTTTCTCTGATGAGATTTGTGTTAGGTTACTACAATGCTAGGACTTTTGAGAAAAAGGTAAATACTCCTGCTTCATTTGGGGGCGCTGAAATTATTTACCATAAATTGGCCAAATTTTTATATGGGAAAAAGCATAAATATAGACTAGTTCCTTGTAAATATAAACTGTATTTGTTTTCTTATTTGCATTTATAATATGCATAGAGTATATTTCTGAAGTGAGAAAAAGGAAAATTTTAGAATTATCCTAATTTTTAACAGTTAATTTTATGAATTATACAAAGATGAATTTGATGATTGTTTTCCCTTAAAATATTTTCATTTCTTATTTTTCTTTTCAAACTCAGTGAAACAGAAAAGCCTACTACAAAATTTGACACAATGTTTTTCTAAACTGTTTAGAATATATTCCCTCATATTTCCCAACAGAAATCAGAAAACATTTTAAAGTATTGTTAAAATTCTTGTTTCTGAAAACTCAGTCGTTTTTATATTGTAAGAGTAAACTGAAATACATTCAAGAGGTGAATGAAGGAGCACACAAAATTTTACTCAAAAATATGTCTCCCTAGTATAAAGAATATTTTGAATTAAAAAACCTTAGAAATCAACATGCCTTGGAAGAGACTGTGTCCCTATCTATATAAAGATTAGACTGACCCACTGAAAAAATAAACATTTTTTTCTCCTCCCTGTTGTCTCATTATCTATTGCAGGAAAGAAGACCAAGAATGTAATCAGACCTGGCCCAAACTTTTTACAAAGTCATATGTCTTTCAGATTTATTCAGTTTCCAAAGAGAACTATTTTGTAGGTCAACTTATATTCATTGCATCTATTCATTCTTTCAGTATCTATTCATTCTTTCTAGTAACAATTTATTGCCCCTCAACATAATTACCTATATTTTCCAACTTTTCTTCCCCTCTGAAACAACAGTGAATTCCTATGTTAGCAACAGCTAATTTCTATGGGTCTGCAGCAACCTCAATTCTTGCCTCCTCAGAAGAAAGAATTTAATTAGGGGCATGAGGCAGAGTGAGAGACTGAGGCAAGATTTTAGAGCAGGGGTAAAAGTTTGTTCTAAAAGTTTAGAGCAGGAAGAAAAGGAAGTAAAGTACACTTGGAAGAAGAACAAGTGGGTGACTTGAGAGATAAAGTACACAGTTTGACACTTGACTTGGGGTCTTATATGTTGACATTCTTCTTGTGCAGTGGCCTGCCAACACTTGGGAGGAACTGCATGTGCAGTGTGTTTACTGGAGTTGTATGCATGGTCACCTGAGACATTTTTCCTTTATCAGTTGAGTGTTCCTATAAGGTCAGATACCTGTTAAACTCTGGAATTTAGCCTCTTAGTTTGCATGCTTGAGCCCACTCACCCAACTCCTGAAAGCTTCTCAGGAAGCTGATCGTTAGTTTCAGGTTTTTCTATCTATCAGGAGACTGCCTTTCCCTGGTGCTGGCTATGACTAGTTATTATTTTAGAGAGACAGCTTAACAACTGCCAGATCATCACCAGATGGTCACCTGACTTTCCTAGTTGTGGAGGAGGTTCATCTTCTGCCCTGCTCATGTCTGACCAGCTACCTAGTATAACATTTTTCCCCTCAAGAGTTCAAGGCCCAAATTCTTTGGGAAAAATGGATGAAGTTCAGTGTTTTGTAACTTCTTCCTGCTGACCAGAGGAGCTCTGGTAGTGATTCTGTGAGTTTTGAACTCTTGCTAGCTCTCAGGGCAGGGTGGTTCCCTGAGTTGGTGAAAGCAGTATCCAGCTAGGTACAAGGGTAATAGGGGCAGGATCTCACTTTTGTCATGTCCCATTGATGGGCAGTCTAGGACTATTCTGTAGTAGGATGGTTCTTGAATATTCATAGGATAGTATTTCTCATTGAGGATTATCTGAAGCTTGATGGTCCATCCCTGTGGTTTCTTTTAAGTTGATGTCAGGAATTATTGGTTGATTTACAGAAACAAGCAGCGTTAGTCTAAATTGTAGAAAAACTCAGAAGCAACTGATGAGACCAGAATCCAATAACAGGTGTACCATAATTATTAAAACATAATTTTTCTCTCTTCTGTCCTCATTTTTAATAAAAACGAATTATGGTAAGACTGATTTGTTTGCAAAATAAGCTTTAGTCTTATTATACTTAGCCTTATTGTTTGCATAAGGCACAGCGAAAATAATTATTTTTCATATAGGCTTCTTTTTAAATTGGCTTTGATGAAACTTTGTTTCACAAGGATCTAGTTAAGAGACTTTTTTAAAATCCTTGAATCCAGCCATGGATTTGTGCCACTGAAAATCTGTGTAAGTTGGGTAAATTCCTCTCCTCTTGAGGTTCCACGATAATGAGGCTGCTGGGCCTGTCAGAAAGTGACATTCTTTTCTTAACACAGGTCAGGAACCATGTAAAGGGCCTATGTAAACAAGATATGAAGCCAGTTTTCCTAAGGGGCTTTTATTGGCCCTATAAATAAACATTGATTCCTTAAATGGAAGCACATCATTCCTATTAAAGCCTTGATAAAATAAACAGTTTCTCCAATAGTGTCCCGTTGCAAAATAAAACAAATTCTTATTGCATTTATGCAAATAACTATATAACTATTAGTTAGGAATGCTCACAGATAATTTCTAAATTTTGAAGAAATCAGGTAGAGAGAAATATGCTCCAAATTTTGCTTATAGGAGTATATTTTATTCAATTGTTAAAAGAAATAGCTTTAAATTTTTTTGGCTGTGAAAAACAAATAATCAGCAACGTTTTAAGCAAAAATCATAAAAGGATTATTTCAGTCTTCTGTTAGTTCAGTCCATGTAGTTAACTCCTATTCTGCTTGATCATTATGAACATTTTCACTCTCAGAGTCCTGAATGTTTTTTTCTTTATTCTAATGTCACAATCTCTAAAGTTACCAGAAACCTGCATTCAAAAGCAGACACATAGACCACTATAACAAAATAGAGAAGCTGGGGACAAATCCATACACCTAGAGTGAAATCATTTTTGACAAATGTACCAAGAATAAAAACTGGGTAAAAACTGTCTCTTCAGTAAATAGTCCTGGGAAAACTGGGTATGCATATGCAGAAAAATGAAAGTAGATCTTTATCTCCTGCTATATTCAAAAATCAAACAAAGATAGATTAAAGACTTAAATTGAAGGCCTCAAACTATAAATCTGCTCCAAGGAAACATTAAGAAGAAACTCTACGACATTGTTCTGGGCAAAGATTTTTTGAGCAATACCCCACAAGCACAGGCAACCAAAACAAAAATGAACAAATTGGATCATATCAAGTTAAAACGCTTCTGTGCAGCAAAGGGAAACCATCAACAAAGTGAAGAGACAACCCATAGAATGGGATAAGACATTTGCAAATTATGCATTTGACAAGAGGTTAATAAACAGAATATATAAGGAGCTCAAACTACTCTATAAGAAAAAATCTAATAATCCAATCAAAAAATGGGCAAAATATTTGAATAGACATTTCTCAAAAGAAGACATACAAATGACAAACAGGTACATGAAAAGGTGCTTAACATTATTGAACATAAGATAAAAGCAAATTAAAACTATAATGAGATAGCATCTCACCCCAGTTCAAATGGTTTATATCCAACAGGCAGACAATAAATAACAAATGTGGATAATTATGTGGAGAAAAGGCAATCCTTGTCCCCTGCTGGTGGGAATGTACATTAATGCTACCACTATAGACAACAGTGTGGAGGTTCTTCAACGAACTAAAAATTGAGCTACCATATGATCCAGCAATCTCACTGCTGGGCATATAGCTAAGATTGGAGGCAACCTAAGTGTCTATCGACAGATTCCTGTATAAAGAAAATGTGGTACATATACACAACAGAGTACTATTTAGCCATAAAAATGAGATCCAGTCATTTGCAACAACATGGATGAAACTAGAGATTATTATGTGAAGTGAAATAAGCCTGGCACAGAAGACAAATATCACATGTTCTAGCTTATTTGTGAAATCTGAAAATCAAAATAATTAAACTTATGGACTTAGAGAATAGAATGATGGCTTCCATAGGCTGGGAAGGGTAGGAGGCAATTGTGGGGAAAGTGGGGATGGCTAATGGGTACAAATAAAATAGTTCAAAAGCATGAATAGGACCTATTAATTAATAGCACAACAGGGTGACTATAGTCAATAACTTAATTGTACATTTTAAAATAATGCAAAAAGTGTAATTGGATTGTTTGTAACTCAAAGTACAACTGTTTGAGGGGGTGGATACTCAGTTTTTCATGATATGTTTATTTCACATTGCACACCTGTATCAAAACATCTTATGTCCCATTTAACTATACACATCTACTATGTACCCACAAACATAACAAAATTAAAAAATAAATTAAATATTAAACATACATCTACCATTTGAAATCGCCATTTAGAAAATGAAAAGTGTATATGCCCATACAAAGACTTATACACAGATATTCATAGAAGTTTTTTGTAATACCCCCAAACTGGAAACAACCCAAATATTCATAAACAGTTGAATGAATAAATAAAATGTGGTATATCAATACAATAAAATATTATTCAGCAGTAACTACTGAATATTAAATATATGCAACATTAAATACATAAAACATGGAGGATGGAAAAATGAGGAATTGTTCAATAAAGTTTCAGTTACACAAGATGAATACATTCTAGAGACTTGCTATACAACATAGTGCCTATACTTAACAAGACAGTATTGTGCCCTTCAACGTTTGCTGAGGGTACATCTCATGTTACACGTTCTTACCGTGAAAAAAAGAAAGGAACACATGAAAAGTGCCGGATATGTCTATTACTTTGATAGCAGTAATGATGTCACAGGTGTTTGCATATGTCCAAACTCATCAACTTGTATACATTAAATATGTGCAGTTTTGTATATTAATTATACCTCATGAAGCTATTAAAAATAAAACATAGAATTTTATTCCCAAAATAGAGGACTTCAAAAAACTTTTCACAAGATATTCACTCTAATCTACATTAAATGAAATGAGCCAGTTACAGAAGGACAGATATGGCATGACTACACTTATATGAGGTATGTAAAATAATCAGAGTCATACAAATGGAGATAGGAATGGTGGGACTGCAGAAAGGAAAAAATGGAGAGTTGTTGCTCAATTGGTATAAAGTTTAAATTATTCAAGATGGATGTGTTCTAGAGATTTGCTGTACAACATAGTACCTTATTTAACAATATTTTATTGTGCACTTAAAATTATCTTAAAAAGGTAGACCTCATATTAAGTGTTCTTACCAAAAAAAAGAGACACGACAAAACTTTTGAAGGTGATGGGTATGTCTATAACTTTGATCTGGTGATGGTTTCACAGATAAGATGAAACTCACAACATTACATACAAAATATACAAATTTGTGTATCAGTTGAATTTAATAAATCTTTTAAAATTAATAGAAAGTAAATGAAGGTTTATTTATGAACTTTATCCTATTCCACTGGTCTATATGTCTTTATTTTAGCACCATGCTATTTTGATTACTGTCAGTTTGTTGTAAGTTTTGAAATCAGAAAATGTCAGCCCTTTGAGTTTTTTTCAAGACTGTTTTGGACATCTAGAGTCCCTTGATTTTCCAAATGAATTTTAGGAAGGATTTTTCCGTTTCTGCCAAAAAAAAAGTCATGAGCATTTTTATAGAGATTGCATTGCACTTATAGATCACTTTGGAAAGTTTGTCGTTTAAGTAATATTATGTCTCTAATTCCTAAAAATAGGATTAACACAATGTGGTACGTCAATGTAATAGATTAGTATTACTCAGCAGTAAAACATCATGAATTTATTATATGCTACCACATAAATGAAACATCATAATACCACATGAAAACATCATAATAAATGAAATGAGCCAGGAACAAAAGGACAGATATTACATGATTCCACTTATGTAAGTTACCTAGTATAGAGAAATTCATATAGATTGAAAATAAAATGGAGGTTATCAGCAGCTCAGGATATATATAAATGGGGAGTTATTGTTTAGTAGGTACAGTCTTCTATTGGGATGATAAAAAAGTTCTCAAAATTCATACTGATGATGGTTGCACAACGTTGTGAATGTACTTAATGCCACTAAAAATGTACACTAAAACTTGTTAAATGGTAAATATTGTTATGTATATTTACCACAATAAAAGTATCCTGCCAGAAAAAAATCATTGTATGTATTTAAAGGCTATTTCAAACATGTGATATGAGTAATAATGGCAAACATAAAAAAGAAATTTCTATTTCTGGAAGTAAATGGAATTAATGAAATTAGAAGACATAGTAATTTACCTAGAGCTATAGTTAAAATTTTTAAAGATTTGATGTAGAAGGTTAAAATCTATTTGGAATATGTGAAAATGCTACATATCACATGCAGAAACAAATTAGCAGTGGCAGGAGTTCACGTTCCTTTCAAATGGTGCAATACTTCCTTTTGATATTTAAAATCCTAGGGTGCTCCAAACCTAGACCATATGCATATGAGTAATTTTATTTTCCACTGAATTCAAGAACTACACTTGGTTGCAATCACTCCTTTACCTCCATTAGCTCCCCGTCTCTTATTTTTTTACTACCTATAGAATCTATACATTCTTCATGGTTTCTAATAGCTGCACTGCTTGTACTGGCTTCACTTTAATGGTTTCTACGGGTTCTATAATTTCCCTAACTTCTGAAGTTTCCTTCTCTCCCATTACTTCCATCTCTATTATGTTGTTTACAGCTTTTACCTCTTCCACCTCTGCCTTAACTTGGCCTAATCACAAGCTCAAAATAATAAAAGAAAGCCACCCAACAAAAACACATTTGAATTTTAGTAAATGAAACACAATTACTATTCATCTTATATCTATCTACCATGTCTAGCCACATTTTTATCTGAGAGGTTAGACAAGAAAATAAAATAAGTGTATCTAGATTAAAAGGGAAGCAGTAACATCTCTGTAGATGAAATGAGCTGATATGGAGAAAAAAGATTCCACATGAAAAACATCTGTTAAACCTAATAAATGAACTCAGCAAATGTTTAGGATAAAAATTAAAACTGAAAGCTATGCTATTTCTATAAACAATAAACAATAAGAAAAATAAATTAAGAAAATAATTACATTTGTAATAGCATCAAAATGCATAAGGTACTTAGGGATAAACTTAACCAAGGAGGCAAAAGACTTGTGCACTGAAAACTACAAAACATTACTGAAATAAATTAAAGAAGATACAGATAAAATGGAAAGACACCTATGTTTATAAATTGAAGTCAATATTGTTAAAATATCCATATGACCCAAAGTGATCTACAAGTTCAATATAATCTCTGAAAAATCCCAGCAACCTTCTTATCAATGATAGAAGAACCCATTCTAAAATTTATAGGTAAATTCAAGGGACGTCAAACAGCCCATAGAGTTGTACAAAAGAGCAACTCACATTTTCTGATTTCAAAACTTATTGCAAAGCTACAGTAATCAAAGCAGCATGGTACTTTCATGAAGGCAGACATATGGATGAATGAAATAAAAGAGAAAGTTCAGAAATAAACCCTCACATATATGGTCAATTACTTTTTGACAAGGGTTCCATGACCATCAAATGTGGAAAGAAGAATCTTTTCAACCAACGGTGATGTGAAAACTGGATATCCACATGCAAAAGAATAAAGCTGGACCCTTACCTTAAAACATTTATAAAGATTAACTGAAATGTGGATTCAAGACCTAAATATAAAAGATAAAATTGTAAAACTCTCTGTTAGAAAAAAGCATTCAAAAAATGCTTCATGACACTGTATTTGGCTATGATTTCATCTATATGAGACAAAAAGCACAGGCAAAAAAAGAAAGAAAAATACTTTGGACTTCATTAAAAGTAAAAAAAAAATTATATATCACAGAGACCTAAAAACTGAGTAAAAATACAGCCCACAGAATGGAAGAAAATAATTTTACATTAAATATATTGTAAAGGATTGATATCTAGAATATATCAAAAAACTTTTACAACTAGACAAGAATAAAAAACCCAATTAATAATAGAGAAATAACTTGAATATCAACTTTTCTGCAAAGAAAATATACAAATGGATAATAAGCACATAAAAAGACACTTGTCATCACTAGCCATTAGGATAATGCAAATCAAACACATAATGAGGTACCTTAGGCACATTAGAATGACTATTATTAAAATAACAGAAAGTTATAAATATTGGAAAGGATATCTATATATATTAAAACTGATGTGCATTGTTGAAATATTCTATCTGCTATGGAAAATAGTATGGTGATTCCAGTAATTCTATTTTTGGATATATACTTCAAATTATTGAAATCAGAGATTCTAACAGATATTTGTACACTGATGGTAACAGCAGAATTATCCATAATAGCCAAAAGGTGTAAACAACTCAAATATCTATCAACCAATGAATGGATAAAAAAAAACATGGTGCAATGGACTGGATGTTTGTGTTACCCCCAAATTTATGTGTTGAATCTCTAATCCCAAATGTGATGTTCTTTCTTAGAAGGTGAGACTTCTGAGAGATAATTAGATCATGAGAGTAGAGCTCTCATAAATTGAATTAGTGATCTTATTAAAGTGACCAAAAAAAGCTCTCTAGTCCTCTTAGCTTCACATAAATATGCAATTAGAAATTGGCTGTCTGCAACATAAAAGCGGGCCCTCACCAGAACCTGATTACATTGGCACCTTAATCCCAAGTTTCTAGCATCTGGAACTATAAGAAATACATTTCTGATGTTTATAATACATCCAGTATATAGTAATTTGTTATAGCAACATTATCTAAGACAGAATTTGGTACTAAGAAATGATAGTGCTGCTGCAACAAATACCAAAAAATATGAAAGTGGCTTTGGAAATGGGTAAGTGGTAGAGGCTTAAAGAGTTTAAGGTACACGGTAGAGAAAGCCTAGATTGCTGGTTAACAAAGTTTTAAAGGTAATTCTAATGAAAGCTCAGAAAGAAAAGAGGAGATGTGTAAAGAAGTTTCTATTTTCTGAGAGAATGCCTAAGTGATCATGAACAGAATGTTAGGAAAAATATGAAAACTAAAGGCTATTTTGATGAGGTCTCAGTCATAAATGAGAAACATATTATTGGAAACTGGAGGAAAAGTAACAGTTGTTAAGAAGCGGCAAATAACTTTGCTGAATTACGTTTGTGTTCTAGTATTTTGTGAAAGATAGTACTTGTGAGTGATGATATTGGGTATTTAGCTGAGATGATCTCTAAGCAAAGTTTTGAAGAAGTGGTTTGGTTCCTCCTGACTACTTATAGTAAAATGTGAGGAGAGAGAAAGGAAGATGGAATTGTTAAGCAAAAAGAAACCAGAACTTAAAGATTTGGAAAATTCTCAGCCTATTCATACTGCAAAAAAAAAAGAGAGTGAGAGAGAGAAAGAATATTTGGAAAGGAACACTGAAGTGTTGTCAAGCAATTGTTTGAAATATATATATATATATATGTGTGTGTGTGTATATATATATGTGTGTGTGTGTGTGTATATATATATATATATAATATATATATATATATAATATATATATATATATAATATATATATATATATAATATATATATATATATGAACTGTAGATTTAATGAATCACCTCAACAAAACCTAGGAATAATAATGGGATTATAGCAGCAGAAATCAGCAGAAATAGTTTTAGTTAAGACTAAAGGGAACAGAGAAAATTGGACAAAATGAAGGAAGATCTTCAGACTTCTTAGACTGTGCAGGACTGGACTAAAAAACTATTTGTCTATAAGCACATGTTATTCTTTATGACAAGAGAAGGACCTGAACAGCATTCAAGGATCATCAGGGCTGCCACTCCCACTATATGCTAAGAGTGCGCAATCCTCGCAGGGAGGGGAAGGGCTGCCTCCACCTTGATTTCAAAGTGTAAGACCAACACTCAGCAGAGTCATAGGGATGGGGCCACTTGGTGTTGCCCTGATAGTATAACCCCTATCCTAATAGAGAACTACAGCATGGGTGGGTCCACAACAAAGAACATCAAATTAGAGACAGCTCTCTATCAATCTGTGTGGGTGGCATTGCTATCCAGTGGGTCCAGAAGGCAGGACTGCTGCTCCACAGGGTCTGGAAGGTAAAGATTTGAGCCAGAGAGGATTATTTTTGACACTTAATGTCTTACGGAGTTCGCCTTACTAAATGTTGGACTTGTTTGGAATCTGTCACCCCTTCCTTCCCTATTTCTCATTTTTGGAATGGGAATGACTAATCAATGCCTGTTGTACCATTGTATTTTGGAAGCGTATAACTTGCTTGGTTTCATGGTTAGAGAGGAATTTTACCTCAGGCTGAATCATATCTTGAATCATACTCATATCTGATCTAAATATCTCGATGAGACTTTGAACTTTGATGAGACTTTTGGGCTTTAGAGTTGACACTGTAATGAGTTAATACTTGAGATTTTTGGGAAGGAATAAATGTATTTTGCGTGTGAGAAAGGCATGTATTTGTGAGAAGGAGGCAAAGCACAATAAAATGAGGTATGTCTGGAGCCTCAATGTTCAAAATGTCTGCTAGATGAATCTAAAGACATAATAGCAGAAATGACTATAGGTACAAATTTTGCTGACAAGGCTATATGGCTATTTAAGTAGAAGGAAACTGGAAGTAGGAGCCACTGACAGATTTTGATAGTCTGCACATATATCACATAAATTGAGCATAAAAATTGATGAAGTTAATCTATTCTGTTGAATGAAGATTTATTCATTATATTCTTTATTTCATCGTGGGTTGCTTTCTACAAAAATACTTAAAGGTCAGGAGTTCTAGTTCCTTCTATGCCTTTCTTTATCCAGGATGAAAACAAATTGAGCTGATAGGGATTTTGAAAATCTGACATTTGAATTGTCTTATCGGAATTACTTATTAAGTCTCTGGTCTAATCACTCTGTGATCCAGTTATTATGGTTGACTTGTTAACTATTATTGGATGACTACATAATGTGATATAATAATTGATAGCTTGACAACCCAACTACAAAATGGTTTACCAAGTGGCCTCCAAAGTCGTGGTATATATTTTGTAAATTTTGGTCATGTGGTATGTAGATTGTTTGTAAAGCAGAACTTATGATTAAAATAAATGAAAGGATTAATTTTCTTAAAATTAAGTTTGCTTGTGTTTATAAGCACAGTGCTTCCAATCATACTCTCATTACCCAACACTAAATGATAGAGGATCTATGGTGCTATATAAAATTTTATATCTCTATTTGGTGCAATTTTTTAAATGTCAATATTTATTTTTTAATACAATTTTATTCCAGTAAGTAGTAAAATAAGTCACTTGTTTTCTTAGTTTTCTACTCTTAAAATAAGATTTGCTATTTCTTAATAAGAAATTATTATTGAGAGTTACTTGTATGTTTCCCTAAAAGAATGCCTATTTCTCATCATCATTATTAGAACTGAACAATTTAGGGGCCCTTACTGTGGAAATGAATCAGTTCTAATTGTAATTAGTGAACAAAAAAATTCAAAATTCCATTTTGATGGAAGAAAAATAATTCTGATGACTACTGCTCAATGTCTTCTAGTTAAGTGTCTTAGATATGTTTAATTAAATGTGGCTGAAATGTTTCTGAATGGGAAGTAGCAACAGTTAAACTATTGACTGATATTCATGAAAATTCATCTGGAAGACATTCTGTTCCTAATAAATGAACAAACACATAGTTGCCGACATTTTTAGAGCACTAACTGCTTAAATTTTCAAAAATAATACTTATTTTTTAGGAAACATTATTCAACAAGCTCACCATTTAGAGATACCTTTTTTCCATAAATAGATTTATGTTTCATAAAATGAAATTATAATATACATTGTTTGCAGAAGTGTTCATTTATTATCACATATACATTTTCACATGTTATTAAATATTCTACCTCACCATTTGAATGGCTATATGGTAGCTTATTGCATAGCTATACATAAATGTATTTATTTATTTTACATAATTAAGTATTTTCTAGTAAAAAATTACAGTATTATAAACAACATTGCAATATACATTCTTGAAGATAGAGCCATGGTGAGTTCAATGTGATAAATTTCTAGAATCGGATTGCTCACTTGAAAAGGTGTATGTGATTTTAATATTATACAGACATGCACACACATACAATTAATAGCCAAATCTCCAGGGAAGTTGTTAGCATTACACTCCCTTTAGATAATGAGAATGTCTAATTTCTCACTTCCTTCACATCACCAGGTTTTAACGTTCTCCTTAATCTTTACCAATTAGTTATTTTTAATTTTTCACTATCTTAATTGTAATTTTTTGGTTATTTGGAGTTGGTCTTTTTTGTGTTTATCAGTCACTTTTATTTATCTTTTTGTGAGTTAGCAGTGAACACCCGTTTCCAATATTTTCTACTAAAATATTTATCATTTGAGTTGTTTCTCATTGAAATATTTAATCTAGAATGTATTTTTGTATAAGCTACATAACAGAAACTTAATTTGTCTCAAATTTATGACAAGTAATCTTTAATATGCAACTAAGATGTTTGCCTTAGTGAGTAAGAAACAAAAGACTTTATGTCAATATGGATATTTAAATAATATGAAATATGAAATGCAGTTTATTAAAGTGCCATTTTAGTTAATATGTAGTGACGCCCATATCCTCCACTGCTTTTAAAATATCTTCCTACAATATCCCATCAACACTTTTAAATGACTGATACTACACAGTTAATTCAATTTAAACTTCTCTAACCCAAGTAGGAGTTTATCATGTTACTGGCACAGAAATTTTTCTGTAATAGGACTTTTGCTAGTATTGAAAAATTAACCCTGGAATTATATTTACTTTGTACCTCCAAAAACCATACAGTTTCAATAATAATGCTGTAGTCATTGTGCCAAACAAAAACAAAAAGAATAAAAAAAAATAGTTTCTGAAAAGTTTTCACTGACATGCAAGCTTGTCCAGAACTAGACTGCTAATTTCAGTAACTTAATTCTGATGATTTTATCTTTTTTTTAAATTTTTTTTTTTGAGATGGAGTCTCACTCTCACTCTGTCACCCAGGCTGGAGTGCAGTGGCGTGATCTCTCCTCACTGCAATCTCCACCTCCCAGGTTCAAGCAATTCTCCTGCCTCAGCCTCCCGAGTAGCTGGGACTACAGGCACGTGCCACTGCACCCGGGTAATTTTTTTTTTTTTTTTTTTTTTTTTTTGTATTTTTAGTAGAGACGGACTTTCACTGTGTTAGCTAGGATGGTCTTGATCTCCTGATCTCGTGATCTGCCTGCTTCAGCCTCCCAAAATGATGGGATTATAGGCGTGAGCCAATTCTGATGATTTTGTCTTAATGAAGTAAATGGTATGTCTTTGATTATGGTATTTTACAAAAACTCCAAATGAATTAAATGGGATAGAAATTTGTGAAAAAGTTAGCTTTTGTTAGTATACTGCATGGTCTTGAATAGGATAGGATTTTAGCAAAATTGTCAAATTATTGGATAGACGATGCTTGCACTTTTTATTTTACTCTTTTACTACCATGATGGCTGATTTCGTAACAAATTGTGCAAAGCATACTCTTTCTGCAAAACCATAAGGAAGAGGTCTACCAAGTATAGTACTTACTTTGGAGATAAAAATAATACCAATATCAATAACAATGTTGTTGATTAAAAAATACTTGTAGAACCAACCATGTATTTCAAGAGTTAGAGGTGCTATAATAATATTTGTAGTATACAGTTTGAATAAAAAACTAAAAGTGGTTGCCAGGGTGCTAATTAACAAGTAGCTTATGGTTTCTCCACAAAAGATAGAGCCTAAGGGCTAAAAGATTGTCAGAGGGTAAACATGTTCTGTTGAATCAACTAGTTAATGAAAGAGCTACGGTGAGTCTTTTAAACAGGAGATATTTTCTAATCCAAGTATCTTTATATCATACATATCTCCAACGTGCCATATACGCTTAATGTTAAAATTCAGTTTCCTTTGAAACTTGGGAGGTAGTTAGGATTTTACATAAAATCAATTATATTCACCATGCAGAGAAAGTAATTTATTCCCCCAGTGCTGTTTTGCGCTAGTCAATGAAAATATTTGCATATAGAATGAAACAATGCATTCAAGTTTAAATGTGTGTTTGATGTTGCCACTTTGAGAGAAGTTATACCTTAATTCAATTGTATATATGAATTTGGGTTTACAGATGTAAATTCTAAAGAAAAAGTCTTTAAAAATATTTTATATCCAACATTTCTAGTTATCTTAAACATGTAGGTGAATGTGACAAGCAAACATTAAGGCGGGCCCATTGAGCTCCAGCTCCTTATGTCCACATTCTAATATAACTTTTTGTTTGTTAGCAGAACCTGTGACTTTCACCTAACAAATAGAGAATGGTGAGGTGATGGTATGTCATGCCTGTAATTGTATTACATTTTGTAATTCTCTGTGTTGCTAGCAGACTTGCTTTCTCCCTGTGTTGCTGCTTTTAAAGAAGCAATCTGCCATGAATTCTAAAATTGCAAGGAAGTATATTTTTACAATAATATGAGGTAGGTTGGAAGCAGTTCTTTCCCCCATCAAGCTCTGATAAATACTCATCCTGGGCTGACACCATGATTTCCAGCCCTGTGAGACCCTAACGAGGCATCCCAGATAAGCCATGTCGGAGGGACTAGACCACAGAAAGCATGCAATAATAAATGTGTCTTGTCTTAAGCTTCTTAGTTTATGATAATTTGTTACACAGCATAGAAAACTAATACTGTGGGTCTGGTGCTTGTTAGCTAGCATATATTGAATATATAGATCACTATGACAAATAATGGAGTATTTGGGGGAATAAAGGTATTTTGGCTAAAAGTGCTTTCTAAAAGGAATAGCTGTCTTGTGAAAAAATATTTCCTAATTGATCACTTAAAATTTTTAATGGACAGAATTTGTTTATTTTCTTCTCTGCATAGCAGGAAAACAAAGTTTTAACACCTACCTACAGCATAATTTTAACTTCTTAAACTTATTTTGATAAATATTGCCTTTCAGAGATCATTATACCTTCACAAGATATTTTAAAAGATTATTCTCAACCATTTAAATGTAAACTCCAGTGGCTTTTGTAAGAATCACACAGCATTTTAAAATATAAATAAATGTAGGACACAGATGATTGTATGTATTTTTTAAGACTATATGAAGGTGAGTTTTAAGAATATTCAGGTCACATGCTTCATGAATAAAAACTTCAAAAAACAAAAACAAACTGTACTCTGTAAAATTATAAAATAATGAATTTACTGTTAATAGCTTTATAAAACACACTGCACATTCAATTACATGTTGTCATGATTTTGAAATATTTTCAAAGGCAATGTATGAGTCACATAAGAAATCGCTTTTCATACTTAAATCTTATTTTTATTCAGTAATGGTGCTATCCAGCTTATCAGTTTCTATTCCTTCTCTATTTCTAGTCTTCCTTCTCTATTTCTATTTCTGACACCCTAACTGTTAAAAAAATTGTATACAATCTCAGAAGGAAAAAGTTTGTCATGATTAAAAGAAGTATAATGATGTTGGAAGACAACTGCAACAAAAGAGAGATTCCTTTAATACTGTCAATATCATCAAAATAATTGTATTAATAAAATACATTGCTCATGTGTTTTAACATTAAGCTTAAAGTTATATTAAATCACATTTTTATCTCATATAATATTTTAGTATCTCCATGAAGTAGTTTTAGTACTATCCCCATTGTATACTTGAGAAAACCATATATTTCCTGACGTTTCAGTGCAGGAAAACATATCTGATTGAAATGCTGGTGTTCAAAATGCCCTTACAGAATTATATCCACAATATCACAACCACCGCTAAATTTATTTCATTATAACTGGAAAAATTATCTTAAGTGGAGAGTTATTTGGTTTCAATTTAGTTTAACTTATATCTCAGCTAGTTCATTTACTGACTGTGTGACTTTGAGTAAAAGCAATAACAACAACAAAAATGTTTGCAGAGTACTTCCAGGCACTGTTCTAAGTTCTTTACATATGTTAACTCAGTCTTCACAACAAATACATAAAATACCGTATATATTTTTCGTCATCTTCATTTTGTAGATGAGAAACTGATGCACAGTGGAGTTAAGTAATTTGTTCAATGTGATAAATCCAATAAAGAACAGAAATTTGATTTCTGTCTAACTCCAAAAGCTATTGTAATTTAAGATTATGCTTTATCACTGTGGACCTTAATTATCTCAACTATAAGATTTGGATGACAATTCTCCATTAACTATTTGAGGATAGGGGCCATATCTTTAAAATAGTAGTTTGAACAATGATAGTAATTTTACTCGACCTTAAAATAGTAAGTGTTGCCCTTCGGAAAGGAAAAAGATAGAGGGAAGAGAAGCTTCAAGAGGGTACAGGCAGCACCTCCTCAGGATTAGGAGCAGAAAGCTTAGTTGCCACATGCTAAAGATCTGACAGCAGATATATTGCCTAGAGAGAAATTCTGAGATGGAGAGAGATGTAAAAATGTTGACTTATCAATGCTTAACTGAACCTGCTACATCTTCTTGCAGTTAACAATTTCCATTTTCCTTTCTGGGGGTGATTTGGTTGGTGAGTAGGATATCAACAAAGTATTCTGCACTACAAAAGAAGAGCATAGTGCTTCAGAAATCCTAATGTAAAAATATGCCTTCTCCCATCTTTTAAAAAAATTATTATTTTGCGTTCCTCTCAGCCAAAAAAGCAGTCTTCTTTCTGCTGGCTTCCTTAGTAGAATGTTGATAAGAGCTCCATAAAATACTTGATTGAAGAATTACCTGAAAGATGACTTTGTACCCATTGTAAATATGGGAAAATATTTTTAAAAATTGAGATTTCTGCCTTTCTTCCTAGTATGGTCACAACCCTCAGCCCACTCAGGACAATGGCAACAACAGAGGTATTGAACATTGGGAAAAAAGTGTATGAGGGTAAAACAACACATGTCTATGAATTATAGATAGTCCAGGACAAGTCCTCCTACAGTCCAAGGACCAGATTATAGCTGGAAATGCAGCATAATTTTAACTTCTTAAACTTATGCTGACAGAAACAATCAATTGACAAATAAGATCCCATTTGTCAATTTTGGCTTCTGTTGCCATTTCTTTTGGTGTTTTAGTCATGGAGTCTTTGCCCATGCCTATGTCCTGAATGGTATTGCCTAAGTTTTCTTCTAGGGTTTTTATGGTTTTAGGTCTTACATTTAAGTCTTTAATCCATCTTGAGTTAATTTTTGTATAAGGTGTAAGCAAGGGGTCCAGTCTCAGTTGTCTGCATATGGCTAGCCAGTTTTCCCAACACCACTTATTAAATAGGGAATCCTTTCCCCATTGCTTGTCTTTGTCAGATTTGTCAAAGATCAGATGGTTGTAGATGTGTGGCATTATTTCTGAGGCTTTCTTTCTGTTCCATTGGTCTATATATCTGTTTTGGTACCAGTACCATGCTGTTTTGGTTACTGTAGCCTTATAGTATAGTTTGAAGTCAGGTAGCATGATGCCTCCAGCTTTGTTCTTTTTGCTTAGGATTGTCTTGGCTATGTGGGCTCTTTTCCAGTTCCATATGAAATTTAAGGTAGGTTTTTCCAATTCTGTGAAGAAAGTCAATGATAGCTTGATAGGGATAACATTGAATCTTTAAATTATTTTGGGCAGCATGGCGATTTTCATGATATTGATTCTTCCTATCCATGAGCATGGAATGTTTTTCCGTTTTTTTGTGTCCTCTCTTAATTCCTTGAGCAGTGGTTTGCAGTTCCCCTTGAAGAGGTCCTTAACATCCCTGGTAAGTTCCATTCCTAGGTATTTTATTGTCTTTGTAGCAATGATGAATGGGAGTTCACTCATGGATGGCTCTCTGTTTGTCTATTATTGGTGTATAGGAATGTTTGTGATATTTGCACATTGATTTTGTATCCTGAGACTTTGCTGAAGTTGCTTATCAGCTTAAGGAGATTTTGGGCTGAGACAATGGGGTTTTCTAAATATACAATCATGTCATCTGCAAACAGAGACAATTTGACTTCCTCTCTTCCTGTTTGAATACATTTATTTCTTTCTCTTGCCTGATTGCCCTGGCCAGAACTTCCAATACTATGTTGATTAGGAAGGGTGAGAGAGGGCATCTTTGTCTTGCAGTGGTTTTTAAAGGGAATGCTTCCAGCTTTTTCCCATTCAGTATGATATTGACTTTGGGCTTGTCATAAATAGCTCATTATTTTGAGATATGTTCCAGCAATACCTAGTTTTTGAGAGTTTTTAGTATGAAGGGGTGTTGAATTTTATAGAAGGTCTTTTTTGCATCTCTTGATATAATTATGTGGCTTTTGTCATTGGTTCTGTTTATGTGATGGATTACGTTTATTGCTTTGCATATGTTGAACAAGCCTTGCATCCCAGGGATGAAGCCGACTTGATCATGGTGGATAAACTTTTTGATGTGCTGCTGTATTTGGTTTGACAGTATTTTATTGAGGATTTTCACATCAATGTTCATCAGGGATATTGGCTTGAATTTTTATTTATTTGTTGTGTCTCTGCCAGGTTTTGGTATCAGGATGATGCTGGCCTCATAAAATGAGTTTGGGAGGAGTCTCTCTTTTTCTATTGTTTGGAATAGTTTCAGAAGGAATGGTACTATCTCCTCTTTGTACCTCTGGTAGAATTCGGCTGTGAATCCATCTGGTCCTGGGCTTTTTTTCATTGGTAGGCTATTAATTACTGCCTCAATTTCAGAACTTGTTATTGGTCTATTCATGGATTTGACTTCTTCCTGGCTTAGTCTTGGGAGGGTGTATATGTCTAGGAATTTATCCATTTCTTCTAGATGTTCTAGTTTATCTGCATAGAGGTGTTTGTAGTATTCTCTGATGATAGTTTGTATTTCTGTGGGATCATTGGAAATATCCTCTTTATCATTTTTTATTGGGTCTATTTGATTCTTACAGTGGAGATGTTTTTCAAGGATGATGCCAATAATGACCCACGGTGGCCTGAAGAATAGCTAATTGTTGCAAAATTTTGCTTCTTTGGATTTGCTATAGGCCATACAGAAGTGGATATCATGAATCATGCTACACAGGCTATTTTTTAAATACTGGAGAAATCCTGGTTGCCCCAGAACTCTACACTGGTTGGAATGAAGACTACATTTGGTGTTGATGTAACCATCCAGTAAATTGTTCTTGCTGGTATTATTGATAATGATTTTTGGGGACTCTGGCCATCAGGGGATTGAAGCCAACAGAAAGACAAACTGTTGTATTGCATCCTCAAAGAAGTAAATTTTCAAGGGCTCCAAATGGTAAAAAAAAAAAAAATTTGAGTGGGTTGCAGAGAGAATTGTCACTTTAAAAAAATCAGAAGGCCTATGGAAATTTTGGAATTCCATGTGAACTTTGAGCAACATCCGCACATAATGGACGAGATGAAACTCTGAAGAGTAAAGCTGAATATAAAGGGAATAGCATTTGTACTGTATTTGTGGCAGTGGCAAGTGGAAAAAATGGTTTGGGACCAGTAATGTATGGCAGCTCTACATATCCAGTCATTAGCTGTGTTCTTCTTAAACTAGTCTGGAGAACTTAGGATGTGTGATCTTCTCTTCAACTACCCAGTGGTCCCAGTGGTCTTGCCTGTTAAACCATATTTTCTCCAGAAGGATCAGCTCATATTGCTGCTCAGATATTTGGAATAAATAAGCATTAGACATGGGGAGAACTGCAAGGAATCATTTTGAACACATGGATTCTCTTGAAGCAGGCCCACAAGAAAATTAGAGAATGTAATTTATAAGAAAGAACATCATTGTGTTTCTTATAGAGAAAAGTATAAATTTCTAATTTAGCTGCAAAAAAAATCAAGCAAGATAAAAAGGTGATTTTAAATTAGAGAACACAAATGAAATGCATTAGTGAATAAAGGCTTCTCTAGATCCATATTAATAAATATGAACACCCAATTCCTAAAAAAAGAAAATATTCTATATGGGTATTTCATTTATCACAGTGTCTGTATTAGTCCATTCTCATGCTACTATCAAGAACTGCTGGGGAATGGGTAATTTATAAAGGAAATAGGTTTAATTTACTCACAATTTCACATGCCTGGGGAGGCCTCAGGAAACTTACAATCATAGTGGAAAGAGAGGCAAACACGCCTTCTTTACATGATGGCAGAAAGGAGAAGTGCACAGCAAAAGGGGGAGAAGTCTATTATAAAACCACCAGATCTTGTGAGAACTCACTCATTCTCATGAGAACAGCATGAGGGTAACTGCACCAATGATTCAGTTACATTCCACTGGGTCCCTCCCACAACACATGGGGATTATAGGATTACAACTTAAGATGAGATTTTGGTGTGGATGCAGCCAAACCAAATCATTCTGCCCCTGGCTCCTCCCATATCTCATGTCCTCACATTTTAAAACACAATCATGTCTTTCCATCAGTCCCCCAAAGTCTTAACTCATTCCAGCACTAACCCAAAAGTTCAAGTCCAAAATCTCATCTAAGACAAGGCAAGTCCCATCCACCTATTAGCCTTTAACATGAAAAGGAAGTTAGTTACTTCCTACATACAGTGGGGGTACAGGCATTGGGTAAATACACCCATTCCAAACAGTAGTAATTAGCAAAAACAGAAGGGGCTACAAGCCCCATGCAAGTCCTAAATCCAGTAGGGCAATTATTAAAACTTCAAGTTCCAAAATGATCTCCTTCAACTTCATGTCTCACATCTGATGCAGGAGGTGGGCTCCCAAGGCCTTGGACAACTTCACCCTGTGGCTTTGCAGGGTACAGGCACCTCCTGGAAGCTTTCACAGGCTGGCATTGAGTGTCTGTGGCTTTTCCAGGTGCAAGGTACAAGCTTTTGGTGTATCTACCATTCTGGGGTCTGGAGGAGAGTGGCCCAGTTGGGACTCTGTGTGGGGACTCCAACCCCACATTCCCCTTCCACACTGCCTTACCAGAGGTTCTCCATGAGGGCTCCACCTCTGCAACAAACTTCTGCTTGGACATCCAGGAATTTCCATACATCCTCTAAAATCTAGGTGGAGGTTCCCAAACCTCAATTTTTGACTTCTGTGCACCCACAGGCCCAATACCACGTACAAGCTGCCATGGCTTTGGGCTTACACACTTTGAAGCAACAGGCAGAGCTGTATGTTGGCCCCTTTTAGCCATGGCTGAGATGCAGGGCACCAAGTATCAAGACTGCACAAAGCATCAAGGCCCTGGGCCTGGCCCATAAAACCATTTTTTCCTCCTAGGCCTCTGGGCCTGTGATAGACGGGGCTTCTTTGAAGATCTCTGACATGCCCCGGAGACATTATCCCCATTGTTTTGACAATTAACATTTGACCCTTTGTTACTTGTGCAAATTTCTGCAGCCAGCTTGAGTTTCTCCTCAGAAAATTGGAGAAATTTTTTTTCTTTTTTATCACATCACCAGGATGCAAATTTTCCAAACTTTTATGCTCTGCTTCCCTATCAAACATAATTTCCAGTTCCGAACCATATCTTTGTTAATACATAAAACTGAATGCTTTTAACAGCACTCAAGTGACCTCTTGAACATTTTGCTGTGAAGTTTTTCCTCCCAGATATTGTAAATCATCTGTCTCAAGTTCAAAGTTCCACAGATCTCTAGGGCAGGGGCAAAATGCCACCAGTCTCTTTGCTAAAGCATAGCAAAAGTCACCTTTATTCTAGTTTCCAACATGTTCCTCCCTCTGAGACCACCTCAGCTTGAACATCATTGTCCATATCACTATCATCATTTCGGTCAAAGCCATTCAACAAGTCTCCAGGAAGTTCCAAACTTTCCCACATCTTCTTGTCTTCCTCTGAGCCCTTCAAACTGTTCCAACCTCTGCCTGTTACCCAGTTCCAAAGTTGTTTTCACAGTTTTGAGTATCCTTATAGGAGTGCCCCACTACCTTGTGGTAACAATTTATTGTATTAGTCTGTTCTCATGCTGCTATAAAGTACTGTCTGGGACTGGGTAATTCATAAAGAAAAGAGGCGTAATTGACTCGTGGTTTGTCATGGCTGGGGAGGTCTCAGGAAACTTACAATTATGGCAAAAGAGGAAGCAATCATATTCTTCTTCACATGAAGACAGGAAGAAGAGGTGCCTAGTACAAGTGGAAAAAGCCCCTTATAAAACCATTCTGTCTCACGAGAATCACTCACTATCATGAGAACAGGATGAGGGTAACCATCCCCAGGATTCAATTACCTCCTACTGTGTCCTTTCAATGACACGTGGGGATTATGGGAACTACAATTCAAGATTCGGAAGGTCACACAGGCAAACCATATCACTATCTAAACAATAAAAACCACCTTGCAAAATCAGTTTGACCAAAAATTCATTTCTAACAAGTGTTCAGATTACACATCATTTATATTACTTCCTCCTGAAGATTAAACATGAAATTTATAGGTGGCTTAGAATCTTTGTTTCCAGAAAAAAAAATATTAATAATATAATTTCTTTTGATAAAATAACACCAATAAGGTATAATCAATTATGGTGAAATAATCCTTTCTATAATGCTAAAAAAGTAATTTAATATTGCAATAGACGTCAATATACTGTATCTCAAAAGCACAAGCCATATTTCAAACTCAACACAAAATTGAATCTATATCAATTTTTGCTAAAAAAATATAAAACTTTGGTAAATACAGAATCTATTTTCCTTTATTTAAATATATGTTAGTTAACGTATCCAGGATATAGACTGATAGGTAAGACAGATGATAGATGTAAATACAGATGTGGGTCTCTCTCTCTCTCTCTCTCTCTCTCTCTCTCTCTCTCTTAGATATATATATATATATATAATATATAATACTCTTTTTAAATATGTATTCTAAATAGAGTTTTATTTTAAAGACAAAGAAGGCTTTGTTTGTACCAGTAAAATCATTTTTGCAATAGCTTTTTGCAAATTTGGAAGTGAAAGATTGAGATAAATCATAGTCACCTTTAGATGGAGCTGTTTCTCCTTAGAAATAATGGCTCAGGCACATTTTATTTGACTAATCAGAAAAATAAGAATACTTTTTATAATGCTATAAAGCAGTAATGGATTTTTTAAAAACATTTATTCTCAACACAGCTAAAACAGAAAATAATAAAAAAAATCCACTTCAAACTTGCTCATGTTCTCACCAGACTCTAAAGAAATTTAGTCTAAATTAAAACCAACTCACAGTGCTGTTTGGTACATACACAAGTCAGTTTCAGGGATATGATTCTGACGATTGTGAAGCTTTTATAGAGTAAATGGTAGAAAGTGCTGTAAAGTGTCATGGTTGACATCTAGAAGTTAATAAAGTTATCTATTTCAATTTCTTAGTTTGAAAGAGCTCTCAAGAAATAATGCCATAATTTTAAAGAGACAAAACAAATCTCAGTGATTGCTTTTTAAAGGCATAAGTATACATTTAGGAAATAACATGATTGTTGGCAAACTGATTATTAGGTGAGGAAGACAAAACTTAAAACTCAATGAGGACGAAAAACGTAGAAACAAACATGGGCAAATTGTGAGCAGTTATTTAAAGGCTTAAAGCTAATTATGTGTTAATTACCTTCAGTCATTTTAGAAAGACTGACATTCCTGAAGAGGCTACATTAGGAACAGTATTGTGGATATTTCTTTATTTTGTTTCCCCATTGTACAAATAGTAAAAGAAGCATGTACAATAAACTATTATAGCAGATTCGTATTTGATATTTTTTCTATGTAAAATAGAAGTGTTTTCCAAGCAAAGCATGATATTTTCTAAATATATTTAATTTATTTCTTTCCCTGAGGATATAAAATAGACATACATATATGCATGTGCATATACATACATGGAAGCACACAAGGGTCAGGAAAGATTTATGGAATATTGTTGAGCAATATGATCTGACCTCTGTTTAGAAGAAAACCCTGGTAGCACTGTACAGTTTAACCAGACTGAAGAAATGCTATAAACAGCAAAATTCTTTCAGATACTGTTGTAAATGAGAGGTCATGAATGTCTGATTTAGTGAAGAGTGAATAAAAATTTAAAAAAGAGAGAGAGAGAAACAGGCATAAGAGGCATTATTGAGGTAAGAACTGTTATGCATACACTGAGTTGGTAATCGATCATCTGTGAGTAGAATTAATAATGACAAATATGAGTAGTCTATTCGTATTGTTTGAGCTAAGTAATACATCAAAGAATACATTGCAGAAAGATAAATTTTGAAGAAAATTGTTTTATAATGTAAGGGTCTGAGGGCAAACATAATAATCTTATATTGTGTTGTTTATTATAGGTTTCTAACACAATTGAATAGAATTAGAACCAAACAAACTGTTTCTGTGATCTTCACAGTTAAGGCCAAAACCAGAAGCATTTGAATTTGACATAGAGAAAATTTCTTATTCAAAGAAGCCTCAGCATTTTCACTAAAATAAATAAATAAATAAATAAAAATTAACAAGCTTTAGGTAACCATCCTGCTATTTCTATGTTTCTCATATTTCTTTAGCAACCTACACCTTTATATATATACAAATATGTAATGGTAAAGTCACCTGATTCCAATGGATATTAAACTTTATATGCTAATAATTTTTCAGTTTAAATGCTCTTCTGTTTGCCTTCTATTTCTAAACCTACTTTAAAAATAGACATACCTCATTGTTGACTCATTTCACCCAGAATGAACATATTTATTATTAACAGCTCAATGTAAAGATATTCATGAAATCATATATCATCAAACACTACTTTATAATGAGATAAGTTTTATTTTACACACCACCAATCATTCTGTTGAATTTGTATTATAAAACATATATTTTTTTTAAACTGAAGGTTTTCTCTTACAAATTTTAGTCTCCAGTCACATGATATTACACTATTTGGATAGTAGGTGAAATAAAAATCAGTGATCTATATGTTATGTATTCATCTTGTTAGCTGTGAAAATCTGGGATAAATTTGTGAGAGTATTAAGATGTAATTACAGTCATAACAAAATAAGGTGTGCTTAAATCATCCTGCTTTTCTGGGAAATTTTTTAACATGTATACATAAATGGAGCATAAAGCCAATAAGAAACAAGGCCTGTTAATAGAAAAACCAAACTCTGTAATACATTTAAAGAGGTTTATTCCTAGCTAATATGACTGACCATGGCTCAGGGAACAGTCTCAAGAGGCCCTGAGAAAGTGTGCCTAAATAAGTTGGCTTAGAATTTGGTTTTATACAATTTAGGAAAATGGGAATTGTAGGTAAAATTAGAAAATTAATACATGGGAAGTGTACATTGGTACTACCTAAAGAGCATATTTTGAAGCTGAAGGGGGTTGTTTATGGGTTACAGGTGAATTCAAAGATTCTCTAATTGTCAATTGGTTGAGAAAGTTAAGTTTTGTCTAAGTACTTGAAGTAATTAGAAAGAAATACTTAAGATAAGGGAGATTGTGGAGGTTAAGGTTTTGTTATGTAGATGAAGTCTCATAGGTAGCAGCCTTCATAGGGAATAGTTGGTAAATGTCTCTTTTCAGAATTTAAGGGTGTCAGACTCTCATTTACTCTCTCCTAGACCTGGGAAAGGCGTAGAAAGGAAAGTCTTCCTGCATTAATGGAGATTCTCTACGTATGCAAATTTCACTAACAAAAATGGCTTTATAAGGCCATTTCAAAATACGTCAAAGAAATGTATTTTGGGGTACATTATTTTCATTTTTTTCAGGATATGTCATCTGCCAAATGATGCTGGACCAGAGTCAGGTCAGAAATTAGTATCTTATTGCTGCAAAAAGTCTGTTTTGTTAATCCTATGATCTCTGTTTTAATGATAATGCTAGTCAGTTGAACCTAAAGTCCAAAAGGGAGGAGGTATAATAAGTTGTGCCCAACCTCCTCCGATTATGTCTTACAATTCAAATTTTCAGGTTTCTCTGAGGTTCCCTTGGCCCAGAGGGGTCTGCTTAGTCAGTTAGGGAGACTAAGATTTTATTTTTGGATTACAGATTCATTTTCATTCTTATCTAGGGCACTCCTAAATACCACCTATCACACACTCCAATGCAGCTTAGGCTTAAAATTCAATAGGCATTCTATTCTACTTCCTTGTAAGCCTAAATCTAAAGCTTGAACTCCTGCTATTTTCTGGATAACCATATTTTGCAGGGACACAAAACAATAATTAGCACACTTAGGCTGGGATGGGTAGAAAAAAAATACATTGATTGATTCATTGAGTACAGGTCCTCTTGACAGAAGCTCCTTCCTGGATTGGTTTAAATATAACGACTTTCCTCATTTGTGAACACAGTCCAATCATAGTCCATTTCAATGTGTATTATTTCCTCTTGAGGAGAAGGAGACAGTTTTCTTTCGTTTTAGTAACTAATAATCTGAAAAAATATATAAACAGAGCATCTGGGTTTTCAACTGTCACACAAGTGGTTTGGTACCTTGGAAAGAAAGCAGAAAGGCTAAGGTTGCATCGGCAGGTTTGGGAGATGGAAGATGACTGGGAATCATTTATAATAGGACCTGGTTTGAGGAAAACAAATTAGCATTAGGAATGATTACAAAAATAACTCAATTTAAATTAGAAGTAAATTTCAAAGAATTACAATTTTCATATGCCTACAAAGCCTAAGGTTAAGCATATGAAAAGATGTACCACATCATATGTCATCAGGGTCATTTAAATTAAAATAACCATGAGGTACTACTACATACCTATTAGAATGGCCAAAATCTAAAACTCTGGAAATATTAATATACAGAATAGTTTATGTTTGAACATAGGTTCAACTTAAAAATAAAAACTGAGCTTTTTCCAATTTGCAATATTGCTTCTTATAAAGTTGTCCATTATTTCTGAGGCCAAAGCTACATATGATTTTCATAAAAATCCCTTTTTGAAATTAATTTTTATTCCCCCATATGTTCTGATACAGAAAGTCTTTGGATACGCTAAGACATGATGATTGACTACCTGGTTCTATTATGATTTTGTTGCTTCAGAACTACTTTTTATTCTTTTGGCCATTACTTGGAAATATACACACTTATTAATTTATATTAAATAATTTTGAGTTAGAATAAACATTATATACTCTGTAAAGTTGACTTTAACTACAAATAAAGTACTTTTTAAAATCGTTAGTATCAAGCAGAAAAAAATGTTTCCTCTACCTCTTATGTTCTGTAACTGGAGGACAGTGAATTAAACTGAAAAATAGAGATTAATGGGAGAAAAAGTTTCATATGTATGTATACAGAAGTCAACAAAGAAGTAGGTGGTTCATTAAATAATTTAACTTAGAAGCTTGTATACCTAACTTAGCTGAAAATGGAAGGGTGCAAGAAAGGTTCTTACGGGAAGAACACGGATCCCTTTAGGGAAAAAATGGGATTTTAGGAGAACGAATGAAACAACATTTTTCTATACATAAATGAGTGGACTTTCCATATTCTTCAGGGTTATAAATCTCTTTAAATAAGGGTTTATGCAGGCTTATCGTTATTCTTTCTGTTGGGAGTAGGCTGTTCTTAAAGAGACTATATGGAAGTCTCATTTTCCAGAAGTTGAAGTTTTAGTTCTATAAGGGAAGCTCAAAAAGGGCTTCCTTTTGTATTTGTTGAATCTCAAATTTCTGCAGCCTAAAATAATTTTTATACCAACCCTGGGGTCCTGAATGGGTCCACACATTAGTATTAGGTGCTATTGGGATATAAAAAATTAATTGTAGATTCTGATTTAAAATATATAGCCTAAAAATATTTATTTAATTTAGTAAACACAATGTGTTCTCCTTATTATATGTCAGATACTATTTTAATAATGATATCATTATAATTTAATTATACTAAATTTTTATACATTTAATATATTTTTATGCAATTAATTTAATTATAAACATAATTAAATGCAACTACTTTGGATTTGGTAACATAGCATAGCATTTTCCCAAAAAAATCTTATGCAGTAGCAACTTTTAGTATTTGTAGTTGACAGATAAGGATACTGAAATATAGAAAAGAAGGTAATTTGCTAATGATCACATAACTAGCAAGTGTAGAGTAGCAATCAAAACGTTATGATTTGAATGTTCCCTCCAAAACTCACGTGGAAATTTAATTGTCAATGTAATTGAATTCAATGGTACGGCCTTGAAAAGGTGCCCAGGGAAGGCAGATTTATGCCATTATTGCAGGAGTGGGTTAGTTATTACAGTAGTTCAGGTTCCTCTTTCTCTTTGTCTCATGTATTGTCTATTTCTCTCTTAACTTTCAGCATGGAATGCCCCTCAGCAGATGCCAATACTATGCTCTTGGACTTCCTAGTTTCCAGAAGTTTGAGTAAAAATAGCTTATTTTCCTTATAAATTACCCAGTCTATAGTATTCTGTTATAGCAGCAGAAAATGGTGTAAGACACAGACCCAGGAAGTTTGAATTGATAGTTGTGTGATACAATTTAATCAGTTGTGTTGATTAAGCTCTAATGCCTATGATGTTACACAGTGGCAACAGAAAGTATGTGCAAATTTTTAAAATACTACAAACTTAGTAAAATACTAATTATTATGTAGCTATAATCAAAAGCAGCTATTAGAACTGGTTTTAAGTCTCCAAAAACTTAACAAAAACTACCTGAGTAGTGTTCGGGAAATTTAATTTAAACCAAAATGTTCTCCCAACCCAGAAAACCTCTCCAAAAAGGTAATAGAGAAGGAAAAGAGTTTTCTTATTGAATAGGCATTAAAGCAGAATGTGATGTCCATCACAGGCAATCTTTTAAGCAATTTTAAGACAGAAAGGAATCTCACCCCCTTATGCAGCCAAACAGACACAACCCACTATATACATGTTTTTCAGATAAATAATAATGTTTTCAAATAAGAGGACTTAACATCTTTTGTACACATAGTTTGTCTTAACTTTATCATGTAATTGGAGAGACCCCTGTGTTGGCTTTACCCTGAGAGGAAATAAACTTACTGCAAATTGGAGCAAAATACCCACTGAAGTTCGCCTCTTGTCCCCCCAGAGAAAGTGGGAAATAGGAGCACTATCTCCCTTGATGTTTGCATTTCAGAACGATGGATACAAGTTCCTTGTGGAAACATTCCTTAGTTGTGAGACTGGGAAGAGGCTGAAATATTTCAGAACTTCGGATACAAATTCCTTGAGGAAATATTCCTGAATTGTGAGACTGGGAAGAGTCTAACATATTCATTAAAAAATTCACAAATATTTGAGAAGGACAGAGAAAGAAATTCGGAAACAAAGCTTTGGGAAGAAGCATCTGCCCTTATTTTCATGAGGGAGCATTCAGTCTCTTATTCTTAAATTTTTGTCTGCCTTTATACTGAAAATAATTTTCTAAGCCAACTAATCAATGCCTGTTCTTTTCTTCTCAAAGTCAGTCAATCAGGGATAGCCTCATTCTGATAAACATCCCTTGAAGTGTCAATAAAAAAATAAGTTTCATCTAAGTAACAAAGTTTCTACAGATTATGACAAGCTAATTACACCGCTGATTTCCAGTCAATCCTTGTACTCCATACTTCTTCAAAGCTATCCAAGATTAGCTATCTGCTCTGCTTGGAGAGATGGTGTCTGATGAGCAGATCACTCCCTTACTGTAGAAAGTGTAAACTCCACTTTGTTATGTTTTCAGATCATGAATGGTAGTTCTATCCTCCTTTGACATACAGTGTAGAAAGTAGAAATGATGAGAAACAATCTTTATTTTTATTTATTTTTTCAAAGTGACCCAACTGAATCAGCAGATCCGAGATAAATTATTCCCATAGTGGTACTACGGTGCTACAGAGTATCAAGATCCAATGTAAATCATGCAAAGAAAATAGCAATAGTCATATCCTCATAATTCTTGGACACTAACTAGAAAGAGAAAGAAAACAAAGAAATAAGAGTATTATAGTTCTTAATACATAGCAGGCATATTGTTATATATTTCAAATTTAATCCTCACTATCCTCACTGCAACCTTCTTTGAAACTTTCTGTTTTATTTTACACACGCACACGTCCACACACAAATACACACACACAAGTCTTGAGCTCTATGACATTTTGATCAATGATGGATTGCATTATGATGGTGGTCACATAAGATTATAAGAGAACTGAAGCTGAAAGATTGCCATCACCTGGTGAGATTATAGCCATCCTAATGTCATAGCACAACACATCACTCACTTGTTTGTGGTGGTGCTGGTATAAACAAACCTATTGCACTGCCAGTCAAGAATAGCACATACAATTATGTATGGTGTATGGTACATAACACTTGATAATAAACAACTGTTTTATTGGTATATGTATTTATAATACTATACTTCTTCTTTTTTTTTTTTTTTTTTTTGAGGTGGAGTTTCACTCTTGTTGACCAGGCTGGAGTGCAATGGTGTGATCTCGGCTCACTGCAACCTCCGCCTTCCAGGTTCAAGTAATTCTCCTGCCTCAGCCTCAGGAGTAGCTGGGACTACAGACGCCCGGCACCATACCCAGCTAATTTTTTGTATTTTTAGTAGAGACGAGGTTTCACTATGTTGGACAGGCTGGTCTTGAGCTCCTGACCCAGGCAATCCACCCACCTCGGACTCCCAAAGTGCTGGGATTACAGGCGTGAACCACCACGCCTGGCCAGTACTATACTTTTAATTGTTATTTTAGAGTATACTTCTTCTACTTGTAAAAAGAAAAAATGTTAACTATAAAACATCCTCAGGCAGGTCCATCGGGAGGTATTCCAGAGAAATGCATTGTTATCATAGATGACAGATCTATGAATATTATTGCTCATGTAGCCCTTCCAGTGGGACAAGATGTGGAGTAAGAAGATAGTAATATTGATAATCTTGACCCTGTGTAGGCCGAGGCTAACGTGTAAGTTTTTGTCTTCATTTTTAACAAAAATATTTTTAAAAGTTCAAAAAAATTTTAAAGCTTGTAAAATAAGGATCTAAAGAAAAAAACTTTTTTATACACTTTTACAGTATGTTTGTGTTTTAAGCAAAGTGTTTATAAGTGTCAAAATTCTTTTTTAATTTAAATCTTTCTGCCAAGCATGGTGGCTCACACCTGTAATCCCAGCACTTTGGGAGGCCGAGGTGGGTGGATCACCTGAGGTCAGGAGTTCAAGACCAGCCTGACCAACATGGTGAAACCCTGTCTCTACTAAATACAAAAAAATTAGTAGGGTGTGGTGATGCATGCCTGTAATCCCAGCTAATTGGGAGGCTGAGGCAGGAGAATCACTTGAACTCAAGAGGTAGAGGTTGCAGTGAGTTGAGATTGAGCCATTGCACTCCAGCCTGGGCAACAAGAGTGAAATTCCGTCTCTAAAAACAACAACAAAAACTTTCTAAAGTAAGAAACTTACTGTAAGCTAAGGTTAATTTATTGTGGAACAAAAATAAAATTTAAATAAAGTTAGCATGGCTTAAGTGTACATAAAGTCTACAAGAGAATACAGTAGTGTCCAAGGCCTTCACATTCACTTAATTAACTACTTTATTGACTCACCTAGAGCAGCTTGTCATCCTGCAAACTTCATTCATAGTAAGTGCCCTATGCAGGTGTAACATGTTAAAATCTTTATACCATATTTTTTACTGTACTTTCCCTGTTTTTAGATACACAATACTGACCATTATAATTACCTATTATATTCAGTACAGTAACATTCTGCACAAATTTGAAACCTAGGAGAAATAGGGCTATACAGTATAGTTTAGGTGTGTAGTAGGCTGTACCACCTAGGTTTGTGTAAATACACTCCGATTTTCACACAACAACAAAATCACAAAATCACCTAATGAAGCATTTCTCCAAAAGTATCCCTGTTTTTTACCTATATAACACTGTATATATATAATATATGTTATATATATATTTGTTATATACATATCCATCATCTATTATCTCACTCATCAGAGACTGAGCCAATATTACATACCAGGTTTGTCTGAGCCAGAGTTCAATACACAACATTGCTTTAACAGTCATATAAAAATAACATAGTAATATTATTGAGGGAGGAAAAAAGGAAAACTTAGTTGGGCAGACAGCGAAAAGCTGGTCTTTGGCAAAACTCCTTTAAACAGAGAAACAACATGAAAAATCAGGCTGCAGGCACAGATAGGGTAATTTGCACTAATCCTCAGCTCACTCAGATAAAGGAACACGGCCCAACATAGAAATGCCATTTTCCTTTGTATAACCCATGGGTTTCCAGGAAATAGTCTCTTTTCATTTTATGGGCATGTACATGGTGGGCTCCTGTGGATTCTGGTGGGCACTTTTCTTTTATTTTCTGGACATGCTTTGGACTGTGAGCAGAGCCACTATGAATCATCACTTCAGCTAATGATTGGTCCCAGGCCAAGGTACAGGCCAAACTTTCGCTTCAACTCCTGATTGGTCCCAGGCCAAGGTCCTGGGCTAAGCTTTTACTTCAGCTACTGATTGGTCCCATGCCAAGGCCCCAAGCCAAGCTGAGTAGGCTTCCTTTAAGATCAGTCAGTATTTCCTTCCCCTCCCAGTCCATAAAAACCCTGGACCCTGACTTAGAGTGGACAACCTTCTTCCTGGCCTGCTGTCCTTGGTGGAGAACTTTCTTCTTTTGCTTACAAACTTTCACGCCAACTTCATTTTTTGTGTCCACACTCCTTAATTCTCTTGGTCATGAGACAAATAACTCTCAGTGATACTTCACAAAGAGAGACTGCTACATCTTGGTGCATTGGCGAGATTGTAACATTATTTAACCCTAAACTTGAACTTTATCAATTTTCTGGCATAATTGTCAAATAAGAAAAAGATTGTTTATCTTAAGATTCACTAAGAGAAGTGTTGTAATAAAAGGAAATTAGCAAATCTTTGAAAATGTTTAGTTGTTAGATCTTTTTAAATTTCCTATGTCCTCAATATGCTACACATTCCCATAAGATAAAATATGCAAATGTTTCTTCTGAAAACTATAAATGCTATATGTAGTAGGTTAAAAGATACCCATGGATCTTCATTTAATGAAATTTATTTGTACAGTTTTTCTTTAGACTATTTTTGTTAATACAAAAGTACAGTAAATGTAGAAATTTTAGAAATTAAAATGTTTTCTTTTAAGTTTCAAAACACTTAAAAATAGCATTATGTGAGTTAATAAATGAATTTTTAATTATTTTGCTATTCATTTATTTATCACTATTATTTTCCTTCATGTGAAAAGTTGTTCAGTGATAATCGTTGGTTCATGCTCTAGCCAATTTCCTTTAGTTATTTTATTTTATTTTATTTTGTTTATTTTATTTTCTTATGTTCCTTGGTACATGTGCAGGATGTGCAGGTTTGTTACATAGGTAAATGGGTGCCATTGTGGTTTGCTGTACTTATTGACCCATCATCTAGATATTAAGCCCAGTGTGCATTAGCTGTTTTCCCTAATGCTCTCCCACCTCATGCCCTCCCCCAACAGGCCCCAGTGTATGCTTTTCCCCTTCTGTGTCCATGTGTTCTCATCGTTCAGGCCCCACTTATTAAAAACAGGCTGCATTAGGTTTTCTGTTCCTGTGTTAGTTTGCTGAGGATAATGGCTGTCAGCTTGATCCATGTTCCTGCAGAGAAAATGATCTCATTCCTTTTTATGGCTGCACAGTATTCCATAGTGTATATGTTCCACATTTTCTTTATCCAGTCTATCATTGATGGGCATTTGGGTTGATTTCATGGCTTTGTTATTGTGACTAGTTTCTCTTTTTAAGCTTGTTGTAATTTAGATGTAGCAGACAGCAATGTCTTCAATACTTCTATCAGTACTTGATATGGTTTGGCTGTGTCCCCATTCAAATCTAAACTTGAATTGTATCTCCCAGAATTTCCATGTGTAGTGGGAGGGACTCAGGAGGGACCCATGGGGAGGTAATTGAATCACTGGGCTGGTCTTTCCCATGCTATTCTAGTGATAGCGAGTAAGTCTCACAAGATCAGATGGGTTTATCAGGGGTTTCTGCTTTCGCTTCTTCCTCATTTTCTCTTGCTGATGCAATGTAAGAAGTGCCTTTAACCTTCTGCCATGATTCTGAGGCCCTCCCAGCCATGTGGAATGGTAAGTCCAGTTATACCTCTTTTTCTTCCCAGTCTCAGGTATGTCTTTATCAGGAGCGTGAAAATGGACTAATACAGTAAATTGGTACCAGAAGTAGGGTGTTGCTGAAAAGATACCTAAAAATGTGGAAGCGACTTTGGAACTGGGTAACAGGCAGAGGTTGGAACACATTGGAGGGCTCAGAAGAACATAGGAAAATGTGGGAAAGTTTGGAACCTCCTAGAGATTTGTTGAATGGCTTTGACAAAAATTCTGATAGTGATATGAACGATTAGGTCCAGGTTTAGGTGGTCTCAGATGAAGATGAGGAACTTTTTGGGAACTGAAGCAAAGGTGACTCTTGTTATGTTTTAGCAAAGGGACTAGTGGCATTATGCCCCTGCCTTAGAGATTTGTGGAACTTGAACTTGAGAGGGATGATTTAGGGTATCTGACAGAAGAAATTTCTAAGCAGAAAAGCATTAAAGAGGTGACTTGGGTACTGTTTAAAGCATTCTGTTTTAAAATGGAAACAGCATAAAGTTTGGAAAATTTGCACTCTGATGAAGGAGTAGAAAAGAAAAACCCATTTTTTTGAGGAAAAATTCAAACAGGCTGCAGAAGTTTGCATAAGGAGCAAGGAGCCTAATGTTAATCCCCAAGGCCATGGGGAAAATGCCTCCAGGCCATTTCAGAGACCTTCACAGCAGCCCCTTCCATTCACAGGCCCAGAGGCCCTGCAGGAAAAAGTGGTTTTGTGGGCCCTGCCCAGGGTCCCCATGCTATGTGCAGCCTAGGGACTTGGTGCCTTGTGTCCCAGCTGCTCCAGCTATAGGTGAAAGGGGCCAATGTACAGCTGGGACTGTGGTTTCAGAGGGTGGAAGCCCCAAGCCTTGGCAGCTTCCATGTGGTGTTGAGCCAGCAGGTGCACAGAAGTCAAGAACTGAGGTTTGGTAACCTCGGCCTAGATTTCAGTAGATGTATGGGAACGCCTGGATGCCCAGGCAAAAGTTTGCTGCAGGGGCGGGGCCCTCATGGAGAACCTCTGCTAGGGCTGTGCAGAAGGGAAATGTAGGGTAGGAGCTCCCACACGAAGTCCCTACTGGGGCACTGTCTAGCGGAGCTGTGAGAAGAGGGCAACTGTCCTCCATACCCTACAATGGTATATTCACTGACTGCTTGCACACTGCACCTGGAAAAGCCACAGACACCCAACACCACAACATGAAAGCAGCCAGGAGAAAGGCTGTACCCTGCAAAGTCATTGGGGTGGAGCTGCCTAAGACCATGGGAACTCACCTCTTGCAACAGTGTGACCTGGATATGAGACCTGGAGTCAAAAGAGATCATTTTGGAGCTTTAAAATTTGACTGTCCCGCTGGATTTTAGACTTGCGTGGGGCCTGTAGCCCCTTTGTTTTGGCCAATCTCTCCCATTTGAAACAGCTGTGTTTACCCAATACCTGTAACCGCATTGTGTCTAGGAAGTAACTAACTTGCTTTTGATTTTACAGGCTCATAGGTGGAAGGGACTTGACTTTTTTCAGATGAGACTTTGGACTGTGGACTTTTGGGTTAATGTTGAAATGAGTTAAGACTTTGGGGCACTGTTGGGAAAGCATGATTGATTTTGAAATGTGAGGACATGAGATTTGGAGGGGTCGGGGCGGAATAATATGGTTTGTCTGTGTTCCCATTCAAATCTAATCTTGAATTGTATCTCCCAGAATTCCCACATGATGTGGGAGGGATGCAGGGTGAGACAACTGAATCACAGGGTCTGGTTTTTTCCATGCTATTATCATGATAGTGAATAAGGCTCATGAGATCTGATGGATTTATCAAGGGTTTCCACTTTTTTTTTTTTTTTTTTTTTTCAGACGGAGTCTCGCTCTGTCGCCCAGGCTGGAGTGCAGTGGCGGGATCTCGGCTCACTGCAAGCTCCGCCTCCCGGGTTCACGCCATTCTCCTGCCTCAGCCTCCCAAGTAGCTGGGACTACAGGCGCCCACCACTACGCCCGGCTAATTTTTTGTATTTTTAGTAGAGACGGGGTTTCACCGTTTTAGCCGGGATGGTCTCGATCTCCTGACCTCGTGATCCGCCCGCCTCGGCCTCCCAAAGTGCTGGGATTACAGGCGTGAGCCACCGCTCCCGGCCTCCACTTTTGCTTCTTCCTCATTTTCTCTTGCTGCCATGATGTAAGAAGTGCCTTTGGCCTTATTCCATGATTCTGAGGCCTCCCCAGCCATGTGGAACTGTAAGTCCAATTAAACCTCTTTTTCTTCCAAATCTCGGATATGTCTTTATCAGGAGTGTGAAAAAGGACTAATACAGTACTAATGTGAAATTGAGAAACAAATTCCAAAGTGAAAAAAGACACTTTGAATTAAGAGATTCTCAGGAAAACTGTGTGGTTCTAAACATGGGTTCAAGCATTTTGATTAATAGCATTTTTTCTGATATATCAATATGCAGACACTAATCAAACAATTGAGAGTTAAATGTGATTTTTCACCTAATGATATTCCAAGTTATTATACATTGGAGCTAATTTGGCAGCACTGACAACTTGAATTACTGCTTTCTAGGGTTTTATTGTGATAAAACACACTCTAATTTATTCATTGAAAAATATAATAAATGCTTTATGAGCCAGATTAACACAATATAAGAGCTAAACATGTAAGTAAACACTAAAAAAGAGCAATAACACATTTACGTGAAAATATGAAAATAATAACAAGAAAATACCACATGCTACTATGTACAAGTAAATCAAAAGTATAGAGAAAACAGGCTACTTTTTATCAAAATGTAATCTTCCAAAATTGCCCTTGGAGATGTAAAACATTTATTTGGATACATTATCATAAAATAAATTGTTAAAAAATTTGAGTGTCTGCCATTAAATAATACATCAAGGTAAGATATGTTCCAAGTATACTTCTATCTAAAATTTACATAGAAAATAATTCAAATATTATTAAAAATTTTATGATAAGCTAACAAAAAATAAAGTAGTATGAAGCAAAAATAACATTAATAATAAAACATTGAAATAATTTAAAAACTTGAAGGTACTCTTCTTTATGAATGTAGAAACAACAATTATATATAAAATGCATGAAACAGACTCCCGCAGTATATTAAAATAAAAATTTACTAAGATCAAGTAGGCCTCCCCTTCCCTCCTCTGAGCATAGATGGGTTGTTCAAAATTATGACATTAGAAAATCATAATATTATGGGACCCACCCATCATAAATGCAGTTTATTGTTGACTGACTTTCATTATGCAGTTCATGAATGTACAGTCAAAAAGAATCCAAAAGTTAAAAAAATTAAACATTTTATAAAGAAAATTTAATAAGCTAAAATTAATTATTTAAAGGAAAAAAATTTATAAATTTACTGCAGCCTAAGTGTACAGTGTTTATAACATTTACAGGAGTGTACAGTAATATCCTAGGCCTTTACATTCACTTACTACTCACTTACTGACTCACACAGAGAAAATTTCAATCCTGTAAGCTCCATTCATGGAACATGCCCTATGTAAGTATACCATATTTTATCACTTATATATTATTTTACTGTACATTTTCATTGTTTAGATGTTTACATACACAAATTCTGAGCATTTTGCTATAATTTCCTACAGTATTGAGTACACTAATATTTTCTAAAGGTTTGTAGCATAGGAGAAATATGCTATTACATATAGTCCCCATGTGTAGTAGGGTATACCAACTAGGTTTGTGTAAGTACAGTCTATGAAGTATGCACAACAAAATTGCCTAGTGATGCATTTATCAGAACATATTCATGTCTCTAATTAATGCATGACTATAGGTATATATATACACACGTATAATTTCATCAATATTGTTTAAAGCTGTATGAAATAATACAATAGCCATTTTTAATGACTCTAAGCAAAATGAGAACAGAAGTTAAACTATTTAGTGATAGCATGAGTACTAGCACAGATACAAAGCTTGTCAGCGTCATTTAGCATTGTAGTGAAGCTTCTAGTAGATATATAATATTCAAATACATTCCAGATTGAATGTGTATCAAAATATTATTACTAATAATTAATACACATTTTATAATCTAGCTGAGATGCTGGGGTGATTTTTTGATCAATACTAGAATTCAGAACCTTCAAAAAATATTTAAAAAATCAAAATCAGATATATTTGAATATACAAAAAAATTAAAACTGTTGTACATAAAATGTTACCATAATGTTAGTAAATAATCTATGGATTTTGAAGGATGTACTTATAATGTTGATAGAAAATGTGTCCTATTCATTAAAAAAGGGTTGTTAGAGATTTACAAGGAAAATTTTATAGAATAGAACAATGAACAAATTATATAAATGAGAATTTTACAGATGAAAAATCTAAATGGATAAGCACACAAAAATATTATATTTATATTATTAATATTATACAGTTGTTAAAAATTATGAATTAGAATTTCACCTTTGGAGTGAGGTTAATATAGATTGATAAAGAGGAGTGATAGAAAACAGAAAAGAAAATAAAGCAAACAAATAAAATGTAGACTGTTATAAAAGAAAAAGGGGATATATATTATAATTATATTATGTGTTCTGTAAATTATATATGTATAAATAAATATAACTAAATATTAAAAATTTCAAAGAGGACATTATACCAGGTTTTTTTTTTTTGGTTACAACCTAATAAATTACCACAAACTTAGTTAAAACATTACATTTATTAGTCCACTGTTTCCTTGGATCAGGAATGGTGAAATTGCTTAGCTGAGTCCTCTGCTCAAGGTCTCACGAGGCTGTAATTAAGGTATGTTAGTTAGGTTATGTTTCCTGTGCTTGTGGCCCTCTTCTAAGCTCCTTCAGATTGGTGAAAGTATTCAGTTTCATTGGGTTGTAGTACTGAGATTCCTATTTTCTTATTGAATGTGAGCTGAGGGCTGCTCTCAGCTCTTACAGGTGTTCACAGGCCTTTTAACAACACAGCAGATAACTTCTTTAAAGCCAGCAGGACAATCTTTCATTCTAGGCTGTTAAGATAGATTCATGCATTATTATAACTAGTAATGTGGGTTCCCTTTTTGTCTCCACCCAAATCTAATGTTGATTTGTAATTCCCAGTGTTGGGGGAGGCACCTGATGATTGGTTCATGAGGGCCTATTTCCCTCATGCTGTTTTCCTGATAGTGACTGACTTCTCACAAGATCTGATACTTTTATAAGGCAGTTTTCCCTGCTCTTGCTCACTTTATCTCACCTGATGCCATGTAAGACGTGGTTGCTTTCCCTTCTACCATAATTATAAGTTTCCTGAGGCCTCCACAGCCATACAGAACTGTGAGTTAATTAAACCTCCTTTGTTTATAAATTACCCAGTCTTGGATAGTATCATTATAGCAGTGTGAGAATGAAGTAATACAGGAAATTGGTACCACAGAGAGTGTGGCACTGCTATAAGGATACCCAAAAATGTGGAAGCAACTATGGAACTGGGAAACAGGCAGAAGTTGAAACAGTTTAGAGGGCTGAGAAGAAGACAAGAAGATGTGGGGAAGTTTGGAACTTCCTAGAGACTTGTTAGTTTTAATCAAAATGCTAATTGTAATATGGACAATGAAGTCCAGGCTGAGGTTGTCTCAGATGGAGATGAGAAACTTGTTGAAAAATGGAGTGAGGGTCACTCTTGCTATGCTTTACCAAAGACACTGGTGGCATTTTGCCCCTACCCTAGAAATCTGTGGAACTTTGAACTTCAGAGAAATGATTTGAAATTGGAATTTATATTTAAAAGGGAAGCAGAGCATAAAAATTTGGAAAATTTGCAGCCTGATGATGCAATAGAAAAGAAAAACCCATTTTCTGGAGAGAAATTCAAGCCTGCTGCAGAAATTTGCATAAATAACAAGTAGCCAAATGTTAATCACCAAGACAATGGGAAAAATGTCTCCAGGGCATGTCAGAGATCTTGTCAACAGCCTCTCTAATCAGAGGCCCACTGGCCTAGGAGGGAAAAATGGTTACATGGCCCAGTCCCAGGCGTCCCTGCTCTGTGCAGCCTTGGGACTTGGTGCCCTATGTCCCAGCTACTCTAGCTCCAGTCCTGGCTAAAAGGGGCCAAGGTACAGCTTAGGCCATTGCTTCAGAGGGTGCAAGCCTCAAGCCTTAGTGGCTTCCACACGGCATTGGGTCTGCAGATGCACAGAAGTCAAGAATTGAGGTTTGGGAACATCTACCTAGATAGCAGAAGATGTATGAAAAGGCCTGAATGACCAGGCAGAAGTCTGCTGCAGGGGCAAATCCCTCATGGGGAACCTCTGCTAGGGCAATGCAAAGGGAAAATGTGGGGTTGTAGCTTCCACACACGGTCCCCACTGGGGCCTAGTGGAGCTGAGAGAAGAGGGCCACTGCCCTCCAGACCCCAGAACAGTAGATCCACTGACAGCTTGCACTGTGTACCTGGAAAAGCCACAGACACTCAATACCAGCCACAAAAGCGGCCAGGGCAGAAAGTTATATTCTGCAAAGCTACAGGGGCAGGGCTGTCCAAGGCCATAGTAGCCCACCTTTTGCATCAGTGTTCTGTGGATGTGAGACATGGAGTCAAGAGAAATTATTTTGGAGCTTTAAGATTTAATGTCTGCCCCAGTTGGTTTCAGACTTGCATGGGGCCTGCAGCCTCTTTGTTTTGACCAATTACTCCTATTTGGAATGGGAACACTTATCCAATGCCTGTACCCTCATTGTATCTTGGAAGTAACTAACTTTCTTTTTATTTTACAAGCTCCTAGGTGGAAGAGACTTGTCTTGTCTTAACTCATTCCAGCATTAACCCAAAATTCCACAGTCCAAAGATTAGACTTTGGGGAACTGAGGGGAAGGCATAAGTGTATTTTGGAATGTGAGGATTTGTGATTTGTGAAGGGCCAGTTGTAGAATAATATGGTTTGGATCTATGTACCCTCCCCCAAACTCTTCTTGAATTGTAATCCTCATAATCCCCACATATCAAGGAAGGGACCAGTTGGGTGGTGATTGGATCATGGGGGTGATTTACCCCATGCTGTTCTCATAATAGCGAGTGAGTTCTCACAAGATCTGATGGTTTTGTAAGACAGTTTTTCCTACTCTTGTTTGCTCTCTCTCACCTGCCGTCATGTAATATGTACCTGTTTCCCTTTCTGCCATAATTGTAACTTTCCTGAGGCCTCATAGCCATGTGGAACAGTGAGTCAATTAACCTTCTTTGCTTATAAATTACCCAGTCTCAGGTACTTTCTTTATAGTAGTGTGAGAACGAACAAATACATCCAGTAAAGGTACTACCTAGGTAACTATTGGAATAAGTATCTTTGCCATGTAGTTTCTTATTAAAAAAATTCAACAAGTGATAACTATACATGTATAATAATAACCATGCAATATACAAAGTTGAAATTTGTGATACCAATAATGTACAAGGATACAAGGAAGCAAACTATATTAAACCAAAGTGTTTGTATACTATTGAATATAAGTGGGTATAAATTCAAATTAGTTTACTGTAAATTTAAGATGCCAATGGTAATCTTCAGCAAGTAAACAACTAAAAAATATAAAGAAAACAAAATGAGAAGGAAATAATAAAAAGAAAACACATTAGAAAGAAACATCAATCAAACATCAAACACACAAAAGAGTGTCATTTGATGAATTGAAGGCAAAAAATATGGAAAACACTTAAAAACCATATAGAAAAATGGCATAAATCTCTTCCTTTCACCTTACTTTAAATGAAAATTGAATAAATTCAAATAGAAGATAGAGACTAGGGGAATTGATAAAAGGGGAAGATCCAATAATATACTGTCTACAGAGACACATTTTAGAAACAAAGACACAAATATATTGAAAATAAAAAAATAGAAAAAATAATATTCTATGTAAAGAGTAACCAAAAGAGATCTGCTAGGAGGTGGAACAAGATGATGGAATATAAGGCTTCACTAACTTTTCCTTCTGCAAAGACACTAAGTTAACAAGTATCTACACATAAAAAACACCTTCATGAGAACCTAATGGTGACTACTTATAGTACCTGGTTTTAGTTTTATATTGCTGAAAGAAGAACTGAAGAAATAGAAGAAGTCCTTAATCACCAACGCCACCTCTTCTTCACTCTCTGGCAGCAGTGGTGTGGTGTGGAGAGCATCTCTGGGTACTGAGGGAGAGAGAACACAACATGTGAGACATTGAACTCAGTGCTGTCCTGTTAGAGCAGAAAGAAAAACCATGCCAAACTCAGCTAATGGAGGGAGCATTTAAACCAGCCCTAGCAGATGGGAATTGCCAATTCCAGCAGTCTGAACTTGAATGCCTGAAAACCACACCACCTAGGACTACAGTACTGTTTGTTTGCAAGTAAACTTGAAAAACAGTTTGGGCCATAAAAATTGCAATCATTCTTTGAGTCCTAGTGCTGAACTAGGCCCAGAGACAGACTGGGAGGCACACAACATACTGACACAATAGCTGAATCAACCAAGGGAGTGCTGGAATCACCTTCCCCTAACCCCAGGCTGTGCAGCTCATGGCTCCAAAAGCGACCTCTTTTTTCCACTGGAGGAGAGGAGAGGGAAGAGTTGGAAGGACTTTGTTTTGCATTTAGGATACCAGCTCAGCCACAGAAAAATGGGGCACTGATCGGATTCATTAGGCCTCTGTTCTAGGCTCTAGCTCTCAGACAGCATTTCTAGACACTGGGCCAAAGGGAATCTGCTTCCTTGAAGGAAAAGACCCAGTCCTCGCAGCATTATCACCCATTAACTGAAGAGCTCTTAGGCTCTGAATAACTCACAGTGATACCCAGGTACTATGTTAAAGGCCTTAGGTGAGCCTCTGACACTTGGTGGCTTCAGGTGAGGCTCAGCACATTACCACCAGTGGCAAAACTCTTTCTGCTTGTGAAAAGCAAAGGTAAAAGTAAAAGGGACTTCGTCTTGCCCCTTAGGTACCAGCACAACCACAGGAGGCTAGAGCACCAAGCAAGCTCTTGGGGTTCCAAATTCCATAACTTGATTCTTGGAAAGCATTTCTGGACTTACGCTGGACCAGAAGCTCACTAAATGAAGGGTGAGTCCCAACCCAGGCAGCATTTATGACAAGCTGACTTAAGAGACCTTGGGCCCTAAGAAAACCTCAATGATAATCTGGCAGTACTCCTTATGGCCTGGGGTGACAGTGACTATGGTGTGGTGCTCCTCTGCCTTTGGAAAGGGGAGGGAAGAGTGGAAAGGACTTCATGTTGTAGTTGAGTGCCAACTCAGCTACAATATAATAGAGCATCAGGGAGAATTATAAGGTTTTTACTCTAGTCTCTGACTTCCAGCACCTCTGGACTTACCAGGGACCTAGGAAATCTTGCCACCCTAATGAGAAGTACAGAGCCCATTCTGGCTTTTCCACCTGCTAATTGCAGAACCACTGAGCCTTGAGCAAACATAAGCAGTAGCCAGGGAGCGGTTACAGCAGGCCATGTGTGAGACCCAGTGCTGTGCAGGCTTCAGTTCTCATCAAGCACAGTTATAGCAGTGGAGGCTACATGAATGCTAGTGTCACTTCAACTGTAGCTTCAGATGGCTCAGAATGGAAAGAGAGAGAGACTCTGTTTTGGAGAAAGTAAGGAAAGAGAACAAGAGTCATGCTCCGGTAATTCAGAGAATTCTTCCCAATCTTGTCCAAAACCATCAAGGTTGTACCTCTATGAGTATGCAAGAACCACAGCATTACTGGGATTGGAATGACCCCTAAAGTAGATACAGTTAAAATTACAGCACTCAAGTCCTTTCAAATATCTGGAAAGCATTTCCAAGAAGAATAACCACAAACAAGCCCATGCAGTGAATACTACAATAAACACCTAACTCTACAATGCCCAGACACCGAAGAACATTTACTAGCATCAATGCCATTCAGAAAAACATGACGTCACCCAATGCACTAAGTAAGGCACCAGGGATCAATCCTGGATATAAGAAAAAAATATGTACAGAGAATTGAAAATAGTAGTGTTGAGGAAACTAAGGAAATTCAAAGTAACACAAAGAAGCTATTCAGAATCCCATCAGATAAATTTAACAAATAAATAATAATAATTAGAAAGAATCAAGCAGCAATACTTGAGCTATAAGATGCAATGGCATACAGAAGAATGCCTGAGTCCTTTAATAGCAGAATTGCTCAAGCAGAAGAAAGAATTAGTAAGTTTGAAAACAAGCTATTTAAAAATACATAGTAAAAGGGGACAAAAGCAAAAAGAATAAAAACAATGAAGTACACCTTCAACATCTAGAAAACAACCGCAAAATGGCAAATCTAAAAGTTATTGTCATTAAAAAGGAGGTAGTGATAAACATAGGGGTAGAAAGCTTATTCGAAGGGATAATAACACAAAACTTGCTGAATCTAGAAAAAGGTATTAATACCAAAGTATAAGAAGGTTAAGAAGGTTATAGAACACCAAGAAGATTTAATCAAAAGAAGAGTACTTCAAAACTTTTAATTAAATTCCTAAATGTTAAGGATAAGGAAAGAGTTCTGAATGCACCAAAAGAAAATAAACAAATAGCATCCAATGGTGCTCCAGTAAGTTGGGCAGTAGACTTTTCAGTGGAAACCTTACAAGCCTGGAGAGAAAGGCACAACATATTTAAAGTGCTGAAGGAATAAAAATCTGTTACCGTAGAATAGTATATCTGGCAAAAATGTTTTTTAAACTTGAATGAGAAATACTTTCCTAGACAAAGAAAAGCTGAGGGATTTTCTTAATCCCAGATCTGTATTATAAGAAATTCTAAAGGAAGTACTTCAATCAGAAAACCAGAATACTAATGAGCAATGAATAATTACCTGAAGGTACAAAACTCCCTGGTAATAATGACTACAAAAAATACAGAATATTATAACATTGGAACTGTAGTGTATAAATGTCTCTTATCCTAAGTAGAAAGACTAAAGAATAAACCAATAAAAAATAAAATAACTACAACAACTTTTCAAGGCACAGTCAATACAATAAGATATAAATAGAAACAACAAAAAGTTAAAAAGCACAGGGACAAAGTTAAGGTATAGAGTTTTCATGCTTTCTTTTTAGATTGATTTTTTTATGCAAACAGTGTTGTTGTTATCAGGTAAAAATAGTGGGATATAAGGTAGTGTTTGTAAGCCACATGGTAACTTTAAATGAAAAAGACATATGATAGATTCATAAAAAATAAAAAGCAATAAGCTAACTCATATCACCAGAAAAATCATCTGCACTAGAGGAAGAAAGAATAGAAAGTAGGAAGAGAAGACCACAAAACAATCAGAAAACAAAGAAGAAAATGGAAAGAGTAAGTCCATACTTATCAATCATAACATTAAATGTAAATGAACTAAACTCTCCAATAAAATGCACAGACTGTCTAAATAGATAAAAGAACAAGAATCATTGATTTGTTGCCTAAAAGAAATACAGTTTGACTATAAAGACTTAGGTAGACTGCAAATAAAGGGATGAAGAGCAAGAGTTGCTATACTTATCTCAGTCAAGCTATATTGCAAGGCAAAAACTATCAGAGACCAAGATGGTCATTGTCTAATGATACAAGGGTCAATGAAGCAAGAGAATATAGCAATTTTACATACATATGCATTCAACACTGGATTCTCAGATATAAAAAGCAAATATTATTAGAGCTAAAGGGAGTGATAGGCTCCAATACAATAATAGCTAAAGACTTCAACACCATGTTTTCATCATTGGACAGATCTTTCATAAAGAAAACCAAAAAAGAATCATAAGACTTCATCTTCACTATCAACCAAATGACTAGAATAGACATTTACAGAAAATTTTATCCAATAGCTGTGGAATACACTTTATTTTCCTCAGCACATGGATCATTCTCATGGATAGTCCACAAGTAACAAAACAAGTCCTAAAACATTAAAAGCATTGAAATAATATTGGGCATAATCTCTGACCACAATAGAATAAAACTAATAATTTTAAACAAGAGGAATTTTGGAAACCATATAAATACATAAAAATCAAAAGTATGCTACTGAATGACAAGTAGAGAAAAAAGAAATTAAGAAGAAAATTGAACAATTTCTAGAAACAAATAACAATTATAACAACATACCAAAACCTATGGAATACAGCAAAACCAGTAGTACTAAGAGGGAAGTTTATGTCTGTAAGTGCCTACATTAAACAAGAGGAAAAACTTCAAATGAACCATTTAACAATACATCTTAAAAAATTAGAAAAGCTAGAGGAAACCAAATCCAAAAATACTAGAAGAAAAAAATAATAACAGCAGAAAAATGAAATTGAAATAAAAATACAAAAGACCAATAAAAAATAGTTGGTTTTTTGAAAAATTAAAAAAATTGGCAAACCTTTAGACAGACTAACAACAACAACAGCAAAAAACCAGAAAGGAACTAATAAAATCAGAAATAAGAAAGGAGACATTATAGCAGATTTTGCAGAAATTCAAAGGATTATTGGTGGCTACTATGAGCAACTATATTTCAATAAATTGGAAAATCTAAAAGAAATGAATAAATTCCTAAATAAATACAACCTACCAATCATGAACAATGAAAAAATCTAAAACTTGACAAAACTGATATCAAGTAATGAGATTGAAGCCCTATTAAAAAGCCTCCTGGTAGCAGAAAGCCCAAGACCTGATGACTTCAATGCTGAATTCTACCAAACATTTAAAGAAGCACTAATACCAACCCTACTAAGGCTATTCTGAGAAATAGATGAGGAGGGAATATTTCCAAACTTATTATATGAGGCCAGTATTACCCTGATACCAAAACCGGATGAAGACACTTAACAACAACAACAAAAAAGTTAGAGGCCAAAATATCTGATGAATATTTATGCAAAAAATTTTAAATGAAATACTGTCTAAACAAATTAAACAATATATCAGAAATATCATTTATGATGGCCAAGAGTAATTTATGCCTGGGATGTAAGAATGGTTCAAAACATGAAATCAATCAATTTGATATATTATATAAACAGAATATAGGATAATAGCCATAAGGCCATTTCAATTGATGCTAAAAAAGTGTTTGATACTATCCAACATTATTTCATGATAAAAACCTTCAAAAAGCTGGGGATAGAAAGAACAACCCTCAACATAATAAAAGCCTATATAAGAAATCCACAGGTAGAATTATACTTGATGACAAAAACTGAAAGCCTTTCCTCTAAGATCTGGAACATGACAAGGTTGACCAATGTCACCACTGTTATTCAACATAGCATTGGAAGTTCTAGTTAGAGTAATCAAACAAGAGAACAATATTAAGGGCATGCAATTAGAAAAGGAAAAAGTCAAATTACCCTTGGTTGCAGATGATATAATCTTATATTTGGAAAAGGCTGAAGACTCAGCAAGAAAACTACTGCAAATTCAGTAAAGTTTCAGAATACAAAAGCAACATAGAAAAGTCAGGAGCATTTTTATATGCCAACAGTGAACACCATAAAAATGAAGTTAAAAAAAAGTAACCCCACTTACAATAGCCACATTATATTAACTATTTAGGGATTACCCAAAAAAATGAAAAAAATCTCTATAATGAAAACTGTCATGTAAAAATAATAATAAAAAAAACTGTCAAACACTAGTAAAAAAAAATTGAAGAGGACACCAAAAGGCAGAAAAATATTTCATGTCCATTCATTAGAAAAATTAATATTGTTAAAATGTTAGTATGGCCCATGGCTATCTACGATTCAATTCAATTCCTGTTAAAATACCTATTATATGCTTCACAGAAATAGAAAAAAAAAATCTAAAATTCATAAAGAACCACAAAACACTGAGAACAGACAATGTTATCCTAAGGAAAAATAACACAACTGGAGGAATTATATTGCCTTACTTAAAATTATACTGTGGAACCATACTAAGCAAAACAGCATGCTATTGTCATAAAAAAAACCAGAAACATAGACCAATGTAACTGAATAGAGAACCCACAAATAAATCCATACACCTACAGTGCACTTGTTTTTGACAAAAGTGCCAAGAACATACACTGGGAAAAGACAGTCTCTTTAATAAATAGTGTTGGGAAAATTGGATATCCATATGCAGAAGACTGAAACTCAACCCCTATCTATCTCCATATAGAAAAATCAAATCAAAATGGATTAAATATTTAAATCTAGACCCCAAACAATGAAACCACTACAATAAAACATGAGGGAAAATCTCCAAGACACTGGTATGGGCAAAAATTTATTGAGCAATACCCCATAAATACAGGCAACCAAACAAAAATAGACAACTGGTATCACATGAAGTGAAAAGCTTCCACATAGTAAAGGATACAATCAACAAAGTGAGGAGACAATCCACAGATTGGGAGACAATATTGATAAACTACCCATCTAATAAGGAATAAGTATCCAGAATATATAAGGAGCTCCAACAGCTCTATAGGAAAAAATCTAATAATGTGATCAAATATGGGCAAAATATTTGAATGGACATTTCTCAAAAGAAGACATACAAATGACAAACAGACATATGAAAAGGTGCTCAACATCATTGATCATCAGAGAAATGCAAATCAAAACTAAAATAAAATATTTTCTTACCCCAGTTAAAATGGCTTATATCTAAAAATCCGGCAATAACAAATGCTGATGAGGATGTGGAGAAAAAGAAAAAAAAAAAAAAACCCTTCTACACTGTTGGTGGGAAGGTAAATTAATAAAACTACTATGGAGAAAAGTTTGGAGGTTATTCAAAGAACTAAAAATTGTGCTAGTATATAATCCAGCAATCCCATGGGCGTACTCCCAAACAAGAAAATCAGTATATCAAAGAGATATCTGCACTTCTATGTTTGTTGCAAGACTGCTTACAATAGCGAAGATTTGCAAGTAATGTATGTGTTCATCAAAATAAAAAAAGGTGAATGGATAAATAAAATGTAAAGATTCACAATAGGGTACTATTTAATTACAAATAAGAATGAGATTCAGTCATTTGCAACAATATAAATGGAACTGGAGATCATAATGTTAAATAAGAGCGGAAGTACTGGAGAATTAGCTACAAATTTAATATCTCTTGTAAATATAGTGCTATTCACTTTATTTCTTCTTGATTTGTCTTGTTGGTTTGTGTCTTGCAAATAATTTGCCTATTTCATGTAAGTTGTCATTTTTGGCAGAAATGTGTTCATCATATTATCTTATATTTTTAATATTCCTATTTTCTTGCTATCTTCTCACTCCCTGATATTGGTAAGTTATATCATATGTATTTTTTCTCTGATCAATCTTGCTGTAATTTGATCAGATTTATTGATCTTAAAAATAGCTTTTGGTTTCATTGATTTTCTGTACCATTTTTTCCTGTTTTCTATTTTATTGGTTTCCATAATGATCCATATTATTTCATTTCTTCTATTTACTATGTGTTTAATTTGTACTCTTCTTACTAGTTTAAGGTTGAAGCTTCACGTATTTTTAATTTTTGAATTTTAATATTTCAGACGAGTGGAGTACACATTTAAATTCCCATCACTGACAAATATTTCCACTATAATCATGTTCTCTACTTGCTCAGGTATTTTACTTAACATTACAGAATCCCTCATATTCTGCCTAAATTTTTCTCACAACATTCTTGTTTGGGGTAGTTTAGTCAATTAAACCAATTTGATAATTCAAATTTGGCAGGTAATTTTTTTCTATTTCAGGAATTTCATGAGATTTTAAAAATTCTTGGCGTTTGAGAGATACGGCATATTATCACCTCTACATGACTGTGCTTTCCTTAGGAAAAAAATTGCATTTTTGCTAGAATACTTTTGAAATTGCATAGTCTTTGAATATGAAAAGTTACATCAATATATTTTTATTAGAAAATTATTTTTACTGTAGGCTTCAGCAAAAATATTGTGTCTCATAGTAGAGCTGTTTGTATTTAATTTCTGAAGACTAAATGTTGCCAGTTTTGGTTAGTGTGTGAACTTCACGAACCCTCTTTTTAAATTATGTTTCCATTCCCTTCATTTCCACTGTCATATTGCGGAGAACTCACATTTTGCAAATGGCTATTTCAGTTTGTCACCTTACTCTTGCGATTTCAATTTGGCACCTTACTTCAATCAAGGAAAACAATTTGCTATATTTTAAGCACAATTGTGAATTGCATGTATTTCAAGGAGGATGTGCAATCCTAATTGCAAATTTGACTGGCGTTTTTCATAAGTGTTTTCACTCTTATGATTTTTGGAATGCCTTTCATTATTGAATTTATTCTGTGTAATATCAAACACTAATTTATGTATATTCCGGGGAACAGCCAGTTTTATTTCAGAGCCCAGTTTGATGCTGTTTGTGAATCATATGCCTCATCATTCTGTCACTTCTGACAGCTCAAAGGAGTGAAATCAAAAGCTTTGCATTTTCATTAGCTCTTGAATTGGGTAGGAATAATTTTCTCTTGAACATAGTTCTTTTTAGGAATCTCTTTTAATGAATAGAAAGAACTTATTAATTCATTTTAATTAGATAAGTTTTTAGTTCTGTATATAAACTAGGTAAGCTTGACAGAAGAATAAATATTTTCTGTGAGGAGTTGAAATTATCTTGGCGTAAATGAAAGCTTCCTTCTCTGCTATTCTATGATTCCTAGCTGAAAAGCCTATAGTATCATTATTGCTATGTGTTGAATTGTCACTTCTAGCTATCACACATAAAAAGAAAATTTGTCATTTTCTCTAAATTAAATCAAATTCACTAAAAAACTAGAAATATGCATCTAGCTATTAAATAAAATTTAAACATTTTTCCTTTTAAATGTGCTAGTCTTCGAGTTTAAATTTACTAGCATAAGCCTTCACTTTATAAACATTTAGTTTTCAGAGGAAATTCTGCATTAACTAGTTTTTTGGTGTTCACATCTACTCACAAGCTACATTCTTGTATGCTTTGAGGAAGAAGAGCTATCTGACTAAATAATCAGAAGTATAATGTTCTAAATGTATATTGTATTAAGGAATATATAATACAGAAGAGAAAAAATTGCAAAACAGGAGAAATTATCAAAAGATAAAAATGAGCGTAATATGTGAGAAGTTATAATATAGACAATGCCGTGAAAAATTGGTGAAAGAAAATTAAAAATGGGAAAAACATTATGAAAAAAGCACATATTCATTTTGAAATTTAGACTATAATTGATGTTAGATATAGAATCACTTTTTAAAGAAAGAAAATCACCCTATATCTATTCAACACTTATTTCATGTAAGTGTTAAACAATTTTTAATTTCCAGGTTTTAAAATAGTTGCGTGACTACTTGAGAGTTTAAAATTGTCCAGGTCATACACAAATTCACATCATATATAGGTATATATATATATATGTGTGTATGTATTTACATATATAATTCATAGCATATATGATGTATGTTTGTGTATGTACATGTGGTTTGTGTGTAATTATATTTTGTTTTATTTGTCAAATTCATCATCTCCAAAAGCTTTTGCATCTATACAGGTCACAGCAGAATAATCAAAGAGACCTGCTAAATTTTGAAGAAAGCTGTTTATTAAACAATCAAAATTATTTCTACCTAGAAGTTTCACTAATGACATTTATTTATCTCTGCTCAGATATTTGGATCTAATACCACAACTTTTTAAAAAATAATATCTGTTGACATTCCTCAATTATTTTTCTGGGTCTTCTCTCTGGAACAGGAGAGAAATGGATCTTAGGTCACTTTTTAAATCCTCTCTTCCTCTGGCTAAATTCAGAATGGGATTTCAGAGACACTATATCAAACCATGTACCTAGACCTGACCATTTACAATTTGAGCCTATATTAATCTGACCACTAATGGACAAACAAATTATTATCACTGCTTATAGCTTCTGTACATTTTCTTCTATTATTTTGTGCCTTCTTCTTTTCATCTCATGAACAATTTCTGAATATTATAGATATTTTGCCTCTCTCTTTGCTGTGCAGTAAATTGTTGCTTTCAAATTTACTCTTTGTCTAATGACTTTTGTAGAATTAATAAACTACACTTTTTAGAGCAGTCTTAGGTTGATAGCAAGATTAGGTGGTAGGTACTATATACCTCCTGTCCCCAATAATGATCAACCTTTCTCACTATCAACAACCTGCACCAAAGTGTTATTTTTTTACACTTTATTAGCCTATATTTATACATCCTTATCATCAAATGGCCATGGTTTATATTAAGGTACACTGTTGGTGTACATTGTATAGGTTTTCAAAAATATATATTAATATAACTACCATGATAGCATTATGCAGAACTATTTTACTGCCATAAAAATCCTCTGTGTTCTGGCTATTAATCATTTCATCACCACAATCCCCAACAACCACTGATCATTTTACTCTCTACATAATTTTTCTCCTTTCAAAATGTCATATAGTTGGAATCAGACAGTATGCAGCCTTTTTACATTTACTTCTTTTTCTTAGCAATATGCATTTAAGATTCTACTATGACTTTTCATTCTATGAAAGCTAATTTATGTATAGCACTAAATGATATTCCATTATCTGGATATGCCACAGTTTATTTATCCATTTACCTACTGAAGGACAATATTGTTGCCTCTAAGTTTTGACAATTATGAATAAAGCTGATATAAACATCTGCAGGCAGATTTTTGTGTCAGCATACGTTTTCAACACTTTTGGATAAATACCAAGTAGTAGGATTGCTGGATCATATAATAAGAGTTTGTTTAGTCTTGTAAGAAACTGCTTTTAATGTAAATCCCATTTTATCTGATATTACTGTAGCCACCTCTCCTCTCATTTGGTTAGTATTTTCATAGACTGTCTTTTTCCATCCTTTTATTTTCAAACTATGAGTGTGATTATATATAAAGCGAGCCTCTTGTAGACAGCATATAGTTCAATCTTTTTGTTTTGTTTTTATCCATTCAGGTAATCTATTTTTTTATTTGGGGAGTTTAATCCATTTATATATAAAGTAATTATTGATAGGAAAGTACTTCTGCCATTTTGTTTTCTGTATACCTTATATTTATTTCTTCCTCATTTTTTCCATTACTGCCTTTATGTGTGATTTTTTTGTAATGACACATTATGATTACCTTCTCACTTAAAAAATATTCTATATAGGCCGGGCGCAGTGGCTCACGCCTGTAATCCCAGCACTTTGGGAGGCCGAGGCGGGCGGATCACAAGGTCAGGAGATGGAGACCATCCTGGCTAACACAGTGAAACCCCGTCTCTACTAAAAATACAAAAAAAAAAAAAAAAAAAAAATTAGCCGGGCGTGGTGGCAGGCGCCTGTGGTCCCAGCTACTCAGGAGGCTGAGGCAGGAGAATAGTGTGAACCTGGGAGGCAGAGCTTGCAGTGAGCTGAGATCGCGCCACTGCACTCCAGCCTGGGCGACAGAGCAAGACTCCGACTCAAAAAAAAAAAATTTATATATATATATATAAAATATGTATTTTATATATATTTTTTGTGGTTACCATAAGGATTACATATAACATTCTAAAGTTATAATGGCCCATTTTAAATTTACTTCAAATGCACTTGAGAACTCTAATCCTTTGGGGTATTTTTGGTATTGATTTGTGATTATTTATGTTAAATCAGTGTTTATGTTACTGATGTCACAAATTACATCTTTGCATACTGGGTCCCCATTAACATAGATTTATAATTATTTTTGTACTTTTATCTTTAAAATTGTGTAGAGGAATAACAAGTGGAGTTATAAATAATTACAATATACTTATTTTTATATTTTTCTATGTATTACTTTTACTGGAGAACTTTCTATTTTTTTTATGCCTTTGAGTTGCTCTCTAGTGTTTCTTATTTGATATGTAATCTGATAGAATTAGAGTCCTTATAGGAATGGACACCAGAGAGCTTTCTCTTTTTCTCTTTCTGTCCCTCCCTCCTTTATTTCCTCTCTCCCCTTTTTTTCCGTATGCACTAAGAAAGGCCATGTGAACACACAGCAAAGAGGCGGCCATCTGCAACACAAGTGGGGAACCTTCACCAGACACCAACCCTGCTGGCACCTTAATCTTGTACTCCTCAACCTCCATAAAATGAGAAAATCAATTTCTGTTTTGTAAACCACAGAGTCTGTGGTATTTTGTTACAACAGCCCAACAAAATGATCGCAGCCATAAAGACAGCTTTTAGAGTCGAGGAGCATTTGCTTTATTAATATAGATCTTTCATAGCTTATCAGGGCACTTACAAAGATATTTTATGCACCTCTAGTTCTTTCTTTAATATTTCTGTAAGGAATGAATGTCTGGGGTTCCTTAGATTACTTTCTTGCTAAAGTTTGATATAAAATATTGCCAGACACATTAAAAAATTTAAAATGGTTATCTCTTTCTCTACTGTTCATAGTTATTTTTTGTGTTGTATTGGTAATTTTTCTTTTCTTAAATACTCAGGAGAGTTTACCTGCACAGTTATGTTGGACCAGGGTATTCTTTGTGAGAAGATGTGTTATTGTTAACTTTTTTATTTTGAACAATATTGTGCCTATTTCAAGGAGGATATGCACTACAATTAAATCCTTGTAGTATTCCAATTCAGTCACCAGGTGTTGTTATTTTAGTGCATGTGATTTTTGTCTCTCTAGTTCAAACACATATATAGTTATATTCAAACATATTTTTCTTAAGAATATATTTTGAATTAGCAGTATCATCCCACTTCACCCCCAACAGTTCAAATTTTGTCTACTTTTAGTAGACATTTTTAATAAACATTTTTCTGCATAACCTCAATATTATTATTACACATATGAAAATTGAAAATAATTGCATGTTATCATGCAAAATACTCTGATTCATGAAAATATGCACATTTCTCCAAGTTGATCTCAAAAGATATTGCAGCTTTTTAATGTTTCATTATAATTCTATAAAATTTTACTCATTTGTGTCCTTTTAGTTTCTGTTGAAGTAGAATGATTTCTCTTTCTTGTGTTTGTGGTGTGTGTGTGTGTGTCTGTTTCACTGCAATAATGTTTGCTAAAACCAGGCTTTTTTAATCTATAGAAAGTGCATATACTGGACTGACATAAATATTTCCTTTTTTGTTGTTGTTTTTTGAGACGGAGTTTCGCTCTTGTCGCTCAGGCTGGAGTGCAATGGCACAATCTCGGCTCACTGAAACCTCTGCCTCCTGAGTTCAAGTGATTCTCCTCCCTCAGCCTCCTGAGTAGCTGGGATTACAGGGGCCTGCCACCACGCCCAGCTAATTTTTGTATTTTTAGTAGAGACAGGGTTCACCAGGTTGGCCAGGCTGGTCTCGAACTCCTGACCTCAGGCGATCCACCTGCCTCTGCCTCCCAAAGTGCTGGGATTACAGGTGTGAGCCACGGCACCCGGCCAAATATTTACTTCTAAGGGTGCTTATGATTCATGTTTGGGGGCAAATGTATTACATAATTCATGTGTCAGTACCCCCTTGCAACACAGCAGGAGGCACATAATGTCAGATCTCCTACTATAAGAAGATTAAAGAGATTAACCAGAGGCCTTATCATGCAGGCACCTTTTCTTCTTTGTGCTTTTGAACCATGAATAATTTAAAGTGTATTGTTAAAGTGTATTGTTTAATTTTTAAGTATTTGAAATTTATACTTCTTTGGAAGAAAAGTTAAATATTAAATATGAACTCGATTGAACGTGGACACAAAGAAAGGTCACCAAGTCCTGGAACAGGTTGTGTGAGCCCCTTGAGGCATTCATCCAACACCATTTCCGAGAAATCTCTGTTTCAATCTGTTCCTGTATGTTAGTTATTGAAAAACAAGTTGACCTTTTTGTGTTCCTTGAGCCCAGTCATGAATGGCCCTTGTGACTGGGCCTCACACCAAACAACTCATTACACAAAGAGGTAAGGTCCCAGACCACGCCAAAGCTTCCTGAGACCTCTCCTCATCTGTGCATGGACGGATGACCAACTCTGGGGCCCAGGCTGTTGCTTCCCAGTATAATGATGAATCCGCCATAGTCTGGTGAGTGTAGAGGCTGACTCTGGAGCCCAGGCTGTACCTTCTCGGTCTGGTGATGAATCCTCAATCGTGTGGTGAGTGTAAATATATATATATTTTCCCTTCTCCCCTTCCCATTGCAATTTGCTTATTACATGATTTGCTTATCATATGATTTGCTTATTATATGATTTGTTTATTATATCTGTATTGCCATATACTTGGGATAAAGACTGTTTACCCTTAAAAGTATTGTGTGTGTCTTTTCCTTTCCCCTTGTGCATTTCCTGCACAGAACAACTTCTTAGAAATATTATTGTTGATGATTTCTAATTCAATACAATTATTGTAAGAGAACATAGTCAATATGCTTACAGTTATTTTAAAATGTATTAAAACTTGTTTAAGGCCTAGCTTATGATCCATTTTTGGTGTACTTGCCATATGCACTTAACAGAAGTTTATTCTTCAGTTGTTGAGTGCAGCCTTACTATGAATGCAGTTAAAATTTCCCTGCATGCTCATGGAATTATATATTTCTATCTTTATTTCTGTTAAGTGTTGCTTTATGTATTTGGAATGCCATTTATAATGCACATGCATATTTACAGTTGTTATATCTCTCTGATAAATTTTCATATTTGCCATAAAATCATGAAATGTCTCTGTTTATGTTAATACTCCTACACTTTAAGTTTAACTTATCTGATTATGATATAGTGACTCCAGCCTTTTTGTTCTTACTTATGATGCCATTTTTTTAATATATCCATCTATCTTTCTTTAACCTATCACAACATAAAGTTGGCTGCAGCTTTTTAATGAGTTTTATTCATCTCAACTTTTATGTTGGAGTATTTATTCCATTAATATTTAAATGTCATTATTGATATTGATATGTTTGGATTCACATTTACAATTACTCATTTGTTTTCAACTTGTTCCCTTTATTTTTGTCTATTTCTGCTTATTTTCCTCTTTATGACTGAATTAAATATTTTTTCAGATACTCTTTCATCTGTTTTTCATGACTAAATATTTGCATTTTTTAGCTTTTCCTCTGGCCGTTGTAATACATATTGTTAACTTCCAAAGTCTATAAGGGGTTAGCACTGTTTTTCTTCACATAAAATATAAGACCTTTAACATTATTTTATTTACTATTATTTAGCTTATCTTTACAGTAGTCACCTGTGCCTGTGTGTGTGCCTGTGTATGGATGAATGTATATGTTTATATATGTATATTTATTGACTCATACACATATATGCACACATATATACCTATTTATAAATTCATATGAATGTATAAATTGAAGGCAAGAAATTATATATAATACATATATAGTATTAGATACATAATACTCAAATATAATATATTGTCTTCAATTTATATGTACAATGAATTTAATACATCCAATAGATTTATATATGTTATATAAACATATATTTTTTATATATATATATATATGAAAGCTGGTTTTACTTTTTTTCTATAGAAGTGATTTTCCATGTTGTATCATTTTTCCTCAACTTGGTGTACTTCCTTTTTTCTGCATTTTTTTTAAATGGAAAAATGTAGAGTCCTCCAACTTTATTATTTTTCAAGACTGTTTTGGCTATTCATGTTTTCTTGAAATTCTATATTAGTTGTAAGATGAGCTTGTCATTTCTTCAAAAAAGGCAGTTGAAACTTTGATAGCTATTGCATGGAATCTCTACACCTATTTGTGCTGTATTGCTGTCTTAACAATATTATTTTTCAATGCATGAATATGGGATATCTTTTCATTTATTTATCTACTCTTTAATTTCTCTCAAACTTGTTCTATAGTTTTAAGTATACAAGTCTTGCATCTCCTTAGCTAACTTTATTTCTAAGTGTTTTATTCTTTTTGATGTTATTGTAAATAAAATTGTTTTCTTAATTTCACTTTAAGACTACTAATATATAAAAATACAGCTGATTTTGTATGCTGATGTATGCTGCAACTTTTCTGAATTAACTTCTTAAATATAATAGTTTTTATGGATTGCTTATGGTATTCTATATATAAGATCATGTCACCTATGAATAAAGAGAATTCTATTCTTTATTCCCCAATCTGGATACTTTTTACTTTTATCGTTACCTAATTTCTCTGGCCATAACTTCTAGCACAATATTGAAGAGAAGTGGAAAAAAATCCTTTTTTTGTTTTGATCTTACAGAAAAACTTTTAGTCTTTCACCATAAGTATGATGTTAGCTGTATATTTTTCTTACATGCCTTTCATTAAGTTGAAGAAATATTCTTCGATTCCTATTTTGTTGAATATTTTATTTTTCCTAGTTTGTTGAATATTTTATTTCAGAAAAGGGTGATGGGCTTTGTCAAATGCTCTTTTTTTTGCATCAGTTGTAATAGTTATGTGCTTCCCCCTCTTCATTCGATTAATGCAGTGTGTGACATTAATTTTTTTTGTGTTGAACCACTCTTGTATTCCATTAATAAATCCTACTTTTTCATGATGCATATTCTTTTTAAAATGTGCTCTTGGATTTGTGATATTGGTCTGCAGTTTTCCTTTCTTGCTATGTTATTACTTCATTTTGGAATCAGTTATATTAGCTTCACAGAATTAGTTAGGAAATGTTATGTATGTAGGTTTTATGCATTTAAAAAGTGGAGAATTCTTTATTCAAACATGGTTGAAGATTAATTCCTCCCTCAGATAACTACTGTTCATAATCTCTTTGAAGTTCTGCAGTACTTTACACTCTTGTATCCTGATACATTTCAGTTATTTTATACTATATATATATATTTATCAGATATATACATATATACATGTATATGTATATATGTGTGTGTCTATGTATATGTGAGTGTGCAAATGTGTGTGTGTGCAGGACACTTATTCACATCTTATAAAATGAGTGTTCCTTGAAATGCACTTTAAAAGTCTGCTTCTTATTTGTGAGCATTATAAACATTTTAGATTCTACTGTACAGTATATATCTGGTAGAAAGAAAGTATTTGAGAACCATTAGAATGTCTCTGTATTGTAGCACACAGGTGGTTCTATATCTTAGCTCCATTTTGTATACCCTTAGTTTCAGAAGAGAATAACTGTCTTTTTTACTTTTGGTTATCATTAGCTCTGTGCACTTTTTCCTTTATATCACTAACAGGTGTAGCCATCATGGTTTAGGATGATTCTTGGAAGTATTGCATTTCAGTGTGGTAAGAAAATAATAATGTGATATAGTAGATATATTGAGGAGAGTAAAATTTGTGCTTGTTTTTGAAAAAATAAACTAATAAGTGCATGTAGTTGTAATTGATATAAACCATACAATATTTAATTAATGAAAAATTATACAAAATGGTGCTTTGGATAGAAGAGCTAAGAATAACAGCTCCATTTGCTTGAAATATTTCAGTATTTAAATATTCCCTCAAATTGACAGGAGAACAAGAGAAAGTTCAATTATCTTGCAGTTTCATTTCATCTCACTTTTATTTTTCAATAAACAATACAATATTTAACAATACATTATTCAAATATTCTCTCAAACTGACAGGAGAACAGGGGAAACTTCAATTATCTTGCAGTTTCATTTCATCTCACTTTTATTTCCCAGTTGGTCACTCAGGTAACAAGAGATCAGAAAATGATGAACTACTAAATATTCTAGCTCAATATTAGATATGGAATTGAGAAAAGAAAGCTGGAAAACTGAAAGTTTTTAAACTGTATAACTTTTACTGATGTACCCATATTGACAGGGGAAAAGAGGAGGTAAAGTATGGCTAACCATGATTTGTTTTGGAAATGCTGTATGGCATACAGAATGACAATCTGACTAACATGACATGAAAAATCTATGATTTTAATAAATAATGCTACTTTACTCACAGACTTTTAACTTATTAAACTTCATAAATGGGAAAAATCAATGCTTACTATACATTTACTGAAATATATATGAGTGTATGTGTGTATACACACGTATATCCATATATATATAATTTTTAAAGAAAGATGCTAACAGTGCTTAATCTTTTTTAACTTTTAATTTTGAGGTAATTTTAGATTCACATTCAGTAGTAAGAAACAATACAGAAATTTCATGTAAAATTATTACCCAGTTTCAGTGTTAACCAATGATAATATTTTTCCTATAGTACTGTGTCAATTAACATTTATACAATTCACCAAACTTATTCAGGTTTTACCAGTTTTACGTGCACTATTTTGTGTGCATATATTTAGTTCTATGCAATTTCATAACATTTGCTGATTTGTATGATCATTATCAATGTAGAGATATAGAACAGTTCTATCACAAGTATCTATTGTGCTACCAACTTCAGACCAGAGCCATCTTTCTACTTCTCCCCCAAAAGCTCTGGCAACCACAAATCTGTTCTCCATCTCTTTAATTTTGTCTCTTCACGATTTTTCTGAAAATGGGATCATACATTATGTTACCTTTCGAGATGAGCTCTTTCACACAGCATAATGCCCTTGTAATTAGTGTGTACATCACTAGTCCATTGGTAAGCAGTATTCTATGAAATGGATGGTTTAGCTCATCACATATCTTATAACAGCTGAGTCATTTCTGATTTTGAATATTATAAATAAAGCTGCTTGAACATTAGTGTATAATATTTTTGTAAACAAAAATATAGCCATTCTCTGGGATAAAGGTCAAAAAGTCCAATCGTTGTGTCATATGGTAATCAAATGTTTAGTTTTATAAGAAATTGTCAAACTGTTTTATAGCGTGTTCAACTTTACATTCCCATCAGCAATACATATAGGATGCAGTTTCTCTTTGTCCTTGCCACTTGTCACATGTTTTTGTTTTAGTCATTTTAATAAGTTTGTAGTAATATTTAATTGTAATTTTAATCTGTATTTTCTTAATGGCTAATGATGTTGAAAATTACTCCTACTTATTAGGCTTCCATGTCTTTTTTTCAGTGAGATGTCCCATCAAACACTTTGCCCATTTTAATTGGATTGCTTTATTTGCTTATATTTACTATGTTTTTACAAAGATGTCTTTATATACTCTAGATATAAGTTTCTTATCAGATATTCAGGTTGCAAGTATTTTGTCTCTTCATAGCTTGTATTTTCATCCTCTTTATGGGGACTTTCACACAGCAAATATTTTCAATTTTGATTTCCAATTTATCAATTTTTTTCATTTTATGGGTCATGTTTTTGGTGTCGAGTCTACGAACCACTTGCCTAGCCCTAGATCTTAATAATTTTCCTCTATGTTTTTTTTTCCTAAGGGTTGTATAGTTTTATATCTTATAGTTAAGTTTATAATCCACTTTGGGTTAAGTCTTGTATAAGACGTGAGAATGATGTCAAAGTTTACCTTTTTTTCTGGTTAATATGTACCCAGTTGCTTCAATATCATTTATTTAAAAGGGTATCTATTTTCCTGTTTAATTGCTTTTTCATCTTTGTCAAAAATCAGTCTAGCACATTTGTGTGAATCTGTATTTGGTTTCTCTTTTTTTTCCCATTGATCTATGTGTCTATTCGTCTAACAATATTGCATTGTCTTGAATAGTATAGCTATATAGTAAGATTCAATATCAGATAGAGTGATTCCTCCTACTTAATCCATATGTTTTAAGATTCTTTTTCCTATTCTAGGGCCTATGCCTTTTTCATATGGGGACCTGCTTAAAGAAGCAGTCTGGCCATGCCTTTGTAGAGCAGCTGTGCTGTGCTGGGGTACTGCTTATGCACTGGTTGGCTTGAGCTTTCCAAAGCCCACAAGCTGGAATGGCTAAGTTGCCCAAACAGCAAAGATAGCAGCCCTCCCCTCCCTCTGAGAGGTTCCCTTGGTTCCATGTCACTCCTGGGTGGGCTGTCGTCCTGCTTTATTTTTCTCCATTCTTTGTGGGTCAAGTTGTTTCCTTGATTAGTCCCAATGCGAGTACCTGGATGTTACTGTTGAAGCTACTGTATTTACTTGCCCCTTCCATTCCTCTCTGTGAAAGCCACACATCTAAGCCGCTTCTAGTCCTGGTGGGGTCTTAGGGGAATTATACTAAGTGGAAAAAATGTAAATCTGCAAATGTTTCATACCATAGGATTCTGTGTATACAGCATTCTTGAAAAGACAAAATAATATTAGTGAAGAACAGATTCGTGGTTTCTAGGGTTTGCAAAGGTCTAGGGAGAAGGATGTCAATGTGGTTGTGAGAAGACAACATGAGAGATCCTTGCGGTGATAAAATTATCCTATATCCTGACTGTGGAAGTGGTCACATGAATCTGCATGTGACATGTGATAAAATTTCACAGTATGAAATAAACACACAGACACTCAATGACTCAATGACTGTGTGTAACACTGGTAAAATATGAATAGATAGAGTGTATCAATTTCTATTTTTTAGTCATGACAATGTAAAATAGTTATGCAAGGTGTTACCATTGGGGGAAACTAGGTAAAACTATATAGGATTTATCTGATTATTTATTGCCACTACATGTAATTCAATAACTACCTCAAAAGAGAATGTTAATAAAAGGAATGAAGATATTATTTTTTAGCTGATATGGAGTGAATTATAGGATATAATGTAAATGCTAAAAAAGTGAGAAAACAAGATGCTAATGAAAATATTTATTATATATTTGGTGGATAGGTAAAGAGTGATGGAGTAAAATTGAAGCAAGACTACTACTTTTCACTTAATTTTGAGTTTTGAACATGTAAATACTTTAAATACTCAAAAAATTAAATTAAACACAAAAAGATTAAAGAAATACTCTGAAGATGTGGATGAACCCACATTACTAACTAAAATAAAAACACATACTCTGATTCTACACACTTGGTGGAATACATTCTAACGACAAATGTTAGCACAACAAAATCTCAACTTTTACTTTTGATTTTGGTAGAAGTACTCGTGTGGTAACTTTGAAGTTATTTTATGTTTACTTGAAGATAGAAGACTGTCATGAAATATTGATATTGTTGGAAACTTGAGTTCTCAGTAGGAAAGAAAAAAGATAAACATACAAAATAAAATAAAGCATCCTGTGGTACTGAATTTGAATTGGAGGTTACAGTATGAACCCATGATTTCACTAAAAATGTATTTTCTGACTCTGACTACTAAAAAGTGCTCAGAAAATATATCGTGTTATTTCCTGTGATTGCTGTAACAAATTATCACAAATTCAGTGACTTAAAACAATCAAAATTGACTTGCAATTCTGAAGGCTAGGATCCAAAATAAGTACTGCTGGGCCAAAATCAAGATGTCAGCAGGGGTCTACTACTTCCCAATGTATCTAGGGGAATAATCTATTCCTTTTCCAAAGTCTTTTATTTTTAAATTTGATCATATTTTCACGTATTCTGTTTCTTGGAGCATATTAATCATATATATTTTATATTACGTGTTCAATAACTCCAATTATAAAATATTATGATGTCTGATTGTGCTGTCTTTTGTGTTTAGTGTTTGTAATTCATAGTAACTTTTTTGTGAATTTTGTCATTTTTGAATGTAAGATAACATGGTATTTTGTTTTTGGAAAATCATTACGGCAGGCTTCTATTTCTTCAAAGAGGGTTTGTGCTTACTTCTTCCAGGAAATACTTTTAAAATTATTCCTGCATTAAGGTGAAAGTCATATATATTTACTTACATAAGTCAGAATTACTGTGAAAGTCATATATCTTTATTTACATAAATCAAAATTTACAAGTGGCTTATTGTGTTTATTATTTAATACACATATAAGATATTAGTAATGCATTCCCATTTGGGGGGTTAAACATATTGGTAAACACATTTTATTTCAATTTTTTTCTTTCAGATCAACTCAGTTATATGAAAAAAAAATCATTAGGTGAAGCTCCACATATACTTTGACAATTCTGTCCTAAACACAGATATCTTGTCATTGCAATGTTCTATCTCTAAACTTTCACCCCTACAATCTTTAGGATAAAGTCATCTGATACATTTTAGAGTAGTGATATCATTTCTGTTTAATATAATTTAATTTCATTTAGAAACTTTCCGTGTTTTAACTCATTAGAGTATTTAGTTAGCCATTAATCCATTTTGTAGAGGCATTTGTATTGTGTTTATGTTTAGTGATAGCTTCATACTAGCTTGACCATGTTATTTAAATTTTAATTTAACTGCACAATAAACCTAATATTGGTATATATTTACAACTAAGAAACTACTTTTATTCTTTCTTATGTTTGTTAGTTTTTTTTAATAAGATGTGTTTTATTTTGACTGGCCCATGTATCTATTAAATTAGGAATCATTAGACATTTCTAGACGATTTTGTATTTGGCTTGGTTTTTCAAAAATAATTCTAGTGTATATTAAGTAGGATTTGTTTTATGTTCTACTTATTCATATCATGTTTTTCTTAATTGTACAGCAAACTGACTTTTTTATAGTTTAAATAAAAATACTTTAACATATAGAACTAATTAATCATGTTCATAATAATATTAATCATCATAATAATCATCATAATTAGTGCTTTCCTTAAGAAAAAAAATACTTATTTTATATATCCTTTTCAGTTTCTCATCCTTTAAGTCAAATATTTGTTATAAAATATTCTTAAAAAATCATATTTATTAGTACTGGAGAATGAGAATAAAAGTGCTATGTGAGTATGTTTATAATGCAGATAAAAAATGAACTAAGGCCAAATGCGGTGGCTCACGCCTGTAATCCCAGCACTTTGAGAGGCCGAGGTGGTTGGATCACGTGAGGTCAGGATTTCGAGACCAGTCTGGCCAACATGGTGAAATCCTGTCTCTACAAAAATACAAAAATTAGCCCGGTGTGGTGGCACATGCCTGCAGTCCCAGCTACTGAGGAGACTGAGGTAGGAGAATCACTTGAACCCGGGAGGCGGAGGTTGCAGTGAGCTGAGATCGTGCCACTGCACTCCAGCCTGGGTGACAGATGGAGACTCCGTCTCGAACAAACAAAAAAATGAACTAAGGTGATAATATTTTCTGTACAATGACATTTTCCTCAATAAAATGAATAGAGAAGAAAAAAAGAAATAGATTAAAATTGTGAACACTAGGTTAAAGGAGAACTTAAATATATAATAATCACCAATACAAGCTGATATTCAATAGATCTAGACATTACATTGAGAAGCTGAGTGCAAAACTATAAGCCGTTTTTGTAATAGTTCCTTATGCACATAATGCCAGCTCATTTGTTGTTGAAAAGATATTCAAAATTATCCATATTACGTAAAGGAAAGAATGAATTTATTCATGAATATAAATGTACTCATTTCTTGTGCTGTCTTAATCTATACTTTCTCCTGTCAGCAATAGCAAGCATGTATAGGTTTTACTTCGGTCATCACTCAAAATGAATGCAATCCAAAGCCGTTACTTTGCCACTGAGAGTTAACCTTCAGAGACCTCTTTATGAGTAGAAGTGTTTTAGGACAGCTATAGCTTTACCATTGACCTTTTTCTTTTTATTTTTGCCTTTAGTTTTTAATTATCTGTCATTTGTTACCTGTGAATTTGACCTAGGAAAGAAGATAGGTAGCTAACATACTCAGAGAAATGCAATATTGTTCCCACTTAAAGATACTATAATAACAGCATCACAAAAATATGCCTGAAGGCTACATAAATTCAGCATCTATGAACAACGAAATAATCTTTCATTTTTCACATTGATTTTGTTTCAATTTACAACAAAGGACTAACAACAGCAGCTGCAAAACAGTGATCACACATAATGTGATCTGTAAGCAAATGTTTATTCACGAAGTACCCATTTCTCTTCCGGTGCTCTCCAGCTGACTTGTTGCTCAGCATGTAGTGTAATAATCACCGCATGGTACACTAGCAGGCATGCAGCGACCAGCAATAAGGCATCTGCTATGCATTCAAAAACAAATATCAAATGTAATTCTCCAGAAATTTCTTATGGATTTTATGTAGACTAGAGACTATTTGTATCTTTTAGGAGACATCTTTCTTAGAACAAAGGTATATACATGTTTATTATTTTGGTGCATGAACTTTTTCAAAGATGCTTGCAAACACACACATGCACAAGTAAATCCTGATCTTTCACAAAATTTGAAAGGCTCATTGTCCTGTATATAAGGAGGCTTTTCTATTTTGATTGGGTCTCACAGTATAAACTCATCATATACATATGAGTGTGTATTTTTCTTCACATAGCTAACTGAAATAAAAGTTTTATGAAACTTTCAAGTGTTATCTGACATTTTTATCCTTTTTCTTTTCTTTTCAATTTCATTTAAAAACCCTCTGATTGTGATTCACTAAATTGATCTCATAAAACATTGTCATGACCCTTTATTTCAAAATCACTCCTACAGCATGTACAACATATACATGTACTGAAACATCACACTGTTCCCCATAAACATGTACAATTATTATGTGTCAGTTATAAACAAAATAAAAAGTTTTTCTATAAATGTTATACCACAATATTGAATGTTGATATTTGTATTTACTTCCAACTAAATGGAATTACTATTGTATTACTTCAGAATTGTTAATAGAGACTGTACTAAATTTGAAAAATGTGTACTTCTGTGAATACTCCTAATTTTTGTAAATTCTATAGAAAATGTGTTGTATACAGTACTTTTTTAGTTCCTGAATATCATTGTGTATACTTAAAAACATTAAAATGTGGACAAATTTATAAGGAAATTATTCTTATCAATAACTCTAATCACTAAAAATTACTTAATCTTTGATATTGGAAATTCATCAAGTTTATTTCTGTGTGAAGTTTATTTTTGTAGAGCACCACCTGTATGCTTCTCCTTGGTTATTTTCATCAAACTATGTAAGAGATAGAATGATGTTAGTACAGCTGATTTATTGCAGCTCCATTTTCTTCTTATCTTTACATTCACCAGGTCAGACCTAAGGGGCTAATTGAGAAAACATTTTCTTCTAGTAAAGTCTAATTTGGAAGAAATTCCCAGAGAGAACAAATCTAATCTGAATATCCATAAACAGAAAGATTGTCAAAGAGAGACAAAGATACAATAATTGTTGTGTCCAAGAGGGACATGCTTCAAGTTCTGAATGAATTACAAAAAAATTTTCCCAAAAAGTAATACTAACATGTAGTTCCACATCAGTGCATGACTGTATCTAATTCACCACTTCATTGCCAAAATAAATATTATCTTGTAATTTAAATAAAAAAATTTGTCCATATGACTTACAGAAACAATACAAAAGGGATCATGATAAAAAGCAATAATCCTGCCTCAGTCTTCACCACAAGTCCTACTTGTGAGCAAAAAAGAAAAAAAGCCATCTTTAATTGCTTCAGGTTTTAACTTTTCTGATATGTTATGCTATAAACTCAAATTGTGTTTTGTTAATATTTTAAAATATGTTAAAATATTAGCATATTTTGAGTTTATAGCATATCAGAAATGTTTATCATTTTAAACATGATCCATTTAAATCCCATTATCATGTCTGAAGATTTAGTTCATGTACGTATCTCCACATTTCCTCACATTCTCCCTGTCCAGGAAAACTAAGTCATTAATATTATTTAACTTATCTATAGCAATTATGACTTATATAACTTAATTATACCTCTATTTCTAGACTCTGCACCTTATAAAAAAGTTTTTAGCAACCCTACTCTTTTTCTTTTCTTTCTACCTGCCAGTTTCTTATCTATTTCAATTTTGTAAATTGCATATAATAACAAAAACGTATACGGTGTAATTTTTTTTCCTGTTGTGCTGAAATTATGACTATGAGTAAAATCGAGTACAAAATGCATTAAATGTCTCTCATTCTAAGTTCAAAATTGTGCTACAATGGTATCAAATTAGCTAAAAATGCAGTTTAAGACCAGTTTCTCCCCATGGGGCTTACTGAGTGTCCCATAACTAGCCTACATTCTCCAGTTACCCTCCCCCACCTCATGCCTAGAAATCATGAGGGAAAAGAATGGATGCATTACAGTTTTTGAAATCTGGTGAGAGTGATAATTCAAGCAAACCATTCATAAAGATTAGAATTGCCTGCAGGAAATGTCCGTTAGTATTCTGTTACCCATCTGGAAGTCTGTTGTACTCCTGATGGTGCTATGTGGCCTGCCTTCTAACCTCACTACTGATTGTCAGGTAAGAGGTATTTGGCAATCTAGAATTTGAAGATAGAAGGGTGAGAACATTCTGAGAGAAAAAGTGTGTTTTATAATGCACAGATCCTTTCTTGCCATTATAAGTCACTTGAAGTTTAGACCAGACTAGGTTGTCTTAGGTTGGGTGGTAGTGTCAGAGGCATGTCAACCAGAGAAGCTCCATCTTGAATAGGGATTGGGTAAAATGAGGCTGAGACCTACTGGGGTGCACTCCCGGATGGTTAAGACATTCTAAATCACAGGGTGAGATAGGAGGTCGGCACCAGATACAGGTCATAAAGACCTTGCTGATAAAACAGGTTGCAGTAAAGAAGCCGGCTAAAACCCACCAAAACCAAGACTGCCAGGAGAGTGACCTCTGGTCTACCTCACGGTTACACTCCCACCAGTGCCATGGCAGTTTGTAAATGCCATGACAACATCAGGAAATTACCCTATATGGTCTAAAAGGGGGAGACATGAATAATCCACCCTTTGTTTATTTTATCATCTAGAGATAACCAGGTAGATGGGTACCCAGCAGCCCTCAGGGCTGCTCTATCTATGGAGTAGCCATTCTTTTATTCCTTTACTTTCCTAATAAACTGGCTTTCACTTTACTCTATGGACTTACCCCGAATTATTTCTTGCTCAGGATCCAAGAACCCTCTCTTGGGATCTGGATCGGGACCCCTTTCCTGTAACAGTAGGATAAATACTTTGAAGCAAGTTTGATATTACAGCTTTAAGATGAGTAGAACCGAAATGGTAATACCAACAAGAGAATATTTAAGCAGGTTAAAGTGAAAGAAAATTATAGAATCTACCCAAGATGTTATTAAGATATACGATACACATCAGGATAGTGAGGTTTGATAGTGAGGTACAATTGAAAGACAATGCGGTAGCAGTCATCAGGGAAAAATATAAAACCTCATTTTGTGTTTATGTGTTAACAAGTTGAGCAAGTTGAGACTCCTCAAAAACGTGGTTACATTTATGTTACAGTCTATAATTATATATTTTGTGTGCTTTGTCTATAGGTTGAACCCCCAAAATTGTAAATTGACAGCTCATATAATCATAGCAAATTCTGCTTCATGGCCATATAGTCTGTTCCATTTCATTTTCTCTTTTGCACACTTTTTTCTTTGCAGGAATATCTATTAGTATTTCTAGTTTTTAATATATTTTTAGATTTTATCTTATTAGTAAATTCTTCTAATGTCTCAAGCATATTATCTTTTCTATGAGATCTCCTTTTACCACGGATAACTTCCTTCTGGAACTCCTTGTCTGTCTTCTCCATATTGAACTAGTTGGTCTCTGAGCATGCAGTGCTCTCCTGGATTAGATCTATTCATTTCTGAATTCCATATGTTCTCCTAACTGGGTTTACTTCGTGGTGCTGCAAAAATATCAAGTCTCTTTTCAATAAGGAGTTTATAAAAGGCAAGTGTTCTGAGTTCTGATATGGCTTTTACTTGATTTTATTTAGTATAATATTGTAAGATAAAAATCATTTTTCCTCAGATCTTTGAAGAAACTTTTCTCCTTTCTTCTAGAGTCCAGAATTGTTTATGAGATGTCAAAAAACAGGACAGAAAACAGATGTACCTTTTTTCTCTGTTTCTCTTTCTCTCTTTCCTCTGAAATTTCACAATTATGTGTCTAGCTATGCATATTGTTTTCCATTAGTGCACTCTTTGAATTTTCAGAATTATATTTTATTTCATTTGTGGAAAGTACCCTGTATTATTAGTTTCATTATTTCCTCTACTTAATTTTTAATATTTTAATTTTCTGTAAGTTTTACAGGTAAAATATTATGGAGAAGTAAGTGAAGGGCAATGAGAAGATAAATATTAAAAAGTTGAATTGCTGGAGAAAAGGAATATGCATTTTAGCTTGTTTATTAAAAAGGCATACCTCCATGGGATAAAACCAAACAACAGCTTGATCCCTCTCACATTATTTGTTTCAAACACACTCAGTCCAATCTCTCTTTTTTGCTTCTGAATGACAACCTGGAAAGGCAGGTCACACGGCTTTTTAGGTCACTTTCAAATATTAACAGTGTAATTTTCAAGTTAAAAAAATATAGAACATGAGATCAAATCTTTTATCTCTTACATAATTCACAGTCTAATTCCACCAATCCCTCTGACTTGATGCTCAGAGTTTAGCATGTAGGATGGAGGAGGCATTTTTTCTGTTCTTTCATTCATTTACTCCTCCTTTTTCTCACTAATTCTGCTTTGATACTGGGGAGAGTGAATGGGTGAAAGAGCAAAAGCTTTTTGATTTATCTAGTATAACTCGAAATTTTCTCTTGCCTTCCACTGCTAATGGTTTCCAAATGTTTACTCTCTTTTCTTGAGGTTCTTTTTTCAGGTTTTATAGAGACATATTTGACAAAAGACTTCATATTTTACCATTCCTTGGTACAGAATATTATTTGACTAAATATTTGACTCAATATTTGATGGGTTGTATTACCTGGTATGAATCCCTTACCTGCACCTGCCACAGTGCAGGAATGCCACCAAGTACCATAAACATATGTCAAAGAAACAATTGTCATACCTGAAAATTACCTCCTGGGAACTATGGTACCTCTCAATTATCTTTTCTTTTGTGGTAAAATGGTATGTTAGATCTCAACATTCTACAATAGTTTGGTGAGTTTTTTAACATTTTATTTTACAAAAGTTATCACCTCTTATAAATATTTAATAGTCATTGGCCAATGTGAAATGAGAATTAGGAAGCTTCAGTCTCACAATCAATATTTAGATGCTGCTACTTCTTCTGAAATAGTTAAAATCTTACACACACAGCTTAACTATGAAACTGGAGAATGTAAAATCTACCGACTCTATCAAAAAGATAAGTACATTTAAATTAATGAGTCTAATTAGAAGAGATAATAGAACAATGCAGTGATATAGAACAGGAATGAGTAAATTATAGCCTGAGTGTCAAATACAGTTCATTTACTGTTTTTGTACCTAAAGTTTTGTTGAAACACAACAACATTTATGTATTTGCTCATTGCCTTTGGTTTCTTTTGTGCTACAGAAACAGATTTAAGTGTCTGTGAAAGAGACCTGACAGGCTACAAAACCTAATATGTTTACTATCTGACCCTTTCCAGAAAAAGTGTCATACCCCTGATCTAGAAGAATAGGTAAATGTTTCACTTCCTAAGATATATGCATTGCTGGATGGAAATATTCAGGCATAGCAGAATGCATTATAAGTTCAGTAGTGGTAGCAATCCTGTGTCTGACAGCAGGAATAGACTGTAGTATTATCAGAAATCATTTCATTTTCTCCACATCCTCATCAACTGCATTTCTTATTGCCCATCTTTTGGAAATATAAGCCATTTTAACTGGGATGAGATGATATTTCATTGCAGTTTTGATTTGTATTTCTTTCATGATAAGTGATATTGACCACCTTTTCATATGCTTTGTTTGCCATTTGTATGTCTTCATTTGAGAAATGTCTATTCAAATATTTTGTCCATATTTAGATCAAATTATTATATATTTTTTCCTGTAGAGTTGTTTGAGTCCCTTATATATTCTGGTTATTAATCCCTTGTCAGAAGGGTAGTTTGCAAATATAATCTCTCATTCTGTGGGTTGTGTCACTGTTGAGTGTTTTCTTTGCTGTGCAGAAGCTTTTCAAGTTGCTGTAATCCCATTTGTCCGTTTTTGCTTTGGTTGCCTGTGCTTATGAGTTATTGCTCAAGAAATTTTTGCCCGGGCCAATGTTCTGGAGAGTTTCCACAATGTTTTCTTTTAGTAGCTTCATAGTTTTAGGTCTTAGATTTAAGTGTTTAATCTACTATTATTTGATTTTTGCATAGGACAAGAGATAGGAGTCTAGTTTCTCTTGGATATGATATTCAGTTTTCCCAGCACCATTTATTGAAAAGACTGTCCCTAATGTATATTCGTGGCATTTTTTTAAGAATGAGTTCACTGAAGACGTATGGATTTGTCTCTTGAGACTCTCTACTGTTCCACTGAACTATGCATTTTTTTTTGCAGTAGCACATCATTTTAATTACTATAGCTCAGTAGTATAATTTAAAGGCAGGTAATGTGATTCCTCCAGTTTTGTTCTTTTTACTTAGAATATCTTTGTTCACTCTGAGTCTTTTGTTGCTCCATATAAATTTTAGAATTTTTTTAAATTTCTGTGAAGTGTCATTGGTATTTTGATAGGGATTGCATTGAATCTGTAAATGTCTTTGGGTAGTATGAACATTATAGCAATATTGATTCTTCTTATCCATGAACATGGAATATCTTTCTATATGTTGTGTCTTCTCCAATTGCTTGAATTGATGTTTCATAGTTTTCACTGTAGAGATCTTTTACTTCTTTGGTTAATTCCTAGATTTTTTTTTTTTATTTGTAGCAACTGTACATAGGATTACTTTCTTGACTTGCTTTTTAGAGTGTTTACTGTTGGCACATAGAAATGCTACTGATTTTTGTATGTTAATGATTTTTCCAACTTAATTTGTTTATCAGTTCTAATCTTTTTTGGTGGAGTCTTTAGGTTTTTCAAAATATAAAATTATATTATCTGCAAACAAGGATAATTTGACTTATTTCCTTTCGATTTGGATACGCTCTATTTCTTTCTCTTGTCTGATTGCTCTAGCTAGGACATACAGTACTATGTTAGTCACAGTAGTGAAAGTGGACATTCTTGTCATGTTACCAAATTGAGAGGAAACACGACAAGAAACATTTCCGCATTCAGTATTATACTAACTTTGTGACTGTCATTTATGGCTATTGTAATGTTGAGGTATGTTTCGTTTATATCCAGTTTATTTGAGGGTTGTACTCATGAGGGAATGTTTAATTTTATAAAATGCTCTTTTATCATCACTTGAAATGACCACATGATTTTTGCCCTTCATCCTGTTGACATGATGTATTGCATTAATTAATTTGACAATGCTGAACCATTCTTTCAACCCTGGGATAAATAAAGATGATTGATCATTTTAATATATTGTTTTATTTGGTTTGCTAGTATTTTGTTAAGGATGATTGCACCAATACTTATCAGTGATATTGGGCTGTGGTTTTCTTTTTTTGATGTGTCTTGTCTGGTTTTGGTATCCAGCTAATACTAGACCCATAGAAAGAGTTTGTAAGTAGTCATTCATCCTCTATTTTATGAAATAGTTTGAGTAGAATTGATATTAGTTCTTATTTTAATGCTTGGTAAAATTCAGGAGTGAAGACATCGGGTCCCAGGCTTTTTTTTTGCTAGGACACTTTTTATTATAGCTTTGATATCATTATTTATTATTGATTCATTCAGGTTTTGGATTTCTTCTTGGTTCAATCTTTGCAAATTGTATGCGTGAGGAAATTCATTCCTTTCCTCTAGAATTTCCAGTTTGTTGGCATACAGTTGCTCATAGTAGCCACTAATGATCCTTTGAAATTCTGTAGTATCAGCTGTAACGTCTCATTTTTCATCTCTGAATTTATTTATTTGAGTCTTCTCTCTTTTTTCTCAGTTAGAGTAAAGGTTTGTCAATTTTGTTGATCTTTTCAAAAGACCGAATTTTTGTTTCATTGATCTTTTGTATTGTTTTCTTCATTTTAAATTCATTTATTTCTGCTCTAATCTTTATTATTTCTTTTCATCTACTAATTTAGGTTTTTGCTTGTTCTTGCTTTTCTAGTTCTTCAATACAATGATTTATATTCCTTTTGGTGTATACCTAATAATGGGATTGCTGGGACAAATGGTATTTCTGTCTTTAGGTCTTTGAGGGATCACCACACTGTCTTTCAAAATAGCTGAACTAGGCCGGGCGCGGTGGCTCACGCCTGTAATCCCAGCACTTTGGGAGGCCGAGGCGGGTGGATCATGAGGTCAGGAGATCGAGACCATCCTGGCTAACAAAGTGAAACCCCGTCTCTACTAAAAATACAAAAAATTAGCCGGGCGCGGTGGCGGGCGCCTGTAGTCCCAGCTACTCGGGAGGCTGAGGCAGGAGAATGGCGTGAACCCGGGAAGCGGAGCTTGCAGTGAGCCAAGATTGCACCACTGCAGTCTGCAGTCCGGCCTGGGCGACAGAGCGAGACTCCGTCTCAAAAAAAAAAAAAAAAAAAAAAAAAATAGCTGAACTAGTTTACACTCTCACCAAGAGTGTATAAGTGTTCCATTTTCTCCACAATCTCACAAGCATCTGATATTTTTTGACTTTTTAATAATAGCCATTCCGACCAGTGTTAGGTGGTATCTCATTGTTGTTTTGATTTGCATTTGTCCAACTATCAGTGATGTTAAGCTTTTTTTCGTATATGACTGCTGTCCACATGTATGTCTCCTTTTGAAAAGTGTGTTCATGTCCTGTGCTTTAAGGGGTTGTTTTTTTTCTTGTAAATTTGATTAAGCTTTTTATAGGTGCTATATATTTGACCTTTATTTCTAATAATATTTGTTTTCTGTGTCTAGGTGGTCCAGTGCTGGGTGCATATATATTTAAAATTGATATAACCTCTTGCAGAATTGACCTAATAAAGGGGTCAATTCTTACAGTTTTTGTTGTGAAATCTAATTTGTCTGATATAAATATAGCTACTACTGCTCTTTTTTGTTTTCTATTAGCATTGACTATCTTTTTCCATTCATTTATTTTGAGTCTATATGTGTCTTTATAGGTGAAATGTGTTTCTTGTAGGCTACAGATTATTGGGACTTGTTTTTTCTTTTATCTATTCAGTCACTCAGTGTCTTTTGATTGGAGTGTTTAGTCATTTATATTTAATGGTATTATTGATAAGAAAAGACTTACTGTTTTCATTTCCTTAATTATTTTTTGGTTGTTTGTTGTCTTCTCTTTCTTTCTTTCTTTTTTTTTTTTTGAGATGGAGTTTCACACTTGTCACCCAGGCTGGAGTGTAGTGGTGCAATCTCAGCTCACTGCAACCTCCACCTCCCAGGTTCAAGCAATTCTCCTGCCTCAGTCTCCTGAATAGCTGGGATTATAGGCATGTGCCACCATGCCAAGCTAATTTTGTATTTTTAATAGAGACGGGATTTCACTACCTTGGCCAGGCTGGCCTTTAACTCCTGACCTCAGGTGATCCACCTGCCTTGGCCTCCCAAAGTGCTGGAATTACAAGTGTGAGCCACTGCGCCCTGCCTGTTGTCTTCAATTTCTTCTTTTCTTCTTTTTTATCCTCCTTTTATTGATGGTCATTTTTTCTGGTTGTATGATTCAATTTTTTGCTTTACAATCATTATATATCTGTTGTATGATTTTTTTGATTTGAGGTTACCATGAGGCTTACAAATAGTATCTTATAACCCATAATTTTAAGCTAATAACAATACTGTTTTCATGAACAAACAAGCAGAAAGAAAACTAAGAAAAACTTATGCCTTACTTTTCTTCCTCTACTTTTTACATTTTTGTTTCTGTTTGTAACTTATTGTAGTGTATATGTCTTGAATATTTGTTGTAGTTAATACTTTTGATTAGATCATCATTTAATATTTCTCACTTATATAAGAGTAATTTACACACCACAATTACAGTGTTGTAATATTCTTCATTTTTCTGTGTACATACTATTACCAGTGAGTTTGGTACATTCAGATACTATCCTTCTTTTTTTTTTTTTTTTTTTGAGATGGAGTCTTGCTCTGTCGCCCAGGCCGGAGTGCAGTGGCATGATCTCGGCTCACTGGGCTCCGCCTCCCAGGTTCATGCCATTCTCCTGCCTCAGCCTCCCGAGTAGCTGGGACCACAGGCGCCCACCACCATGCCCGGCTAATTTTTTGTATTTTTAGTAGAGGTGGGATTTCACCGTGTTAGCCAGGATGGTCTCAATCTCCTGACCTCGTGATCCGCCCACCTCGGCCTCCCAACAGATACTATCTTTTTGATCACTAACATCTTTTTCTTCTATTGAAGTACTCCCTTTAGCATTTCTTGTAGAACACATCTGATGTCGATGAAATTCCTCAGGGTTTTTTTGACTGTATGTCCGAAGTCTTTAATTCTCCTCCATGCTTGAAGAATATTTTCACTGGATATACTATCTTAGGGTAAATGTTTTTTGTTTTTTTTTTCCCCCTCAACATTTTAAATACGTCATAGCACTCTCTCCTGGCCTGTAAGGTTTCCACTGAAATGTCTGCTGCCTGATGCATTAGAGCTCCATTGTATGTTATTTGTTTCTTTTATGTTGCTGTCTTTATTATTCTTTCTTTATCCTTTTCATTTAGTAGTTTGATTATTAAATGCCTTGAGGCAGTCTTCTGTGGGTTAAATATGCATGGTGTTCTATAACTTTCTTGAACTCATATATTGATACCTTTCTCTATGATTGTAGTGTTTTATTTTATTATCCATCTGAATAAATTTTCTACTTATTTCTCTTTTTCTACCTCCTCTTTAAGTCCAATAACTCTTAAATTTGGTCTATTGAGTCTATTTTTTAGAATTTGTAGGCATGCTCCATTTTTAAAATTTGTTTTGCTTTTGTCTTTTCTGTGTATTTTCAAATAGCTTGTCTTCAAGCTCATTAATTCTTCTGCTCGAGCAATTCTGCTATTACAAGACTCTGATGCATTCTTCAGTATGCCAGTTGCATTTTACAACTCCAATATTGCTGCTTGATTTTTAAAAATTATTTCAATGTATTTGTTAAATTCATTTGATAGAATTCTGAATTTCTTCTTTGTGTTATCTTGAATTTCTTGGAATTTCCTCAAGACAGTTATTTTGAATTCTCTGTCTGAAAGGCCACATATTTCTATTTCTCTAGGATTGGTCAGTTGTGCCTTAGTATATTTTCCTGGATGGTCCTGATATTTCTCGATGTTCATCTGTGCCTGAGCATTGAAAAGTTACATATTTATTATAGTCTTTTCGGTCTGTGCTTCTTTGTGATCATCCTTCTTTTCAAAGCTTTGTAGGTATTCAAAAGGACTTCAGTATTGTGTTCTTATTTTTTTCTTTTTCTTTTAAATTTTTTTTATTATTATACTTTAAGTTTTAGGGTACATGTGCACAACGTGCAGGTTTGTTACATATGTATACATGTGCCATGTTGGTGTGCTGCACCCATTAACTCGTCATTTAGCATTAGGTGTATCTCCTAATGCTATCCCTCCCCCCTCCCCCCGCCCCACAACAGTCCCCAGTGTGTGATGTTCCCCTTCCTGTGTCCATGTGTTCTCATTGTTCAATTCCCACCTATAATTGTGTTCTAAGTCACACCCGCATTAGCGGGCACCCCAAGCCCACTAACACTGTGGTTCTTGTAGACTCATAAAGGTATTGCCTTGATGGTCTTGTAAAAGATCCAGAAGAATTCTGTGGATTACCAGTCCGAGACTATTTTTCTCTTTCCTTACTTTCTAACAAACAAATAGAATCTATCTCTGTGTACTAAGCTGACTGGAGTTGCAGATGGGCTGACACAAGAACCCCTGTGGCCACCACTACTGAGACTGCACTAGGTCAGACCTGAAGTCAGCACAGCACTGACGCTCACCCAAGGCCTGCTTTAACCACTCCCTGGCTACTGCTTATTTTCACTCAGGGCCCCCAGGCTCTACAATTAGCCGGTGAGAAGCCAGCCAGGCTCATGTCTTTCCCTTCAGGGCAGTGAGCTTCCCCAAGTGCCTGGCAAGTCCAGTGGTGCCATTGTGAGCCAGAAGGTGAAGTCAAATTCTCATAATTTTATCTGTTATTCCATTGTACGGCAGCTGAGCTGTGACTCAAACCACAAGATTCAGTCATTCTCACTTATTTCTCCCCTTTGCTTAGACAGAGGAGCCTCACCTCCTGGCCACCTCCACCGCCAGCCCATGCCAGAGTTTCCTTAAGGTCCAAGTGGGTTTCAGTCAGCTTGCGATGATTGTTGCCTTTCCTGGGACTCACACTTCAGGGCAGTGGGCTCCCCTCTGGCCCATGGCACTTCCAGAAATGCCATTCAAGAGACAAATTTCTGGAATTTGGGGATCCCAGGAGCCCACTTGGTGTTCTACTTACCTGTGGCAGAGCTGATACCTAAAGGAAGCAAGTATCCAAGTCTCACCCAAGGCCCATGGTGTACTACCTGGATATCACTGGATATAAAGAGCCCAAGGGCTCTTTAATTAGCAGGTGATGAAACCTGCTGGGATTGAGTCTTTTTCTTCAAGCCAGTGATTTTTCCTTCTGTCCCAGGTGTGTCTAGAAGTGTTATCTTGGACCTACAGCCTGGACAGTGGGCCTCATGCCTTTGACTGGTGCCCTGTGCTACTCTGGCTAAGCTGGTATCCAAGATGCAAGACAGAGTCTTTTAAAATTTTTCCTCTCCTCTCCACAAGTGGAAGAGAGGGGTCACTTTTGTGTCTGAGAGATGTGCAGCCTGGGTTTGAGGGAGGTATTGTGCAAACACTCCTTTAGCTGCCCAACTGGTGTCTCAGCAGGTCACATGCCTCCCAAGTTCACTGGCTCTAAGCCCATTTCAGCAGTAGAATTTGCCTACGTTTTTCAGTCGTCTGGCCTAGATTGCATTTCAAGTTTACTTAGGGCACCAGTACGCTTTAGCCCACGGTGGCAAGGCTTGCTAGAAATCTGCTTCTGACTGCTTAGATGGGTGATTCCTCTCTGGCTAGGGTTGTCTTAAATATTCTCTCCATGGGGGAGCATCAGCTGAGTTTAGCCTGGTTTTGTTTTCTTCTGTGATAGGGCAGTATTGAGTTCAATGCAACGTCTCACAACTGTTGCACTCTCCCTCTTCCAAGATCACAGATTCTCTATCTCTGCCACACAGTTGCTGCTGGGCACTGGGGAGGTGTAGTGTCAGCAATTCATGACTGTCTTTTTTTAACCTTTTCAGTGCCTCTTTCAGTAATATGAAGTTAAACCAACATACTGTGATTATTCATCTGATTCTTTGTTCTTACGAAGATGCTTTCTTTGTTTAAATATTTGTTAAATTGTTTTTCTTGGTGAAGGGCTTTTGGGGGAGCCTTCTATTCACCCATCTTTCTCTGCCTTTCTCCAGCCAATACCTTTTCAAAGAAGTTTCTTTGACATATAACCCTTGCCCCACATCACATACTGGATAGATACTGTACCTGTGGGTTTTTATAGTATCTTACAGTTACTTGTATTATGGCACTTACCAAATTGCCTTGTCATCATTTTATATCCCCCATGTACGTTTTGGTTTCCTTCAGATGTGGAAGTGAATCTTGTTTTTCATGTGTTCAATATAGTATCTAAATATAATAGGCAATTATATGTATATAATTGAATGAATGAATCAGTAAATGAACAAATCAACAATATGCTAAAGAATTACAGATAAATGGATGTATACAAAAGTAAGCATAGAAATTTTTATGGAGAATGTAATATTGAACTAAGCCACTAGGGGAGGAGTAGAGTAGTATATGCAAAAGTACAGAGGCATGCATTAGCAAGTTGCATACAATTGTGGAAGGGACATAGGATATATATTTTCGAATGGTGAAAAACTAAGAAAATGGTCTGCCTGGGGGCAGATCATCAGGGCTTTACACAGCATGCTAAAAAGTTTGGACTTTATCTTGAAAGCTATAAACAGACATTGAACATTTTTAAGCAAGTTGGTTACATGAGCAGATTTCCATTCAGAGAGATTACCCTGGAGATGATAGATTGGAGGATGGAATGAGAAAGGAGAAAAAAAGTGGAGGCAGAGAAATTACTTAGAAAGCTTTTTCAGTATTCTAGGTAATAGATGATGGTGAGTAGAATAAAGCCAGTAGTACTTCCAGGCGGAAATAAAATGACAAATTTAAGATATACTTATTAAGTCAAACTGACAGGAATCAAAGTATGAATATGAGATTTTTTTAAAAAAATACAACTTGGGGATGATTCTCAAGTTTCTTTATTGGATATAAAATGAATATTTTCCTCATTAAATGAGATGGGAATTACAGGATAAGCAGTTAGTATGGGAGAATAGAATATATTGAATCTTGGTTTGGTCATGATGTTTGAGATTCCGTAAGATATTCAAGTAGATATGGGCAGGATGTCATTTGAAATACTTATTTGGGGCTTGTTAAAAATATTTACCTTTTCATTTGCCTGCCTGCCAACCTATCTCCTTAACTACTTTTCAATTGCCTAATAAATTACCATTCTATCTTGTCTGAAATTAAAACAGTGTTGTCTCAGAAATTACTTTTATATCCTTCCAGTTTCAATCACTGGAATAGTTGTAATGACCCAATTTTAGCAATAATAATTTGATTCTCCCTTCTGCTTTCAGTTAAAACCTATCCCATTAGCCCCACATTTTTAATGTTTTCTGTCCTTACTACTTACTTTCAAAATTTGAAGTCCATAGGACAGTCAAGGCACTAGCTGTTACCATAGGTTTGCTTTAAATGGTGGAAAAGCCAGAGATAGGCCCTTTGCCAATTAGCCATTGATTATACTTACCCTGACTACAGTGTTCTAATTCCAGCACTACCCACAGAATTGTATGGATTATTTTCCCTATCCCCCAGGATGTCTGAAAGGCCTTACTGTTATAAGACTCTGAAAGTTTCAAGGTCATAAAATCTCCATAACTGCCACAGCCTAAGTTCTTCGTATAACTCTATTTTGACCTAAAAGCTTTAAGTTTATTATTTATCTGTATTATTTTAAAGTGTGTGAGGTGGAGGTTCTTATTTATGCACAGAATTCATGGAGAATGAAAACACTTTTTTTTTTTTTTTTGAGACGGAGTTTCTCTCTTGTCACCCAGCCTGGAGTGCAGTGGCGCCATCTCAGCTCACTGCAACCTCTGACTCCTGAGTTCAAGTGATTCTCCTGCCTCAGCCTCTTGAGAAGCTGGGATTACAGGCACCTGCCACCAAGCCTGGCTAATATTTTTGTATTTTTAGTACAGACAGGGTTTCGCCATGTTGGGCAGGCTGGTCTGGAACTCCTGACCTCAGGTGATCCACCCGCCTCAGCCTCCCAAAGTGCTGGGATTATAGGCGTGAGCCTACGGGTCCGCTGAAGACACTTTATTGTAAAGTTTATCTGGGTTTAAGATATTTTAGAAGAAAATAACATTGGTCTCAATGAGGTCTTATTTCTCATTTTCCTTATTTTCCAGTCCCATCACACCCTTCTGTATGACACAAGCCTATATATGGGTTAAACATTGCATGCTTCCAGTAATACCAACTTAAACAATTATGCCAGTGGACCAAAACATATGCATAGTATAACAGCATCCTGGTACTACAGAAATATCAAGGCAAAGTTGAGAAACTGCATGAAAGATAATGTGTATCATCACTCATTTAATATAGGAACAGATGGAGAAAGCTATTTCTCTTATCTTCCATTTATTTATCACTGGTATTTTTGCAGCTGCCTAACTATAAACTTGCTAAGGAAATCAGCAAAGTTGTATTTTAAAAACTGTGTTAACTAAGTGAAACATGTAGAAAAGTTTTACTTTCATATACTTACAGGCAATGGCAGATACAAAATAATCCCACCTTTGACAGATGATACAAATTACAGATATCATGAACACCAAAAAATGTACATTGTGTTCTCTGCTATAGTGTCACTTAAAGTAAAAGGAGAGAATACCAAGCAGTCTGATGTAACTGAAATCCAAACAACTATAAGTGCAAATAATATTTCTGTTAAGCTTAGTGATCTGATTTAAGAAGCGTGTGTTTGTTCTTTTCCTAACTGAAAGCAAATGTCAATGCATTCAAAGGCTCTAGAATAACTTGTACGGTCTTCCTAAAATTTAAAATTAAACGACTGTTGTTATATTTCACTAGCAGGCACAAGTACCTTTTCTATTTGTTTGTTTCTTAGTTGTGGTTGATAATCTTTGGCCTTGTATCTTCAAGATAATAACTACAGAAAAGCCCCAATTTCTTTACTAATATATTTCTGAGTACTGGATTGAAGTCAAACTGTTGTAAGTCAACTTCTCACTTCTTACATGTGTGTTTCTATAAACTAGAATCCCATTAACAGAAATTTATTCCATAATATGAAAATACCAATATTAAGCATGTTATTAAAAGTAAATCAAATTATATGTTTTTACATGTATTTATTTTATAAAAACACAACAGCAAAGCTACAGGATATATATTCTGTAGGAGAATGTTTACTTAAATAAAATTGTTGAGGATTTCTTTAGAAAACTGACTTTTTAAGGTTTGTAAATGGTACACAACACTACAAACTAAAAATGAAAGCTAAAAATGAGCCCTCTATTACAACTAGAATATACCTCAGGTAAGCCCCACTCTTCCAGGCTGAACCCTGGAAGAACGTGAAACAAACCTGAACCTGGTAATCAGTTCAGGTTTGAACCAAAGCTCCCTTAGCTTACCCATCAACCCGTCAGTGAAAAATTAGTGTTGGTAAACCACTGAGTTTTGGGGTTGTTATGCAGCTTTATCTCACACAAGCACACTAATGGACCAAAGTTAAGTCACTGAATCGCAGAAATTACAAACAATAAATCTCAATCCTCTCTAGAAAAGCACAAAACATTTAAAGAACTAAAAGATACACTTACAAAAATAGGCAAACACAGAAAATTAACAGGAATGAACACACACATTTTGGGAGAAAATTTACAACATATGGAAAATCTAGATACAGAAAATGTAATTGTTAACCAAAAATCAAACTCAATGGAAGAATTTAACAACATATTAGACACAACTTAAGTGATAATTAGTGAAGTGGGAGAGTCTGTGAAAAAAATTACCCAATATGGAACACAGAGACTAAAAGATGGACAATATGAAAGGTATCATAAAAGATAATGAAGATAGAATGAGAAGTCTAGTCATGTAATATGTATCTAATTAAAGGTTCAGATATAGAGAATTAAAAGAAAGAAGTGTAAGTAATTATTTGAAAAATACCAAACTAATAAAACTAAACATAAATCCGAGAAGGAACAATATATACCAAGCAGTATATAATTTAAAAAAAATCTACTTTGACATGTTGTAGTAAATTTGAAGAAAGACACATAAAATGTCTTATTTGCAGTTATATAAAGACAGGTCACATACAAAGAATGAGCAATCAGAATATTAGAATTTATTTCAGAATAAAATTGGACTCATCTGCTTTTATTAGGGCTTATTCTTTGGGAAATTAAGTCTCCTCTCTCAAAGAATAAAGGCTTTTGCCTTTTGTTGAAAATCTTTGAGTTATCACTTTGGCTAAGTTAGTGACTTATTTTACAACGACCTGTGATCCTATTTAGTGATATTAAGTGTTTTAAAATTTTACTTTTGACAAACTTTTCAAAGTCAAGTTCTAACTTTGGTCCTCATTAATTTTTTAATATTAGTCCCCTGAAGTCCAAAAGAAATATATTCAGCTTATTTGGTATAAAGAAATCGTACAGGAAGTACTGTCAAATATAAAATACGTGACAATATTTTGTCAAACTAAATTAGGTGTTTAGCCTTTCTTTGGATTATATTTATATAAATGTGTTATTAGTATGTGTTCCAGAATTGTATACAATTCCTGCTATGCTGATACGTTTTAGCATATGTTACCAGTAGTAATTATAATTATTATGTAAAATTATATGCCACAGAAGTAACCAAATTTTCTTGTCAATTGTGTCTTTATGACTGTTTTAAGACTTTTGTCATCCACAATTGTTTTACTTTTATCATTTTCAAAAGGTGGTTTTATAATCAGCATAGGACTCTGATGGGTGCTGTGAAATGCAGTTTTGGAGATTGTGACATAGATTAGGGAAAAAAAACTCCCAAGACTCCCATGGAGAGCTAAAATGTTCCGGAATATCAAGCAGAATGGGAGGTAACGACATGGACTGAACTAACAGAAGACTGAAATAATCCTGTAATGACTTTTTGCTTAAAATGTTGTTATCCTTTTCTTTGTTTTTCACAGCCAAAAAAAAATTTTTTTTCTTTTGAGCTATTTGCAGCTTTTAACAATCGAATAAAGTGTGCTCCTATAAAAAAAATTGGAGCATATTTCTCTCTACCTAATTTCTTCAAAATTTAGAAACTAGTTTTTAATATGTAAGGTCAGCTGAGAGAGAAAGAATGAGAGAGAGAGAGACCCAAGTTCAGCAAGCCTTTATTAACCTACAGACTGCCCTCTAAACAGTCAGAGAGAGCAGCCCCCAGCTTACAGAATGAGGGGTTTATATTGGGGAGGGAGTTTGAGGGAGTTCTTTGGTATGGCTGCATCCCGGGGTTGTTTGCTGGTTAATTTTGCCACATATTACCCTGTGATGTTTATGGTAGAATTTACAGGAGGGTGTAGGTAAAGTTTGTTTATGCTTCCCACAACCTCCCCCGTGCGGTCTGGATTTTTTGTAATTGGGGTTTGCTTTATTGAAGCAAGACCTGATAGATAAAATCTGCTGGCTTCACCACAGCGCCTAGGTAAGGGCTTAGAAATGTAAAATGGTTTTGGGGAAGGGTGGGCAGCATGGAGAGGTTTGGGGGGAGTGTTGGCAGTACCAAGAAGCTTTTTGGGGCGGTTTGTCCCTAACAGAATATACTTCACTTATGGCAATATAGTGATTTGCATAAGTGCAATAAGAATCTGTGTTATTAACAGGACAGAATTGGAGACATTGGTTATTTAAGGTTTTGACTGAAATGGCATCCTATCAGGTAAAGACTCCTTTAAGGAATGAAAGATGGCTTACAGAGCCAATGAAAGTCCCTTGGGAAAGCTGACTTCAAACCTTGTCTACAAAGTCCTCGTATAGGTTTCTGATCTGTGGTAAGTAAAGAATGTCGCTTTCTGGCCAGGTGCGGTGGCTCATGCCTGTAATCCCAGCACTTTGGGAGGCCGAGGCAGGTGGATCACAAGATCAGGAGTTCGAGACCAGCCTGACCAACATGGTGAAACCCCATTTCTACTAAAAATACAAAAATTAGCTGGGTGTGGTGGCGCGCACCTGTAATCCCAGCTACTCAGGAGGCTGAGGCAGGAGAATCACTTGAATCCAGGAGGCAGATGTTGCAGTGAGCCAAGATCACGCCATTGCACTCCAGCCTGGGCGACAGAGCGAGACTCCGTCTAAAAAAAAAAAAAAGAATGTTGCTTTCTGACAAGCCCAGGGGCCCCAAGTTTTCTGGGGACCTTGAGGTGAAGAATTCACCTAATTAATAAAGGTATTTGCAGGCACAGGCTGGGTCTAAGGCATTAAAGTTAGATCTGAGATTCCTTATTCAATAAAATTCCAGCAAAGCCAATTTTAACAAAAAGGAGGAGCCTATATAGTAAATAATTATTCTTGCTGACTTTATGCAAATACTCCAGCCAAGTATAGTAAGACTAAAACTTATTTTGCAAATGAATTTGTCCTATGATTTGTCTTTAGCAAAATCAGGACTGGAGAGAGAGTGTTTCAAAATAAACTATAGTACACCTGTTGTTAGATTCTAGTCTTGCCTAACCTAATGTTTTTCAATTTTTATTATTTTCTACAGTTTGGAATGAATTTTAAAATTTTTCCTGGGTACAAGTCTCCAAAATAATGTTTCCAATTATTTTCCTTCCTTTCTTTCCTTTTATTCCCATTTTTTTCTGATTTGAAATCACTAAAAATTAAGCTCTCTTCTCTTAAAGCCAAGAGAACTGAAGCTAAACAACTTAAATTTCAGAAGAAAATAACAGCAATCTAGTTACATAAATAAACCACTTTCATATCTGCCTACTGATGTATAGATTTTAGAATAATATGGCCTACATCAATTTTCCAGAATTAATATCTTTTTGTTTGTTATTTTGCTTCCCTTCTTCCCCAGTTTTCTCTGTGTAGGACGTGAGACTTTACGACCTGCTAAAAATGAGCTTTCCTAATAATGTGGGACCTATTCATCTAAGAATAAATCATCCGCTCCGTGACAGATCAGACAGAACCTGAGACCAGAAACTCATTTTCTTCTAAAATGCTTTCTCTGAAAGATTTTAAAAAGAAAAGGGGGAAATGTAAAAGGAAAATACATCTTGAGACCCCCAAATCACTAAGCCAAAGAAAGAGGTTAAGCTGAGAACTGCTTAGGGAAAATCTTCCTTCCATTCTATTCCTAAAAACGATAGCTCGTAAGATTAAAAAAGCTACATACCTGCCTCACAAGAAATTTCCTTGCAGACAAAGGGCATGCAGAACTCAAAGTCATTCCTCTGCTCACTGAGATAGATATGTATTGATTGTCTCCACTGGAAAGGCTAATCAGAAACTCAAAAGAATAACATCGAAGGTGCCACTCCTGAGGAAATCTCAACTGCACGACCCCTACTACGCCCCAATTCAGCAGGAAGCAGTTAGAGCGGTCGTGGGCCAACCTCCCCCAACAGCACTTGGGTTTTCCTGTTGAGAGGGGGACTGAAAGGCAGGACTAGCTGGATTTCCTAGGCCGACTAAGAATCCCTAAGCCTAGCCGGGAAGGTGACCGCCTCCACCTTTAAAACACAGGGCTTGCAACTTAGCTCACACTTGACCAATCAGGTAGTAAAGAGAGCTCACTAAAACGCTAATTAGGCTAAAACAGGAGGTAAAGAAATAGCCAATCATCTATTGCCTGAGAGCACAGGGGGAGGGACAATGATTGGGATATAAACCCAGGCATTCAAGCTGGCAAGGGCAACCCCCTTTGGGTCCCCTCCCATTTTATGGGAGCTCTGTTTTCACTCTATTAAATCTTGCAACTGCGAAAAAAAAAAAAAAGAATGCAACGGTTTGCCTTTTATCTGCCTATGACCTGGAAGCCCCCTCCCTGCTTTGAGTTGTCCTGCCTTTCAGGACTGAACCAATGTACATCTTACACATATTGATTGATGTCTCATGTCTCTCTAAAATGTATAAACCAAGCCATGCCCCGACCACCTTGGGCACATGTCACCAGGGCCTCCTGAGGCTATGTTACAGGCACATGTCCTTAACTTTGGGAAAATAAACTTTCTAAATTGACTGGGATCTTTCTCAGATATTTGGAACTCACTCTACACAGACACACAGACACACACACAAACACACTCACAAACATGCACACACAAATACACATATATGTATATTTGTGTTATAAACGTATTAGTCCTTTTTCTGTAATACAGATTTTAAGTAAACTCCAGTGCTTCATTTGTCTTTTTACTTTGCTTATCGTTCTTTTTTTCTTTTAAGTTTTAAAACACTTTAGGGAATAGGAAGAGCAAGATGACTAAAAAAATCTCTCCAATGATAACCCTACCACAGGAACACCGAATTGAATAACTATACATGCAAGAAAGAACTTCCATAAAAACCAAAAAAAAATAAGCAATCACAGTACCTGATTATAACATCATATCAAGAAAAGAAGCACTGAAGAGGGTAGCCAGGGTAGTCTTGCATTGCCTACATCATCCCTCCTCCATCCCCCAGCAGTACAAAGAGAGATAATGTATGTGCTTGTGGGAGGGGGAGTCAAGGACTTTGGTATTTGTATTGGAATTCAGTGCTACCTTGTCCCAGTGGAACACAACACAGGGCAGAATTTAGCCAGTGCCAACAGAGGAGGCATTTAGACTAACCCCAGTCAAAAGGTAATCTTTTACTCCAGCAGTGGGAACCTGAGCTCTGGCTAGCTCCATCAATGCCTGATTAATGTAGCCTGGGGTCCTGGATAAACTTGAAAGACAGTCAGGCTCAAGGCTTGCAGTCCTTGGGTAAGTCCTGTTGCTTTGCTGAGCTTGGAGACAGTGGTATTGAGATACCCACAGCTCAGTGAGACAAAAGCTGGAGTGGCCAAGGGAATGCTTGCATCAGCTCTTCTCCAACTCCAGGAAGCACAACTCATAGCTCCAGGAGAGACTCCTTCCACTTGCAGAAAGGAAAAGGAAGAGTAAAAAGAACTTTGTCCTGTGACTTAGATACACTTTCAGCCACAGTTTAAAAATAACAATAATAAAAAAATAAAAGCATAAAGCAGAGTCCTGAGACCTCCAATTCCAGACCCTAGGTCTTGGATGACATTTCTAAACCCACCCTGGGCTAGAAGGGAACCCACTAACCTGAAGTGAAAAACCAAGCCTTGGCAGGATGCAACACATGCTGACTAAAGGGACCTTGATAGGGCTACATGAGTGGTAGCCAGGCAGTAGTCACCATGGGCCTTGGACTAGACCCATTACCGTGCTGGCTTCAAGTGTGACCCAGCATAGTCCCAACTTTGGTGGCCCTGGAAGTGTTTGCATCATCCCTCCCCCAATTTCAGTCAGCCCAGCACAGAGAGACAAACACTTGTTTGGGGAAAAGTGAGAGAAGAGGATGAGAGACTCCCTGGTATTCCAGGAAATGCTCCCAGATCTTATTCAAGTCCACCCATGATATACCTCTGCAAGTATGCAAATATGGCATCACTACTGGACTTGTGGCACTCCCTAGTGCAGATATAGCTGCAGTAACCAAAGACTTAAGTTGCAACTCTAGATATGGGAAAGTCTTCTCGAGAAGTATAAATCCAAACAAGAAAGAACTGCAAAGATTAGAATACCTAAACTCTTCAGCGCCCAAACATCATGAACATCAACAAGCATCAAGAATATACAAGAAAACATGACCTGACCAAATGAACAAAATAAGGCACCACTGACCAATCCTGGAGTGAGAGACATATGTGACTTTTCAAAAGAGAACTCAAAATAGGTTTTTTTGAGGAAGCTTAACCAATTTCACAGTAACACAAATAAGGAATTTAGAATTCTATTAGAAAACATTTACAAAGAGATTGAAATAATAGAAAAATCAAGTAGATATTTAGAAGTTTAAAAATTCAATTAACAAAATGAAAACATGCATCAGAGTATTTTAATAGCAGAAATTATTAGGCTGAAAAAAAATAGTGAACTTGGAGATCGGCTACTGAAAATGCACAGTAAGAGAAAGCAAAAGAAAAAAGGATGAAAAAGAATGAAGTAAACCAACAAGATCTAGAAAAAGGCCTCAAAAAAATCTAATCATTACTGGTCTAAAAGAGGAGGTATAGCAAGAGGTTGGGGTAAAAGTCTATTCAAAGAAATAATAACAGTGAACTTTTGAAACCTAAAGAAAGTTATCAATATTCAAGTTTAAGAAAGTAATAGAACACCAAGTGGATTTAACACATTAAGACTACTTCAAGACATTCAATAATCAAACTCCCAAAACAAAAAGATAAAGAAAGAATCCTAAATGCAGCAAGAAAAAACAAGCAAATAACATACAAAGGAGTGTCAGTATCCAGTGAAAATACCTTTAAAACATAAAGGAGGCCAGGCACGGTGGCTCATGCCTGTAATCCCAGCACATTAGCAGGCTGAGGCAGGTGGATGCACGACGTCAGGAGTTTGAGACCAGCCCGGCCAACATGGTGAAACCCCGTCTCTAGTAAAAATACAAAAATTATCTGAGTGTTGTGGCGTGCACCTGTAACCCCAGCTGCTTGAGAGGCTGAGGCAAGAGAATTGCTTGAACCCAGGAGTCAGAGGTTGTAGTGAGCCGAGATCGGAGATCGTGCCATTGCACTCCAGCTGGGGTGACAGAGCAAGACTCTTTCACAAAAAAAAAAAAAAAAAAAAAAAAACACACACACGCACACACATAAAGGAGAAATATTTTCCCAATGAGCGTTAAGAAATTTGGAAAACACCAGACCTGTCATTCAAGAAATGTAAAAGGAAGTTCTTGATTCTAAAAAGAAAGAATGTTAATGAGCAATAAGAAATTATCTAAAGGTAAAAACTCACAGGTAACAGTGAGTACACAAAGAATATTCTGACAATGTATTCGCTGTGTGTAAACCATTCATATCTTGAGTAGTAAGACTAAAAGACAAACTTATTTAAAATAATAACTAAAATACTTTTTAAGGTGTAGATACTGCAAAGGACATGAACTCATTCTTTTTTATAGCTGCATAGTATTCCATGATGTATATGTACCACATTTTCTTTATGCAGTCTAACATTGATGGGCATTTGGGTTGGTTCCAAGTCTTTGTTATTGTGAATAGTGCTTCAATAAACATGCGTGCATGTGTCTTTATAGTTGAATGATTTATAATCCTTTGGGTATATACCCTGTAATGGCATTGCTGAGTCAAATGGTATTTCTGGTTCTGGATTCTTGAGTAATCAACACACTGTCTTCTACAGTGGTTGAATTAATTTACACTCCCACCCACAGTATAAAAGCGGATACATTACTAGACATACACAACTTACCAAAAAAAAAAAAAAATAGTAAAAGCATTTCTATTTCTCCACATCCTCTCCAGCGTCTGTTGTTTCCTGACTTTTTAGTGATTGCCATTCTAACTGGCATGAGATGGTATCTAATTGTGGTTTGATTTACATTTCTCTAATGACCAGTGATGATGAGCTTTTTTTCATATGTTTGTTGGCTGCATAAATGTCTTCTTTTGAAAAGTGTCTGTTTATATCCTTCGCCCACTTTTTGATAAGGTTGTTTGCTTTTTTCTTGTAAATTTGTTTAAGTTTCTTGTAAATTCTGGATATTAGCCCTTTATCAGATGGATAGATTGCAAAAATTTTCTCCCATTCTGTAGGCTGCCTGTTCACTCTGATGATAGCTCCTTTTGCTGTGCCAAAGCACTTCATTCTCAGCAAACTAACACAGGAATAGAAAACCAAACACCACATGTTCTCACTCATAAGTGGAAGTTGAACAATGAGAACATATGGGCAGAGGGAGGGGAATATCACACACCGGGGCCTGTCAGGGGGTGAGGGGCAAGGGGAGGGATAGCATTAGGACAAATACCTAATGTAGATGACGGGTTGATGGGTGCAGCAAACAACTATGGCACATGTATACCTATGTAACAAACCTGCACATTCTGCAGGTTTGCAATCATCCTCAAATTATTCCCAAAAATAGAGGAGGAGAAAATACTTCGAAACTAATTCTACAAAGCCAGTATTACCCTGACACCAAAACCAGAAAAAGACACAACAAAAAAGGAAAACTATGTGCCAGAACTTAAAGTATAACTTTAAAAAAAAGACGTAAATGCAATAAACAGATATCAATAGAAACAACAAAAAATTAGAAAGTTTGGGGTGATGGAGTTAAAGTTTATAAATTGTATGAGTTATTTATTAGTTGGGTTTTTTTGCAATCAGAATTAAATTGTCATCAGTTTAATATGATCATTTATAAAATGTCGTTTACAAGCCTCATGGTAACCTCAAATCAAAAGACCTACAGTAGACATACAAAAAATAAAAAGCATGAAATTAAAACACACCATAAGAGAAAAATCACCTTTATACAAATGAAGATAAAGGAAGAAAGAAGGGCGATAACACCAAAAAAGTCAGAAAACAAATAACAAAATGTCAGTAAAGTCCTCACATATCAATTACATTAAATGTAAACAGACAAAAATATCCAATCAAAAGACATAAAGTGCCTGAATATATTTTAAAAGGAGACCCAACTATGTGCTGCCTATAAGAAACTCAACTCACCTATAAAATACACAGACCAAAAATAAAGTAATGGAAAACATATTCTATGCCAAAAGAAACCAGAAAAAGATCAGGAGTGCCTATACTTTTATCAGGTAAAATATATTTTACAACAAAAATTCTGAAAAGAGACAAGGTCATTAAATAGTGACAAAACAATTCTTGGTGAATTGTTATATTCAGCAAGAGAATATAACAATTTAAATGGATTTAAATATGCACCCAATGCTGGAGCACTTAGATATGTGAAGCAAATATTATTAAAGCTAAAGAGAGAAATAGACACCAATACAATAATAGCTAGAGACTTCATCTTCCAACTTTCAGCCTTGAGTAGATTACCTAGATAGAATATCAGCAAAGACACACTGAACTTAACCTGCACTATAGACCAAATGCAGCTAATAGATAGTTACAGAACATTTCATTCAATAGCTGCAGAGTACACATTCTTTTCTTCAGCATGTGGATCATTCTCAAAGATAGATCACATTTTAGGCCACAAAACAAGTCTTAAAACATTCCAAAAAGAGAAGGAAATTATATCAAGCATGTCCTCTGACCAAAATTGAATAAAACTAGAAATCAATAACAAAAGGAACTTTGGAAACTATACAAACACATGGAAATTAATCAATATGCTCCTGAATGACTAGTTGGTCAATAAAAAAAATTTAAAAATTAAAATTTTTTGAAACAAATGAAAATAGTAATAAAACATATCAAAATTTATGGAATACAGCAAACCATCACTAAGAAAAGGTTTACAGCAGTAAGTAACTACATTAAAAAGGTAGAAAAATTTCAAATAAACAATGATGCATCTTAAAGAACTAGGAAAGCACCTACTAAGCAAACCAAAAGTTAGTAGAAGAAAAGAAATAATAAAGATCAGAGCAGAAGTAGTGAAATTAAAACTAAAATCAATTACAAAATATTAATGAAAGGAAAGTTGGTGTTCATAAAAGATAAAGTCAACAAACTTAGGCAAACTAAAAAACAAAGAGATAATAAAAATAAGTAAATAAAATCAGAGAATCAAAAAGAGATATTACAACTGATACTGCAGAAATTCAAAGGATAATTAGTGACTACTAGAGCAAGTATATGACAATAAATTGGAATAAAGAAAACCAAAACCTTAACAACAAGATCAAAGCCATAATAAAAAGTCTCCTATCGAAGAAAAGTCCAGGAATCAATGACTTCACAGTTGAATTTTACTAAACATTTTAAAAAGAACTAAATACAATCATCCTCAAATTATTCCCAAAAATAGAGAAGGAGAAAATACTTCCAAACTAATTCTACAAAGCCGGTATTACCCTGACACCAAAACCAGAAAAAGAAACAACAAAAAAAGAAAACTATGTGCCAGTATCTCTGATGAACATTGATGCAAAAATAATTAACGAAATACTAACAACTCCAATTAAACAATGGATTAACAGATCATTCATCTTGACCAAGTGGGATTTATCCTAGTGATGCAAAGATGGTTTAACTATACAAATAAATCAATGTGATTCATCATATCAACACAATAAAGAACAAAAACTATATAATCATTTCAACTGATGCCGAAAAACAATTTCATGAAATTCAACATCCTTTCATTGTAAAAACTCTCAAAAACTGGGTTATAGAAGGAATATGCATCAACACAATAAAACCCATATTAGATAGATCCACAGCTAGTGTCATACTGAATGAAAAAAAAAAAAAAAAAAACTACCACTGTTATTTAACATAGTACTGGAAGTCCTAGCTAGAGTGATTAGACAACAGAAAAAAAAAAGTGCATCCAACTTGGAACATAAGTTAAATTATCCTTAATTGCAGATGAAATAGTCTTATATTTAGAAAAACACAAATACTTCACCAAAAAAAACTATGATAACTAATGAACGAACCCAGTAAAGTTGCAGATGCAAAGTCAACATACAAATTCATTAGCATTTCTACATGCCAAAGGCAAAAAATCTGAAAAAGAAATCAAGAAAGTAATTTCATTTACAATAGATACAAATAAAATAAGACACCTAGAAATTAACTTAACCAAAAATATGAGAGATCTCTACAAAGAAAACTATAAAGCATTGATGAAAGAAATTGAAAAGAACACACACACACAAAATTATGTTCATGGATTTAAAGAATCAATATTGTTAAAATTTCCATACTATCCAAAATACTACAGATTTGAGGCAATCCCTAACAAAATACCAATGACACTCTTCACAGAAATCTAAAACAAACAAAAAACTAATCCTAACATTTATATGGAACCACACACACAAAAAAAACAAAAATATCCAAAGCCATTCTGAGAAAAAAAATAACAAAACTGGAAGAATCACATTACCTTATTTGAAATTTCACTACAGGGCTCTGGTAACCAAAAGAACACGGTACTGGCATAAAACAAGACACATAGACAAATGGAATGGAATAAAGAAGCCAGAAATAAATTTATACATCTATGGTGAACTGATTTTTGACAAAGTTACCAAGAGTATACACTGGAGAAAGGATAGTCTCTTCAATAAATGGTGCTGGAAAAACTGGATATCATATGCAGAAGAATGAAACTAGACACATATCTCTTGCCACATACAAAAAATCAAATCAAAATGGGTTAAAGCCTTGAACCTAGGAGATGAAACCATGAAAGTACTAAAAGAAAACATAGGGAAACATCTCTCGGACATTGGTCTGGAGAAATATTTCTTGAGTAATACCTACAAAGCATAGACAACCAAAGCAAAAAACGGGATCACATTATGTTAAAAAAACAAAACAAACAAACAAAGACTTCTGCACAAAAAGGAAACAATCAACAAAGTTAAGAAACAACCCACGGGGTGAGAAAATATGTTCAAACTACCCATCTGAGTAGGGATTAATAATCAGAATATATAAGCAGCTCGAACTACCTAATAAGAAAAAAACAAACCAATGAAAAATTCGGTAAAATATTGTAACAGGTATTTCTCAAAAGAAGATATACATTTTCCCATCAACTTCAGGATTGGAGGACGTCTTAGCATGTCTCTCCCACTTGAAAAGAAAAAGTAATGTGTAGAGACAGACTGTGGACATATATTTTCCAATAAGCAACACAGTAACTAAGCAGGAAAACTTTATAAAACCACAGACCCTTTGAAAAAAGTGGTTGGCTTCAGCCTGCAATGTGAGTCAGGCAGAAAACTGCGAGTCCCCACAGTGTGAGAGGGGGAGACCATGCCTCTGGCACACATACACTTTCACTGGGGAACCTGGCAATCCCAGGCCATGGGGAAATGCTTTAACCCTACCCAGCACTTGAGCTGATTTAGTAAGCGGTGGAGAGTATATGAGAAGGATCAACATTGCACGTGCTTTGTGTGCAGTCCTAGATTGCAGTGGGGATGGAGGCAAGCCAATTCTGATCTTACCTCACAGGGGACCTTGTGGAAGTCAGCCAGCTAACTCAGGCGGGAGTCACAGATTGAGAGAAGCTACCAACTGAGATTCATAATATAATCCTGAATGGGAATGGACCCCCTTGGCCAGAAATGAGAAGTGAGTGGAAAGTGTGATGTAGCCTTGGGCACAGAAACTTGATGCCCCTGCTTCACAGAAGGGATTTGGAGGAGTCTGGCCTGAAAACCCCATTAAACCAGGAGGTTTCTTTCTTAGCAGGGAAGCTTTATTGCTGGGGACAGTTTTGAGTTCTGAGTGCAGACTACCTGGAACCCAGCTAGCTGCTGCTAGTGGGACACTGTGGCTTGCCAAGTGCATGGGAACTGGGTGGAGCTCATTGCCAGCTGCTACTCCCCATTCCCTTTGTGTATTCTTCTGTGCAGCATAGTCAGTTGTGCTTCCCTCTGAAACATCACCACAGCAGCCAGAGAACTGCTCCAGAGCAAGGACATGCCTGACCACAATACAATTCATCCATGTAACCAAAAAGCACTTGTACCCTTAAAGCTACTGAAATAAAACACACGCATATATACACAGAGAGACACACAAAGAAGGCATACAAATGGCAACCAGGTATAACAAAAAATTCTCAAATCATTAATTATCAGAGAAATGCAAATCAAAACTACAATGGGTTATCATCTCACCCAGTTTAAATAGCTTTCATCCAAGTGACAGGCAATAACAATGGCTGGTGAGGATGGGAGGAAAGGGGAACTCTTGGACACTGTTGGTAGGAATGTAAATTAGTATCTCCTCTATGGAGAACAGTATGTAGGTTCCTCAACAAATTGAAAGTAGAACTGTCAATCCTCACTGATATTGCTGGATTATATGATACCCCAAAACAGGAAAACCAGCATATCAAAAATATATCTTCCTTCTCAGATATAGAATAAAATGTTTCTTCCATATCTGAGAAAATATAAGGTTATACTCATGAAATAAGAACATGCAATTGTGAAAGGAACACTCAGAGGAGAAAAGAAGAACTCTTGATTTTTTTTTTAATTTTAAAATCTTTCCTGTAGGTAAGCAATAAAACAAAGAGATAAAAAATAAAACAAAGGCTATAAAATTAGAGTTCCAATAGAAGTTCTACATGAGAAAGTAATAAGAAAGAAAAAGAGAATTTTAAAAAAGCTGAATGGAAGAAACAATTCACAATTTTTCTCCTACATAGAAGGCTACAAATTTTCAGACAAACAAGCATTACTGAGGACCCAGCAAATGGATAGAAATGGACCCACATAAAAACAAATCATTGTAATGTTTCGGAACACTAGGAAAAATGAGATTGTATAAACTTCCAAAAAGAGAACAAGGGAAAAATAAACGCACATGGTCTTATATATTTTTAGCAAGAATCTGAATGATTCCAGATATCTTAACACAACAGAGGAAGGTAGCTGACAAAGGAATGCTTTCTTGAAAATGTGAAGGCAAATGATTTCCAAACTGGACTTCTATACCCAGCCAAATTAGCAATCAAGTATGAAGGTAATATAAATACATTTGTAGCAAACCGAGTTCATAAGAATTTTCCTTCTTCATAAATTAATACATTTCAGAAATTAATATTATTCCCAGGATATCAATTATTATTATTATTGCTACTATTATAGTTTCTGACCATGAAAATTGCATTTTACAGTGGGTATTGCTTACATTTACATTTTCCAGGGTACAATAACAATTTTTGAATTGAGTTTCACAATATTTTGTATAAAAATTTAAGAGACTATAAAATTTTTCATTTACGTCTAAATGAAAAAAAGACAAGGTTATTGTATATTTCAATGTGAGTTTTCAGACTAGCAAAATAAGATTTTTTTCTACTGTAAATTATTAAATTCATTCAATTTATGATTTTTTCGGTACCAGCATTTTAATTCAATAGGGCATCAGCATCTCCACAACTGTGGGAAACAACGTCACAATTTTTATTTCTTAAGTTTTTAAAAATTGTTCTATCAGATGTTAGGAGGGCTTGTATTTTCTAAGAATAAGCACTGACATTTTAATATTTAGTATAAGGAGAAAAATAAAGAGCTAAACTAAACAAATCTAAAACAATAGAGGAAAATGTCAAAACTTTTTTTAAAAAAAGTACAGCAAAAATTAAACATTATACTGTATTTATTAGCTATTAATATCACTAATATATTTATCAGGTTATAAACACTGAATACTTATTCAACCATAATTGCAATACAAATATGTTGAGAAGATGAGAGAGAAAAGAAGTTTATGCATCTGTGATTTGGCAGGGTAGGGGAGGCTAGGTGTGAAAAACAACTAAATCCTCATCTCCTGTAATTAAAAATTAATAGCTAAATTATAAATATGAAACATAAAGTGGTAAAATCCATGTATGTTTTTAAAATATATTGCATTAAATAGCCAAAATTTAAATAAAGAGGATTTCTAGGTAGTAGGAAAATTACGTGTGAGGATAGTACTGTTGTTTTTCTTAACAAGCCTGGTGAATCTCTTGAATTTTAAAGCTATGTGCACCTGTAACATATTTTAAAAAATTATTTTAAATTAGAGATGTAAAAGTAATGTATGCTTACAGTAAATAACTATAAGAAAATACAATAATATATTTTTATTACCCATAAATTAGCATAATGAAATTTGGAAACATGTATCTAGGCGTTATTTAATTAATATATGCAGTTTAAAAAATACTGAGTTATATGGTTTATCTATGTCCTCACCCAAATCTCATCTTGAATTGAAATCCCCATAATTCCCACATGCCAGTGGAGGTGCTTGGTGGGAGGTAATTGGCTCACGGTGGCAGTTTACCTCATGATGTTCTAATGATAGTGAGTGAGTTCTCACGAGAGCTTGTAGTTTTAAAGTGTGGCACTTCCTCGTTCTTGCTCTCTCTCTCTCTCTCTCTCTCTCTCTCTCTCTCTCTCTCTCTCTCTCTCTCTTGCCTGGCACCTTGTAAGACATGCCTGCTTCCCCTTCCACCACGATTGTAAGTTTCCGGAGGCCTTCCCAGCCATGCAAATCTGTGAGTCAAACCTCTTTCCTTTATAAATTACCCAGTCTCAGGAAGTTTTTTAAATAGCAGTGTGAAAATGTACCAATATACTGAGATAGCCAGATATAAATATTTTTAATTTAAGTCATAATTATAAAGCTGTATTTTTCCAAAAACATTTCATCTATTTTATTAAAAAACCTAAAACCTAATAAATGATGTGAAACCGAATGAGTTGACTAGTTGAAGATAAGTGCTTTGTTATCATGACATATACTATTTCCTAAAAGGCCCCTCTAAAGTTAAGAAAAATTATGAATAACAGTAAAATGCTGGAGTTTTATATCATCTTTTAAACTACTTATTTTAAGTTTAGAAACAGTTGACAACCAACTCTGAAAAGGGTAGAAATAATCTAACAGCCAGTACTTTTTTCACAGCTTTTTTATCTCTAAATTTATTTTCTGACTGACTGAGGCTTTTGAAAACAACAATTTAATCTTGGAAGTATTTTTCTTTGTCCCAAAAGAAGCACCGACATTGTTGATTGCACAAAGACTTTTAAAAAGCACTTGATACTAGGATTATATCTTTTAGAAATCAGTGAATAACACATTCTTTAAATGACAATTTTGGAGGAGTAATACGTTACAGAGTAATTGACCTTTAAAGATCATTTAGTCTTTCTTTTCTATAATATCTCCATTATAAGCTCTTGTGAATATGGTTTTAAAAATCAAGCATTTTTAAGGATAAGCTCTGCCTGGCATCACTGTGCTGCCTATCAAATTGACATAATGTTTCTATCATTTCAGTTAATAGTCAATTGTCATTGAGTCATTCAGTGACCCCAATTACATTATCATAACAATCAGTTTTAAAAAATTCCATGTAGAGCTATTTGAAGTTGATTGTACTTATTTACCAAAAAGTTCTTAAGCTAGATAATGACTAATACTGATTTCTTTTTTTCTTGTATGGCATTTTCTCATACATCACTGAGATCTTAAGCCTGCCTCAAATGAACATTAGACTGGGAAGTGTTACTCTCTCCCAACACTGCCCAAAGTACACTTCCAGAAATGCTAGTGTTTTGGATGTTAACATCAGTAACATTCAAAGAGGTTCTGTAAGCAGATAGCTTGGAAGAGTAGATGGTTACACCATTTCCTTTATTTCTCATCTTCAAAGAAACTTTAACACCCTAATGTACATTTTAAACCTCCAAGGTATGGATATACTATTCAATATTCCAAATTTATTTGACTCTAAACCATGCCCTCCAATTTCAGAGAGCATTTAAAAAAATTGTTCTTCTAAACATATTTTAAGAAATGCTTATATAGCCTATCCTAAATACAAATGATAAAGTTAGAAATTTTGTCAAGTGTGTTAATATTTTTGATTTTGAAATTTAAATTTGGTAACCACATGATCAGAATCCATTGAAAATATATTTTCCATTTGCATTGGCATGAAGCTTTCTTTTTAAAATTATATTTCCCAGATGATGGTATAACACATATTGTTATTCTTAATAATAAATTCAAATTATTTTTGAAGATTTATCATTTAAAATACAACTGATAACACATTAACAGAATCATTGGAAATAAATGACCTGAAATTGATACATATTCCATAAGCTTTCCTCTTAATAGAATTACTAATCTAACTAAAAATTGTTGAACACCTACTCCATTCAAATAACTACCATGCCCAGGGGATATAACAGATAATAAAATAGGAAAATAGCCCTGCCCTCACAAAGTGTATCTTTAAGTGAGTCAGGGTTGTCTAGAGGGACAGAATGAGTTTATTAAAGAGTATTAAACTCATACGATCACAATGTGCCACAATAGGCCATCTGCAAGCTGAGGAGGAAGGAAGCCAGTCCAAGTCCCAAAAGCTGGAGAACTTGGAGTCTGATGTTTGAGGGCCAGAAGTATCCAGCACAGGAGAAAGATGTAGGCTGTGAGCCTAGGCCAGTCTAGTCTTTTCACATCCTTCTGCCTGCTTTTTATTCTGGCTGTGCTGACTCCTGATTAGATTGTGTTCATCCAGATTAAGGGTGGGCCTGCCTTTTCCAGCCCATTGACTCAAATGTTAGTCTCCTTTGGCAACATCCTCATGGACATACCCAAGATAAATACTTTGCATCCATCAATTCAATCAAGTTGACAGTATTAACCATCGAAAGTCCACCCCTTGTCCACTTGAACCCATACACGTCTCCTGAGATCATATATAATCCTCAAACAGAGACAATAATAAGGTAATAATTATGCCTAACATAGTACAATTATCCTTCATATAACTGGAAACACACCAATCCCCAACCCAAATGCTATTACATAAAGTTAACAATTAAATGCTCATATAAAGTCAATAAATATTATGTCACATAATATAGAAAAAAAATAAAATGAAGGTATTTTCTTAGTACAAGTGTATACATTCACAAATGTGTTTTTAACAAAAGGAAGAGAAAATACTCATGGCAATTACAGTCCCCATTTCTGCCATCACTGTTGCTTCAGACATTGCATGGTTTATCTCCCCAGACAAAGATGTAAAGGCTGATGGAAGTGTGGGTCTGGGAGGGGATGTTGCCACTACTGGAGATAGGTAACCTGTTTCTTCTGGCAAAAAAGGTTCATCAGAGTTTACAACCTCAGTGTACTCAGCTTCATCAGGGTCCTCCTACACATCTCCATTTCAAATTGCAGGGTTCCATTCTTTTCAAATAAATGCCCTCACTTTAACAGTAGACACCTGGCAAGGCTGTGCATGTACCTTTCATTGCAGGTCAGCCACTCTCATGATAAGAGCTTGTGTCTGATTTTCCACAATTTTAGCTCTTTCTCTACAGGACATAAAACTCTCACTCAGGGCAATCTTAGCAGATTTGAGGCTCAGTATCTGCTTCTCAAGCCAGGAGTTAGAATACCTGAGTGATAAACATCATTTTCTTTCATGACTTTGTTCAGTGAACTTAGCAGCAACCAACTAACTTCATTATGTTCCTAGATTCTCCACATCTAGTCAAAGGTATTATGTAAATCATCACAAAACTCCTTGCTTCTCATGAGCAGTGAATCAGGAATGCCAAATGCATGTATTTTGCATAATTTTCTAAACAGTTCATGACAAGGACTATCAGTGTTCTCCATACTATTATAAGTAGAGTACTTAGCATTTTTGGATCTAATCATGTTAAGCAGCCAACTCCAGAAACCTCAAAACCAATTAAAGAACTCTATCCTTAATATTCTTTTCTTCTAGAACCACTCCTGGTACCAAAATCTGATTTTTTTTTTCTCTTTGAGACAGAGTCTTGCTATGTTGCCCAGGCTGGAGTGCAGTAGCTTGATCTCGGCTCACTGCAACCTCTGCCTCCCAGATCTAAGCAATTCTCCTGCCTCAGCCTCCTGAGTAGCTGGAATTACAGGCATGCACTGCCACACCCAGCTAAGTTTTGTATTTTTAGTAGAGACAGGGTTTCACCATGTTGGTCAGGCTGGTCTCGAACTCCTGACCTCGTGCATCCACCTGCCTCAGCCTCCCGATGTGCTGGGATTACAAGTGTGAGCCACCGTGCTGAGCCCACCAAAATCTGTATTATTCAGGGTTCTCTAAAGGGACAGAACAAATAGCATATATATAAAGAAGAGTTAGTTAAGGAGTATTAAACTCACACAATCACAAGTTCTCACAATAGGCCACCTGCAAGCTGAGGAGTAAGGAAGCCAGTCTGAGTCCAAAAGCTGAAGAACTTGGAGTCCAGTGTTTGAGGGCAGGAAACATCAAGCATGGGAGAAAGATGTAGGCTGGGAGAGTAAGCCAGTGTAGTCTTTTCATGTTCTTCTGCCTGTTTTTATCCTAGCTGTCCTGGCAGCTGATTAGATTTTGCCCACCCTGATTAAGGGTGGGTCTGCCTTTCCCAGCCCACTGACTCAAATGTTAGTCTTCTTTGACAACACCCTCACAGATAAACCCAGAATCAATACTTTGCATCCTTCAATCCAAATCAAGTTGATACTCAGTATTAATTATCATAAGTAGCTAGACTTTACTGAGTATTCTCCTAAATGCCTGTTGTGTATTAATTCAATTTTTCCTCAACCATGCAATATAATAGGTACTAATATTATCCCACTTTGCAGATGAGGAACTTAAAGGTAGACTATTCTTAATATTACATGTTTATTAACTAGAAAAGGCAGAATTTTAACCCATACAGTTAAGCTCTTAAACACATTGTCTTTACCATTATACCATCACATTTTCTTTTGTATTTGAATGTATGCCTTCTTTTTTATTTCAATTATTTTGGCCCTCAAGTGACCTTTATGGGTCTTTAAACTCTTAAACATTGTTTATGCAAGATGGCATTATTCTAACCTTGTAATGTAAGCAAATATTTAGAAATATCCAAATAAGCACTTAATTGTTCAGTCAGTTCCAGTCAACATTCTAAAAGCCTTCAAATACTCCTGGTTCCATTGAGGAATTCCTACAATTGAGAATATTTGGTTACTTATTAATCTATCACTTAGTTTTCCAATACTGCATATCATAATAAATTCCATGAGCAACAGCAATACGTTTAAAATTGTTGGTTTTTTCAACTAAAGTTGTTCACCAGACTGGAGTTATCAAAGTACATTCATTCAACTGGCTATTGAAAATGTGATAACTTGGGCCGAGAAAGATTCTCTACAAAAACAGTAGAAAGATTCTCTACAAAAAAAAATAAAAAATTCTCTATAAAAATTGTAGAGAATCTGTGATTCTCTACAATCACAGAAGTATAGAAAAGAGAGGGAGCAGCCCAAACAGAAGGAAATGTATAGTCAGAGAAACAGGGATCTAGGAATAGTTTGTTGTGGCTAGAGACACAGCAGAAATAACATATTCAACATATATGGGAAAGAAGAAAAATATCAAATTCCACTAGGAATTTTTCTAAGATGAAAATACTTGGCTTATTAGTTTTATAATAGCATGAAAAATATAATTGAGCTCACAGAAAATAATTTACCTATAATTCTGAGCAGCATGCAAATAATTTATACACTATAAATATATATTTGTAATGTAAACTGTCATTTTATTTTTCAACTTTAAGTCTCTATACTGTCTTTGAATTATAGATACCGAGATAAGTTTAATGATTAAAAAAAATCATAAAAGGAAACTCAACTTCAGAGATGCTCTGCAAATATTCCAGTTTCATGTTTTGTTGGCACACTTGTTAATTGCAACAGCAATTCCCTTAAATCTAAGAATGCTAAAGATGAACAAAACCCCAGGAGACATGTCATTCAGATGTGAGGTAACATGACATACACTGGTATGGTTCAGGATATGCTACACCAAATGTATTTAAGCTGAAGGAATTTGAGGAAAATCACAGAAGCAGCAAGGTTATTCTCTCACCCTTTTCTGTGTTTCTCCCCTGAAGAAGGGAAAACCTAGGAAAAATTTTCTGACGTTTCTCTGAAGCAGATCATAGAAACCTCACGTGAGAGGTGCCCTCTTTATATTCAGAGAAATAGAACATTATTACTTCTGAAAATGAAAAGACACAGATAAAAATCTGAACAAAATGGGTCATGTTATATTTCCTCCAGTTTGTTGTCACTTGATCATACTTTTTTATTCAGTCATACTTCTCCACTATTGTTACCAGTTGAGGATAATTGTCCATGTTCTTGGCATGTTGAAAAAAGAATTGGACAAAACACACAAACAAAGCAAGAAAGCATAAGCAGAGATTTATTTTAAAAGAAAGTACACTCCACAGGGTGGGAGCAGGCTGGAGCCAGTGGCTTAAGAGCATTGGTTACACAGGTTTCTGGGGTTTAAATACCCTCTGGTGGTTTCCCATTGCTTCACTCTATGCAAATAAAGTAGTGGCCCATGGTGACCAGTCTGACTGGTTGCGGGAGGGGACCAATTAGAGTGAAGAGTAGGCCTACAACCGGTCTGATTGGTTGTGGGAGGGGACCTATCAAAGGTACTTTCATTTTTCAACTGCCATGCAGAAAAAGAAGGGTTTGCAGCTACCACACAGCAACTGCCACGCAGAAAAAGCGGAAAAAGGAGAGGTTGAAAATGGAGTAGCCTCTAACATTCAGTCAGCATGAATCAGCCGTCTATGTTCCCTGCCTCCAGACTCTATTCTCTTGCCTCACTACTATCCACTTTATCAAACCTAGTGAAAGGAGTTATTTAGCTTGCCTTAGGTAGATAGCAAGGAAGGTTCCCTGGAAAACCCCCGGCCCGTGGGTTAGTGCCTCATTCCCACATAAAATAAAAAGCAGCCTGAGAAAAAATTTAGGCAGCAGGCACTGATAAGGGAACTAACATAGGATGTTGTACCTAGAGAAAAATGCCCATGGTTGCACAGATAGAAAAACCTCTGGCCCATTTGAATAAAAACTTGCACAAACCTCCAGCTCACTCAGTTACGGGAACAAGGCCTGGCATAACAATGCCTTTGTCTTTTGTATAGTCAGCAGGCTCGTAGGAAAACATTTATTCTCCTTTTTGTGGGAATGGGCACGGTGGGCTCTGGTGGGTTCCAGTGGGCACTCTATTTTCCTTTATTTGGACTGTAAGTCACGCTTCCATGAATCATCACTTCAGCCCCTGATTGGTCCCAGGCCAACTTTCACTTCAGCTTCTGATAGGTCCTGGGCCAAGCTAAGTCGCAGCTATGAATCATTATTTCAGCTCCTGATTGGTCCTGGGCCAAGGTCCCAGGCCAAGCTTTCTGATTGGTCCTGGGCCAGGGTCGCAGGCCAAGTTGAATGACATGTTCTCCAAGACAGCCTAAGCACATTCCTTCCGTTTTCCAGTCCATAGAAACCCCAAAACAGACCTCATAGGAGGTACCACTGTTCGGGACTCCCTCTCTGCTAGCAAAGAGCTTTCTTTGGTTTTTTAAACTTTTGCTTCAACCTCATCTTTGTGTCCGTACTTCTTAATTTTTTTGGAGGTAAGACAAGCAATTCTGGGCATAATCTCAGACAATGAGAGACTGTTACATTTTGGTGCATTGGTAAGACTACAACACTAGTATAAAAAATACACAGGCTTACAAATTTTGGAGGTCTTGGTTTCCTGATGAAGGCTCCCGTGTCACCTAAAACTTGTATTAAATAAATGTGTGTACTTTTCTCTTGTTAGTCTGTCTTCTATTATAAGGGCCTCAGCCATAAACCTAGGATTGTTAATGACACATTTACACCCTACAATTCAGGAGAACTTAGACATAAAATGCCATAACAACTTGACAAAATGTTCAGTGTATTTTTTACTTATATCTGAAAGTAACATTATTCTAGATAATGGTAACCCTGAAGCATGCTTAATTTATATTTGAGGTCTAATAACATAGTTAAATGGGGTTGGGTGTCAGAAGACTGAAGTCTTTCAGTTCTAGGTTTTTTAATCCACTCTGTGCTTTTAGACAAGTGAATTTATTTCTATATATTTTTGTTTCTTTACAAAAGTGGAATATATTTAATGTTTAGGTTCTTACAGAAAAATAATAGTAGTAATAATAAATAGGCATATCTTTGAGCACTTAGTATAACCCAAGCAGTGTATTTATTGTTTAATATACATTATTTCATATAAGCAAAACAACACTGAGGTGAGCAGTAATTTTTTTATCTTAAAAATAGGATTAACTGATGCAAGATTGTTATACTTGCTTATTCTGGCCACATAGGTGGTAAGCTGCAGATCAGACTCAAATCTAGTTATGTCTGACAAGAAAATTCATGTGTTTAATCTCTTTTCTCCCCAGAAATGTGGCTTCCTTATTAGAGAGGTTGCGATTACATATAGAGAGTTTTAAGCTTTCCAGGCTATTAGACTTTTTTGATGTTGCTAAATGCATTATATATCAAATTTAGAGTGTCTTCACCAGTTAAGGATGATTTTATTCTCACTATAAATCTCATCGAGAAATATGAATAGAGAGAAAATAGGTTTTTCTTGGGCAAGGGTCCACAGTCTTTAATATGTACGTTTTTTTCTTTTTTTTCTCTTAATTGAAGCAATTGAACACCTATTGTTCAAACCTTTCAAACACAACAACCATCTTTCATGTAAATGAAAGGATAATCTAAAAACAGTTAAGCAAGCTATGTGTGAAAGGAAACACTATATGCGTATTGAATAATCTAGTTCAGGATTGTTCAGGTGATTATGAAAAAGGAAGTATTTAAAAGCAAATTAATAGCTAAATTCCGATTAGAAACCTTTACATTTGGGAACTATAATAACGGGCAGATCTCATGACTTCAGAAAAGAGGAGAAAAGATACTGCTGTCTATTTAAGATGTGTTATGTGTCACACATTGTATGGTCAGAACTTGAATAAAACATTTGACTTAATGCTTCTAGCATTTCTACTGCATAGGTAATATAGTCTTTAACTTACATATGAGGAAGCTGAGGGTCACAGAGCTTAAATAACTAACTTAGGTTTATATATCTAGTAAATAATAGAGCTGAGATTCACATCTTGGTCATTTTCTTTAATCCCAAATAAATAAACTTTTCATTATATTTAACCATTCCTCAAGAAAATAAATTGGTGTGATTGTAATAACTTGGAAAATTAACATAAGAAAATTAGTATGGATTTTCTTTACAATGAAATTGTACCAACAAATAGATTTAGACACGGAAGTTTTTTCATTGCTTAACAGGGCAGTGGATAAATTCTACCTTCAGTATTATTATCTTCAACATATCAGTGAATATATTATTTGTTAAACTTAGGCTAGCAATATCCTTGTCCCCATATTCATGGCTAAACTCAAAATCTGTTGAATGAAACAACTTCCACACATATATGAAAGTGTCTACCATGAACTAGCTGAAAATGTCTTTCTCCTTCAGCTTCTTCACTCAGTTCAACAAACATACCGCATCGTTAGCATGTATAAAGCGGGGCACTGCACAAAGATCAAGAGGAGTGCAGTCATAATGAATAGTCTCAAGAAGCAAAATAATTACCTAAAGAAAATATAATTCAATGGAGATTAACTTTTTTTTAAAAATTCAGTTTTTCAAGAATCAAAATAAGTACCTATGTATAATTAAATAAAGACTGAGAATAAAAAATAAAATAAAATATCCTGTAAGAATGATGTAATCTAAGTATTCTGAAACTTTGGTAAATAAAAAATTACCTTTGGCTGGGAAAACCAAGGAAGGATTCATGAAAAAATTAGCATATGGGCTAGACAGGTTGATAGTTCCTTATATATAACCTTATTTTTTGTTTGCTTTTCTCAGGTTTTTACCTTTTTAGTTTAAAAATGTTTTAATGTACAGTTGAAAGAATCATACAGTAGTTGAAAGGAGAGTAGAAAGGATGATACAATGAATAACTGAATACCCTTGCCCAAAACCAGAATTATCAGTTAACATTTAGCTACATCCGTGCTTGTGTGCTTCCCTTCTCTGTCTCTCTCTCTTTCTCTCCTTTTATCAATTAATAACTTGAACAAATATATAAATAATTGATAGAATTTTGACAAACATAAGTGTGGAAAGCTTATTACAGATTTCAAATACAATGTGAAGAGAGGAAGAGTTTGGAATGAAAAGGGACAATTTAGGGAAGAGCATGAAGTCTAACGTAGTTGGAACAAAGGATATATGCAAAGGAAGCAAGGAAATTTGCTTGAGATAAAATTTTGAAAGACCATAATGCTAGACTAAAAGCTGAGAATTTTATTATGTAGGCAACAAAAAGCACATATTTTGATACTTTTAAGTTTTGATTATCTGCTACTGTTGCCACTAGATACAGTTGACTAATTCCTCATTCAATTTCCCACATTTATTAGCTCACAGGATATCTCTTTTCTTAGTTCTCTTTTAACTTACTTTGTCACTCCTTCATGAAGACTGCCTTATGGGTACCTTTTTCTCCATCTGACCTGTAAGTGATACTATTACCTATGGCCCCATAATCAATGTTCTGGATTTTTAGCTTCTCTCTTCCCCTGAAGAATCACATCTGCCTTTATGGTTTCAATTATGTCAATAAATTGATGGCTCCTTAAGCTTAGCTCAAACTCTGATGTCTTCTCATCTTTAGATTCAAGTTCAATTCAATGTATGTCTCTACGTGCATGTCCCATAGCCATCTAAAACTCCATATCTAGAAAATTCAAATCACCCCATTTCTGTCTTTTTCTAAATGTTCTCCCTCTTCTATACTCACTATATCACTGAATGTCATCTTCCTAGTTGCTAAAACCCCAAAGAAAGCTTTTATTTCTGCCTTTTTCTTCTCCTTTTCCTCGCTACCAAATCCTGTGGCTTTGTCCTTACTGGTACTTTAATACAACTCTTCTTTCTATTTTTATTTTAACAAAACATGCTATTACTACTTCCTTCTTATGCTCAATGTTTTCAATATTTTAATACAGAGCTAAGGTATTCATTTGCCTTGATAACCTTCTCTGTCACTGCATATCTGAGTTAATGGTTTTCCCTGAGTGGCCCCACAGAATTCCTTGTTTACCTTTATCATACCCTTTCAGAATGTGCTGTATTTGTTTACATGCCTTTCTGCTTCTTTATACAAAGTAATCCTTGAAGGTAGAAAATACATCTTTTATCATATTTCTTCCTTGCCAACAACATGTACAAAGTAGCCAACATATAAATATTTGTTGGATGAAGATTTAATGGACGAATAAGTTGAAGATTTTAGAGAAAGACGTAAAATGTTCACAAGATATGCTACATATAGCTATTTGATAAGTGTATTCTTGACAAACTTTAGATGTAAAGTGCTTAAAGTGAAAAGACTGAAAAATCTGAGCTCTTAGAGCACTATATATACGTAGTCATTGTATCACATTTGTCTTAGTCTGTTTTGTTCTGTTATACCCTGTTATGGCACAGACTGGGTAATTTATTTAAAAAAAATTCATTATTCTCAATTCTGAAGACTGGGGAGTCCGAGATTAAGCCACCAGCATCTGGTGAGGCATCTCTCTGCCTCCAAAATGGTACCTTATTGCTGCATCCTCTGAAGGAAACTAATCCTGTGTCCTCACATGGCAGAAAGACAAAAGAGAGTTAACCCACTCTCACAAACCCTTCTCATAGTGGCATTCATCCATTCATGAGAACAGAGCCCTAATAACCTAAAAACTTTTCATGAGTCTCTCCTTCCCAACACTGTTGCATTGAGGATTAAGTTTTCGACACATGCATTTTAGAAGACACCTTTATACCATAGTAAACTGGTATTGTAATATTTGTTATTATGATTATGTACTTTCCCAGACCTTATACTCCCATGTCTATGTGTGATTCGTTCCTGTCTTTTATGCCAGTACCAATATTTAATATTTATTAGAAATTTAAATGCTGTCTGATCAAATAAAGTTAAAATTTAGAAGAGGTTGAAGAGAGAGAGAAGTATATATTATGAACAGAGCTGAGGTATGGAGAGCAGAACTAAGAGGTTTTAATAATCTATATGAATACTAGAGATGAATGTATAGCATTATTAGACTCGGACTGTTAAGATTAAGATAAAAAATACCTGTGATAATAAAAAGATGTCTGGTATTGTTAGAGGCAAAAGTGACTTGGGGGAAATTTCAAATTATGTTTCGAATGTACAGGAAAATAAAGGCTTTGATTATTGATTTGAAGTTCAAGGCACTAGGAAGAAGATATGGTGTTTAGAGTTAAGATTACAATATAAATGGCAAAAAAGTAAAGTAATGGTTGCTAGGATGTTAGGGGAAAGAGGAAACAAATGGGAAAACAAAGATTACTCTGTGTAAAGAAGAAGGGCAAATAAGCAAAGTATCTCTGTTTCCTCTTTCCCCTAACACCCTGGCAACCACTACTTTACTTTCTGTTATTAAAGACTTGCCTATTCTGGATATTCCACATAAATTGTCTCATACCGTGCCTGGCAATCTGTATCTTGTCTAGTTTCTTACACAGCATAATGTTTCAAATATTTATTCATGTTGTAGCATGCGTCAGCACTTCATTATTTCTTTTTGAGATATGATGTAACTATTCTGGAATTAGTAGTGATGATTGCACAACATTGTGAATACACTATAAACCACTCAACTGTATAATTTTAAAAGGTGGAATTTTATCATATGCAATTTATATCTCAATATAAAAATGAAAGAACACTCAATAATTTTGGTCTACTATAATCATTTCACTGTATGACTTGTAGATGCATTAATCTAGTTAAGTTTAAAAAGATAATGAGAAGTTAAAAACTTATATTTAGAATGTAATTATGTAGAATGAAAACATATGTTTGAAATTTTGGATACTATTTATATAAAATAGTAGTAATCAAAAAGAAATTGATGACTGATTCTAAATGAATTTCTATTATTGTTTTTCTGGTTAACTTTTACTTATCATATTTATTATTACTACATATAGATAAAACACCTCAACTTCTAGGAAAGCTCAATGGCCCCCACCAAGCCATTAGGAGAAAGGGTTTGCCATATGTGAAAGGCTAAGGAATATAGTGTAACAATTTGTAGGGACTTTTGAATGAGGAGAAAATTAATAATAATTTTGCTTTCTGAGTTGCCTCTCTTTTCAATTCCTGTCTAGTAAATATTTTGTTTTAAATTTCAGTAAATAAAATAAGTGGCAAAAAAAGGCCAAAAGGAGCCACTGCTACTCTCTGAAGGCTTTACAAACCCTCCGATAGATTTTATGCCAAAGAAATAGACTGAGTCCTTGAGATTAGAGTTTAGCTCACTAGGGTAGTGGACATTTGCCTGGAATACCATCTGTAGCTATATCCCTTGAAAACCTTATGAGATCAGCAATATATTTAAGCAGCTGCTCAGGATTTGCATGTCTTTGATGCATGTAATATTATTAACTTTACTGGCTAAATATGGAATTAATTCATTCTTTCTCACCGTACTTTCCAGAAAATAGTAATAGATTTTATTTCTTTTTTTTCCATCTTTTCCTGTTTTTCCTTCCTTCCTTCCTTCCTTGCTTCCTTCCTTCCTTCCTTCTTTCCTTCCCTTCCCTTCCCCTTCCCTTCTCCTTCCTTCCTTTCCTTCCTTCTTTCTTTCCTCTTCTTTCTTTTTTATTTTCTTAGAAAGAAACACATAATAGTGTCTTATGAACAGAAGCCACAGTGCCTTATGAACAGAAGCCATATCTGTGTTCAGACACTGGCCAGAAAAGACGGTGGGTCCCCACGGATGATTTTCTTAGTATCTGAAAATCTTTTCTTTTGGATGAAATATAGTAAGTTCTACTAGATTGGTAACAATAGAATGTATGAAGAATTACAAGCTCTCTGTGCATGTGTTTATGTATTTCTGTGTGCGTTGGTACATTAAGGGTTGAGAGGTTTCTATATTTTCAATGCTCAAAGTCTCTCCTGTGAAGAAATCAGAATAAGAAGTAGCACTTCACTTTCCTCTTCAAGTCAATTAATGCTGAGTTTTTGAGTCAAGCAACTTTTCTGAAGTTTGGAGCCTAATTTTACTTTAATTTTATCAAGCACGTTAGGTAAATAATTCTTAATAGCATTTTATCTTTATAGCAAGTCATCCACAATCAAAAGAGGTAAACCAAAGGTATGCATTACCAGTTAAGCCATCTAAATATATTTTTATTCGAGTGATGGCAGTTTTAAATATCTTTCAGAAAGACAGAATAATACAAAACCCTTGAGGCTAGAAACAGCTATTAAACTGTTATCTTCCATTCAGACCTCAAATAATTTTCCATAAAATGAGGTCCCAGAGGAAAGGGAACATAACTAGAAAGATTAGAAGATGAAAAAAACTGTCAGGAAGTTCTAGATTCTAGAGCACAGGTGGATTGGTGCAGAAATGGTAAAGCTAGGTACATTTACTGCAAGCACCATGATAATACTGGACTCAGGGGAAGTAAAAAAGGGAATATCAAGCATAGAAAACCTAGTTTTTACTAGGGTTCTTCTTGGCTTACAGATTTGTTTGTATTTCATTATTAGATACTCAAGCATAGTTTCTGGTAAATGTGAATGAGAATAACATTTAGAAAATTAGAAGCAGCTTTTATAATCAGGATGCTCGTTTAATAAGGATTAGTATATTTTAATCTTGATTTTAACATGCTTCATATGTGTGAGGTGTGCCATTGTGATTAATATTTTTGCCTGACAAAATATACAGCAATTTCTATATTTGACAACAGACTGTTTCTTTCTATTTAATTAACACATCTTTCATAACCTACAATATGTTTTATTTGTGTTGGCACAGTTCTTTCCAATATTTTTCTGCCAGTCATTTTCTATTCATAAGAAAAAGGAAACAAGTAAAGACGTACATTTGTTACAGATTATCATGGTAAAAACATTACAATGTAACAGTAGAAAATCAATGTTATGAATGCATTTAAAGGAGTATAACATTGTAAAAAGAACGTAGTGGCTAGGGCTTCAGGGAAATTGAACTAATATAATTCTGCTGCATTGATTTGTCACCATACATATTATTTTAACACAGCTGTCTACTTGAATATTTATAGTTTTTTAATGTACTTTCAGAAACAGCTAAACCATTCCAAAATCTAATTCTATGTCTTTCTAAAGTAAACGTGAAGATTAAGCTTAATCCTCTGAAGTTTAAAATATCAGATTTCAAACATTAGATTTCAGAAAAATGTATAATGAATTTTACAAGTGGCACTGGTTAAAAACTAACAACAATCTCAATGCAGCACCTTATGCATATTATTAATTCTATTTCTAAATATTATAAAATACTCCACATCTTTTCACCAATTCTTCTAATACTGAAGTGATTTCTGAAAATTAAAAAAAAATAAACAAATAATGAATTCATATTTTAATTTTTTCCAGTGATGTTCTTTCTTGTGGGTAAGAAAATAACAGGACTCACAAATTTCCAACAACCCCATGCTGTCATTCTAATGAGATATTGCGTTATTTTCTAGATAAGCTTGTCATGATGAAAAGAATAGACTGGGGCTTTTATCAAGACAGTACCACCAGCAGCCTGATTTATGTCAATGGGTTCAAAAATAAAACTCTGGGAGAAGGAGAACAAAGGAAAGAGATGAATAAACATAGATGAATAGAATATAACAGGGCAAGATAAAATCATCCTAGTGAAACACTGATCACATATTTATATTAATCCTCATTAGACACTCTAAGGTATTGCTTTGCTAAAAGCAAACAAAAAGCAAAACTTTTTAAAACTCACTTTTAATGTTCACCGTTCAAACAAACCATATTAGACAGCCTTAGATTTCAAGTAAAAAGACATTTATTCATTTGAGAGTTGTTGTCTTCGTTGTTTAACTCAAGTTTAGACAACAATATAATCAATAAATTAGTTGAAAACTTCTCCTTGAGACATAAAATAAATACTTTTTTAAAGTTATATTTCTTGCTACGTATATGAGAGAATACCACTCGTGTGACTGTGTTAGTCAAGTCTTCCCTAAAATCTGAGATTGTTTTTGAATTCATGATTCATCCTCAAAGTCTCATATTTGGAAAGATTATAACTCTTAGAATGCATGCTATTTTCTTAGAAAGACAGAACATGACTACTTCCATTTTATATTTAGACAATAAGCACTTCTTGAAAATTAATGTTTTAAAAAAGATTTATGTAATTCACTGTATACAGTGAATTACACTGTATACCGCAGTATTGGGATTTCAAATTAAGTAGTTATTCGAAGCCAAAGAAAATCTAAAGTATTACATACACACAATTCTGTAGTCATGCTTGCGTGTGTGTAATAGAAGTGAAACACATTACATACTACATAGTATTGAATTTTATTGTTTTAACAGTTCCCATTCATATCTACTTTAGTTACTTTTCTTTCTATGATTCACAAAATATGTGATTTATTAAGTGAATAATGTCAAAAAACAAAGTTTCTATTTCTCCTTAAAATTTTGCCATGCAAATGCTGGTCTAGTCATTTTTATTATAAATGTTCAACATTTATTTAATATACTAGACATACATATTTCACTAACATAATATTAAGGCATAGAGTTAGTGAATGAACATGTAAAAAACAATGCTTATATTTTTATGATTTGATTTAAATTCCTTCCCTAATATTTTCACTTGAATTTCTACCTAGAAGTGTTATTGCTGATCCATCAGATATATGGTTTGCAAATACTTTGTCTCAGTCTGTGGGTTGCCTCTTTATTCTGTTGTTTCCTATGCTGTGCAGAAGCATTTTATTTTGATGTATCCCATTTGTCTGTTTTTGCTTATATTGCCCATATTTGGTTCACATCCATGAAATCATTGCCAGACCAATGTTGTGGAGCTTTTCCTCTGTGCTTTCTTCTAGTAGTTTTACAGTTTCAGATCTTATGCGTAAGTTGTTAATAAATTATGAGTTGACTTTTGTATGCAGTTTGAGATAAGGGTCCAATTTTACCTGTTTGCTTGTGGATATATGGTTTTCCCATTAAAATTTTTGAACAAAACTATCCTTTTCACATTGTGTGTTTTTGGCAGCTATGTCAAAAATCAGTTGATTATAAATGCATGCATTTATTTCTGGACATTATATCCTGAACAACGTGTTTCTTTTTGTGCAAGTGCCATGCTGTTTTGATTATAATATTTTTGTAATATATTTTGAAATAATGTAGTGTGCTATCTCTAGCTTTGTTCTTTTCCTCAAGATTGCTTTAGCTATTTGAGCTCTTTTTTGGTTCAATATGAATTTCAGGGTTTTTTTCCTATTGATGTGAAATATAATTTGAATTTGATAGGGATTGCATTTAATCTGTATATAGCTTTGGGTAAAATGGAACATTTTAACAATATTAATAATTCCTATTCATAAACATAGCATGTCTTATCATTTACTTGTGTTATTCTCAATTTCTTTCATCAATGATTTAGAGGTTTTAATATACACATAGTTTACCATCTTGGTTAAATTTACTTTTCAGTATTTTATACTTCTAATACTAGTATGAATAAGATTGTTTTCTTAAATACTTTCCTTTGAATAATTTGTTGTTGGTGTATAGAAACTCTACTGACTTTTGCACATTGAATTTGTATTTTACAACCTTGCTGAATTCAGTAATCAGTAATCACAGTTATTGGTAGAGTCTTTGTTTTTTTAATATAAAATTATGATGTCCAAAAGCAGAGAATTTAACCTCTTCTTCTCTAATTTGGATCTGTTTCTTTCTTTTTCTATTCCGTAAATGCTCTGGCAGTACTATGTTGAACAAAAGTGGCAAGGGTGGAAATCCTTGTGTTATTCCTGATCTTAATAAAAAAACTTTCAATTTTTGACTATGAAGAATAATGTTTAATGTGGGCTTGTCATATATGTTCTTTATTGTTCGAGGCATATTCCCTCTATCCTAACTTGTTGAGAGTTTTTATCATGAAAGGATGTGGAATTTTGTCTAATGATTTTTTTTGCCTCTATTGAGATGATAATGTGGCTTTTGTCTTTTATTTTGTTAATATGATGTATTATATTCGTTGATTTGTGTATATTGAATGTCCTTGCATCCCAGAGATAAATCTCACTTGATAATGGTGAATCATCCTTTTAACATGATTTTGAATTTTCTTTGTTAGAATTTAGTTGAGACTTTTTGCATGAGAATTCATCAGAGATATCTGCTTATATATTTTTTTTCTTATAGTATCCTTGTCTGGCTTTGGTATCAGGGTAATGCTGGCCTTGTAAAATAAGTTTTAAAGTATTCTCTCATCTTCATTTTTTTGAATGAGTTTGAGAACCATTGGCATTCAGTCTTTTAAAAATATCTGGTAAAATTCAGCCATGAAGCTGTTAGGTCTTAAGCTGTTCTTTAACGGGAGACTTTTTATTATTAATGCAATCTTTTACTCAGTATTAATCTGTTCAGATTTTTTATTTCTGCATGATTTTGTCTTTGTAGGTTATAAGTTTCTGGGAATTTATTCATTTCTTCCAAATTATCAAATTTGTGGGCATATGGTGATTTGTAGTACAGTTGACTCTAAAACAACATGGGTTTGAACTGTGTGGGTCCACTTATATACAGATTTTCTTCTGCCTCTGCTACCCCTGAGACAGCAAGACCAACTTCCTTCTTCCTCCACTTCTTCAGTATACTCATTGTGAAGGTGATTAAGATAAAGACCTGTATGATATTCAACTTACACTTAATGAAAAGTGACTATATTTTGTCTTCCTTATGACTTTCTAGTTCTAGAGCTGTAACATTAGATTGTTTATGTTTTTTCCTCTTTATCGATGTAGGCTTTTATTGCTATATAGTTCCCTCTTCAAAATCTTTTTGCCACATCCAATATGTTTTGTTAAGTTTTCTTTCTATTTTTGTTTATCTCATGAAATTTTGAAATTTATCTTTTAATACATTTGAGAAGAAAATGGATTGTGTGGCTGTTGGATGGAACATTCCACGTATGTTTGTCAGATTCATTTGTTCTAAAGTGTAGTTCATCGAATGTTTCTTTATTGGTTTCCTGTCTAGATGATCTATCTATTGTTAAAATTGGGAAGTTGAAGTCTCCTGCTATAATTGTATTGCAGTCTAACTCTCCCTTCAGATATTTAAAGATTTGGTTTATACTTTAGGTGCTGTGATTTTGAGTACGTATATATTTTTATAATTGTTATCTCCTGTTGATGAATTGATACCTTTATTATTATAAAATGTCCTGATCTCTTTTTTACAGTTGTTGACTTAAAGTCTATTTATCTGATATAAGTATAGCTACACCTGCACTTGTTTTGTTTCCTATTAGCATGGAATAAATTTTTTATTCTTTCACTTTCATTCTAAGTATGCCCTTAAAGGTGAAGTGAGTCTCGTGTAGGCAGTATAAAGTCGGGTCTTGTTTTTGTTGTTACCCTTTCTGTCACTCATGTCTTTTGATTTAAAAAATAATTTATTTGTATTCAAATTAATTATGTATAGGCAAGAACCTACTAGTGCCATTTGCTTAATTGTTTTCTAGTTGATTTGTACACCCTCTGTTCCTTTCCTTCTCTCTTGCTATCTCCCATTGTGATTTGATGATTTACTGTAGTGTTACACTTTGAAACTTTTCATGTTTTGTGTATCTACTATAGGTTTTTGTTGATGACTACCATGAGGCTTAAGTAAAACATCTTATGCTTGTAACAGGCTATTCTAAGTTTATAATAACTTAATTTTAATTACATGAACAAACTTAACACTTCACTTCTTCTTCCAATTTGTGTTTTCAATATCTTAACATATATTTCTATAATTTGTATGTGTTAACACACTATTATAGCTACAATTATTATTAATTGTTTTGTCTTTTAATCTTTATACCAGAGGTATAACTGATCTACAAGCCATCATTACAGTATGAGTATTCTTAATCTAAATATGTATTTATTTTAACATATATTTTAATATGTTGTTATGTTACTGGCTAGGGTTCTGCTTCTTAGGCTTTAAGAACTCACTTTAACATTTATTATAAGGGAGATCTAGTGGTGATAATCATCTTCAGCATTTGTTTGTATGTGAAAGTGATATGGTTTTGTTCTGTCCCTACCCAAATCTCATCTTGAATTGTAGTTCCCATAATCCCACATGTCATGGTGGGGACCTGGTGGGAGGTAATTGAATCATAGGGGTGGTTACCCTCATACTATTCTAGGGATAGTGAGTGAATTCTTACAAGACTTGAGGGTTTTATAAGGGCTTTCCCTGCTCTTCACTAATTTTTCTTCTTCCTGCCGCCATGTGAAGAAGAATGTGTTTGCTTCCCCTTCCACCATGATTGTAAGTTTCCTCAGGCCTCACCAGCCCTGTGAAATTTTGAGTCAATTAAACCTCTTTTCTTTATAATTTGCCCAGTCGTGGGCAGTTCTTTATGGCAGTGTGAGAACAGACTAATACAGAAAGTTTTTCCCTCTCATTTATTTTTATGTTTTTATTTTTATTTAATATGACTTTTGACTAAAAGCTTGCTAATTTTATTTTAATTTTTAAGTCCATTGCCTCAAGCATTTATCCTTTCAGTTACAAAAAAATCTAATTACAATCTTTAAGTTATTTTAAAATGCACAATTAAGTAATTATTGAATATAATCACCCTGTTGTGCTAACAAATAGTAGGTTTATTCATTCTTTCTATTTCTTTAGTAGAGATTAACCATCTCCACCTTCCTCAAAACCCACAATACGCATCCCAGCCACTGGTAACTATTCTTCTACTCTCTATGTCCATGAGTTCAACTGCTTTGATTTTTAGATCACACAAGTAAGTGAGAACATGTGACATATGTCTTTCTGTACGTGGCTTATTTCACTTAATATAAAGATCTCCAGTTCCATCCATGTTGTTGCAAATGACTGGATCTCATTCTTTCTTATTGCTGAATGATACTACATTGTGTATATTTACCAAATTTTCTTTATCCACTTATCTGTTTATGGACACTTACATTGTTTCCAAATCATAGCTGTTGTGAAGAGTGCTGCAACAACAACAACAACAAAAAGAAGTGCAGATAACTTTTTGATATACTGATTTCTTTTGTTTGGGATATATAATCAGCAGTGGGATTGCTGAATCAAATGATAGCTCAATTTTTGAGGTTTTTGAGGAACTCCAAGCTGTTGGAGCTGGTGAGAGTTTAATTATTAAATGACTTGAGGTAGTCTTCTTTCTATTAAATTTGCTTGGTGTTCTATAACTTTCTTGTACTTGGATATTGATATATTTCCCTAGGTTTGCAAAGTTCTCTGTTATTATCCATTCGAGTAAACTTTCTACCCATATCTCTTTGTCTATATCCTCTTAACTCCCAATAAATCTTTTTTTCTCTCTTTATTTCTTGTAAAAAAAAAAAATGAAATAGATGTGCAGAATGTGCAGGTTTGTTACATAGGTATACGTGTGCCATGCTGGTTTGCTGCACCTATTGACCTGTCCTCTAACTTCCCTCCCCTCAGCCCCCACCCCGCAACAGGTCCTGGTGTTTATTGTTCCCCTCTCTGTGTCCATGTGTTCTCAATATTCAGCTCCCACTTATGAGTGAGAACATGCGGTGTTTGGTTTTATGTTCCTGTGTTAGTTTGCTGAGGATGATGACTTCCAGCTTCATCCATGTCCCTGCAAAGAACATGATCTCATTCTTTTTTTATGGCTACGTAGCAGTCCATGGTGTATATGTACCACATTTTCTTTATCCAGTCTATCATTTTTGGGCATTTGGGTTAGTTCCATTTCTTTGTTATTGTAAATAGTGCTGCAATAAACATACGTGTGCATGTGTCTTTATAGTAGAATGATTTACATTCCTTTGGGTATATACCCAGTAATGGGATTGCTGGGCAAATGGTATTTTTGGTTCTAGATCCGTGAAGAATTGCCATACCATCTTCCACAATTCCTGAACTTATTGGCATTCCCAACAACTGTCTAAAAGCATTCCTATTTCTCCACAGCCTTGCCAGCATCTGTGGTTTCCAGACTTTTTAATAATTGCCATTCTGACTGGCATGAGATGGGATCTCACTGTGGTTTTGATGTGCATTTCTCTAGTGATCAGTTATGTTGAGCTTTTTTTTTCTATGTTTGTTGACTGCTTGAATGTCTTCTTTTGAGAAGTGTCTGTTCATATCATTTGCCCACTTTTTAATGGGGTTGTTTGTTTTCTTGTAAATATGCTTAAGTTTCTTATAAATTCTGCATATTATATCTTTGTCAGATGGGTAGATTGCAAAAATTTTCTCCCATTCTGTAGGTTGCCTTTTAACCTGATGATAGTTTCTTTTGCTCTGCAGAAGCTCCTTCTTTTAATGAGAATACATTTGTCAATTTTGGCTTTTGTTGAGAAGGTCAGATAGTCGTAGATGTGCAGTGTTGTTTCTGAGGTCTCTGTTCTGCTCCATTGGTCTGTATGTCTGTTTTGGTACCAGTACCATGCTCTTTTGGTTGCTGTAGCCTTGTAGTATAGTTTGAAGTCAGGTAGCATGATGCCTCCAGCTTTGTTCTTTTTGCTTAGGATTGTCTTGGCTATATGGGGTTTTCTTTAATTCCATATGAAATTAAAAAGTTTTTTTTTAAATTTTATTATTATTGTACTTTAAGTTTTAGGGTACATGTGCACAACGTGCAGGTTTGTTACATATGTATACATGTGCCATGTTGGTGTGCTGCATCCATTAACTCATCATTTAACATTAGGTATATCTCCTAATGCTATCCCTCCCCCCTCCCCCACCCCACAACAGGCCCTGGTGTGTGATGTTCCCCTTCCTGTGTCCATGTGTTCTCATTGTTCAATTCCCACCTATGAGTGAGAGCATGTGGTGTTTGGTTTTCTGTCCTTGCGATAGTTTCCTCAGAATGATGGTTTCCAGCTTCATCCATGTCCCTAGAAAGGACATGAACTCATCATTTTTTATGGCTGCATAGTATTCCATGGTGTATATGTACCACATTTTCTTAATCCAGTCTATCATTGATGGACATTTGGGTTGGTTCCAAGTCTTTGCTATTGTGAATAGTGCCGCAATAAACATACACGTGCATGTGTCTTTATAGCAACATGATTTATAATCCTTTGGGTATATACCCAGTAATGGCATGGCTGGGTCAAATGGTATTTCTAGTTCTAGATCCCTGAGGAATCGCCACACTGACTTCCACAAGGGTTGAACTAGTTTACAGTCCCACCAACAGTGTAAAAGTGTTCCTATTTCTCCACATCCTCTCCAGCACCTGTTGTTTCCTGACTTTTTAATGATTGCCATTCTAACTGGTGTGAGATGATATCTCGTCATGGTTTTGATTTGCATTTCTCTGATGGCCAGTGATGGTGAGCATTTTTTCATGTGTTTTTTGGCTGCATAAATGTCTTCTTTTGAGAAGAGTCTGTTCATAACCTTTGCCCACCTTTTGATGAGGTTGTTTGTTTTTTTCTTGTAAATTTGTTTGAGTTCATTGTAGATTCTGGATATTAGCCCTTTGACAGATGGGTAGATAGCAAAAATTTTTTCCCATTCTGTAGGTTGCCTGTTCACTCTGATGGTAGTTTCTTTTGCTGTGCAAAAGCTCTTTAGTTTAATTAGATCCCATTTGTCAATTTTGGCTTTTGTTGCCATTGCTTTTGGTGTTTTAGACATGAAGTCCTTGCCCATGCCTATGTCCTGAATGGTATTGCCTAGGTTTTCTTTTAGGGTTTTTATGGTTTTAGGTCTAACATTTAAGTCTTTAATCCATCTTGAATTCATTTTTGTATAAGGTGTAAGGAACTGGCTAGCCATATGTAGAAAACTGAAACTGGATCCGTTCCTTACACCTTATACAAAAATTAATTCAAGATGGATTAAAAAGTTTTTTTCTAATTCTGTGAAGAATGCCAACAGTAGTTTGATGGAAATAGTATTGAAACTATAAATTACTTTGGGCAGTATGGCCATTTTTATGTTATTGATTCTTCCTATCCATGAGGATGGAATGTTTTTCCATTTGTGTCCTCTCTTATTTCCTTGAGCAGTGGTTTGTAGTTCTCCTTGAAGAGGTGCTTCACATCCCTTGTTAGTGGTATTCCAAGGTATTTGATTTTCTTTGTAGCAATTGTGAAGGGAGTTCCTTCATGATTTGGCTGTCTGCTTGCCTATTGTTGGTGTAAAGGAATGCTTATAATTTTTGCACATTGATTTTGTGTCCGGAGACTTTGCTCAAGTTGTTTATCAGTTCAAGAAGTTTTTTGGGCTGAGATGATGGGGTTTTCTAAATATAAACTCATGTCATCCACAAACAGAGACAATTTGACTTTCTCTCTTCCTACCTGAATATGATTTATTTATTTCTCTTGCTTGATTGCCCTGGCCAGCACTTCCAATACTATCATGAATAGGAGTGGGGAGAGAGGGCATCCTCGTCTTGTACCAGTTTTCAGAGGGAATGCTTTCAGATTTTGCCCATTAAATATGATACTGGCTGTTGGTTTGCCATAAATAGCTCTTATAATTTTGAGATATGTTCCATCAATACCAAGCTCATTGAGTTTTTAAAATGAAGAGATGTTGAATTTTATCAAAGGCCTTTTCTTCATCTACTGAGATAATCATGTGTTTTTATCTTTGGTCCTGTATATGTGGTGGTTTACATTTATTGATTTGCATATGTTGAACCAGCCTTGCATCCCAGGGATGATGCTAACTTGATCATGGTGGATAAGCTTTTTGATGTGTTGCTGGATTCGGCTTGCCAGTATTTTAACAAGGATTTTTGCATCGATGTACATCAGGGATATTGTCCTGAAGTTTTCTTTTTTGTTGTTTTTGTGTCTCTTCCCGGTTTCGGGATCAGGATAATGCTGGCTTCCTAAAATGAGTTAGGAAGGAGTACCTCCTTTTTAATTGTTTGGAATAGTTTCAGAAGGAATGGTGCCAGCTTCACTTTGTATTTCTGGTAGAATTCAGCTGTGAATCTTTCTGGTTCTGGGCATTTTTTGGTTGATATACTATTAATTACTGCCATTGGTCTATTCAGAGATTTGACTTCTTCCTGGTTTAGTCTTTGTAGGGTGTATGCATCCAGGAATTTATCCATTTCTTCTGGATTTTCTAGTTTATTTGTGTAGAGGTGTTTATAGTATTCTCTGATGGTAGTTTGTATTTCTGTGGGGTCAGTGGTGATATTTCCTTTATCATTTTTCTATTGTGCCTATTTGATTCTTCACATTTTTCTTCTTTATTAATCTAGCTAGGAGTCTATCTATTTTCTTAATTTTTTCAAAAAACCATCTCCTGGATTCACTGATTTTTTTGAGGTTTTTTTTGCATCTCTACCTCTTTCAATTCTGCTCTGACTTTAGTTATTTCTTATCTTCTTTTGGATTAGTTTGTTCTTGTTTCTCTAGCTCTTTCCATTGTGATGTTAGGGTGTCCATTTGAGACCTTTCTAGCTTTCTGATGTGGACATTTAGTGCTATAAATTTTCCTCTTAATACTGCTTTAACTGTGTCTCAGAAATTCTGGTACATTTTCTCTTTATTCTCATTGGTTTCAAAGAACTTCTTGATTTCTACTTTAATTTCATTCTTTACCCAGTAGTCATTCAGGAGCAGGTTGTTCAATTCCCATGTAATTGTGTGGCATTGAGTGAGTTTCTTAATCCTGAGTTCTAATTTGAATGCACTCTGGTCTAAGAGACTGCTCGTTATGATTTCAGTTATTTTGCATTTGCTGGGGAGTGTTTTACTTCCAATTATGTGGTCAATTTTACAATAAGTGCCATGTGGCACTGAGACAAATGTATATTCTATTGATTTGAAATAAAGACTTCTGTAGATGTCTATTAGGTCCACTTGATCCAGAGCTGAGATCAAGTCCTGAATATCCTTGTTCATTTTCTGTCTCATTGACTGTCTAATACTGACAGTGGGGTGTTAAAGTCTCACACTATTATTGTGTGGGAGACTAAGTCTCTTTGTCAGTCTCTAAGAACTTGTTTTATGAATCTGGGTACTCCTGTATTGGGTGCATATATATTCAGAATAGTTCACTCTTCTTGTTAAATTGTTCCCTTTACCATGAGGTAATGCCCTTCTTTGTCTTTTTTTATCTTTGTTGGTTTAAAGTCTGTTTTGTCAGAGACTAGGATTGCAACTCCTACTTTTTATTTTATTTTTTTTTTTGCTTTTCAATTTCTTTTTTAATTTTCCTTCATCCCTTTACTTTGATCCTGTGTGTGTCTTTGCACATAAAATGGGCCTGTTGAATACAGAACACTGATGAATCTTGACTCCCTATGCAATTTGCCAGTCTGTGTTTTTTGACTGGGGTATGTAGTCTATTTACATATAAGGTTAGTATTGTTATGTGTGAATTTGATCCTGTCATCATGATGCTGTCTGGTTATTTTGCACACTAGTTGATGCAGTTTCTTCATAGTGTCATTGGTCTTTATATTTTGGTTTGTTTTTGCAGTGGCTGGTACCAGTTTTACCCTTCAGTATTTAGTACTTCTTTCAGCAGTTCTTGCAGGGCAGGCATGTTGGTAACAAAGTCTCTCAGCATTTGCTTGTCTGGAAAGGATTTTATTTATCCTTCACTTATAAAGCTTAGATTGGCTGGATATGAAATTCTGGGTTGAAAATTATTTTCTTAAAGAATGTTAAATATTGGCCCTCAATCTCTTCCAGCTTGTAGGGTTTCTGCTAAGAGGTCCACTTGTAGTCTGATGGGCTTCCCTTTGCCTGTGACCTGGCCTTACTCTCTGGCTGCCCTTAACATTTTTTTCTTCTAAAACCTGCTCCTTAACTCATTATAGTTTTTTATTACCCAACTTCTGGAGCCTACTTCTGTCAACTTGTCCATCTGATCCTCCATCCAGTTCTGTGCCCTTGATGGAGAGACGTTGTCATCATTTGGGGGAGAAAAGGCGCTCTGGTCTTTTAGGTTTTCAGCATTTATTCCTGATTCTTTCTCATCTTCGTGAGTTTGTCTAGTTTTGGTATTTGATGCTGCCGACCCTTTGATGGAGTTTTTGTTGGGACATTTTTGTTGTTCTTGTTCATGCTGTTGTTATCGCTTTCTGCTTGTTTTTCTTTCAATAGTCAGGTCCCTCTTCTGTAGGGCTGTTGCAGTTTGTTGGGGGTTCACTTCAGGCCTTATTCACCTGATTCGCTCCTGTACCTGGAGATGTCACTAAAGGAGGCTGGAGAGCAGCAAAGATGGGTACCTGCTCTTTTTTCTGGGACCTCTGACCTCAAGGGGCACCAAACTGATGCCAGTAGAATTGCTCCTGTATAGGGTGCCTGACAACTCCTGTTGGAGGGTCTCACCCAGTTGGGTGGCATGGGGAGCAGGACCCATTTAATGAAGCACTTTGTCCTTTGGTGGAGAGGCTGTGTTTTGCTGGGAGGGAAACCCACTCATCTTCATTGCCCAGATTCCTCAGAACTACCAGGAGTAGAGGCTAAGTCTGCTGGTCCACAGAGATTTCAGCCACTCCTCCTCCTAGGGGCTCAGGCCTAGGGAGATCCAAATTCTGTTCCTGAGACTCTGGCTGGAATTATTGGAGATCCTGCAGGGAAGCACCACCCACTGAGGAAGGATGGGTCAGCGTTAGACCTGAAGAGGCACTCTGGCTGCAGACTCCCACAGCTGGTGTGTTGGGCTGTGGGAGCAAGTCTTGGGACCAAGCTGTCCAGCATCCCTGGCTCCAACAGGGAAAAAGTGTAGCCTGGAGCTATAAAAATGGGTGCCACCCTTCTCTTGCCCAGGGAGCTTAGCATGTTAGGCAATTGCAAGTCCCAGTGCTGGCTGCTGCCCCTCCCCCAAGGGGCTCAAATGGCTTAGCAGGCAGCCACAGACAGTGCTGGTCACCCCCCAACCCAGGAGTTTGGTAGGCTTAAGCAGATTCCTGCTGAGAGGCTGTGAGAATCTGCATGTTCCAGGGTTAGGACACTAGGCCCCGGTTGCATGCATTTATGAGTGGGATCTCCTGATCCATGGGTTGCACAGTTCCAGGGAAAAATCAGTTTTCTTGGCTGGGTAGCACGCTTACTCACCACCTCCCTTGGGTGGGGGAAGGGTGTTCCCCTTCCCCATGTTGCTCTCAGGTGGGTTGCCACATCACAATGCTCTTCCTTCTCTCCTTGGGTCATACCAGCCTTCTAGTCAATTTTGATGATAGAACCTGGATGCCTTGGTTGCCAGTGAAGGATTCACATGCTTACTGTGTTTTTTCCTATGCGAGCCTCCAAACAGCACTGCTTCTAGTCAGCCATCTTGGCCCCACCCCTAGCCCAATAACTCAGAATTGCTCTTTTGAGGATATTTTCTAGATCGTGTAGGCGTGCTTCATTTTTTTAATTATTCTTTTTTTTTTGTCTCCTCTGACTGTGTGTTTTCAAATAGCCTGCCTTCAAGCTCACTGTTTCTTTCTTCTGCTTGATTGATTCTGCTATTAAAGGAATCTAATGCATTCTTCAGTATGCCAGTTGCACTTTCCAGCTGTAGAATTTTTGCTTAATTTATTTTAATTGTTTTAATCTATTTGTTATATTTATCTGATAGAATTCTGAACTTTTTCCCTGTGTTATCTTAAATTTCTTCGAGTTTCTTCAACACAGCTATTTTGAATTCTCTCTCTGAAAGGTCACATATTTCTGTTTCTCCAAGATTGGTCACTGGTGCTTTATTTAGTTTTTTTGATGAGGTCACCTTCTCCTGGCTGGTATTGATGCTAGTAGATGTTTTTTAATGTCTGGGCATTGAGGAGTTAGATATTTATTGTAGACTTTGCTGTGTGGGATTATTTGTACCTGTCTTTCTTAGAAAGGCTTTCCTAATGCATAAAAGAAGTTGGGTTTTGTAATCTAAACTATATATATATATATATATATATATATATATTTTTTTTTTTTTTTTTTAGATGGAGTCTCGCTCTGTCACCCAGGCTGGAGTGCAGTGCAGTGGTGCGAACTCGGCTCATTGCTGGATCTTACGGTAGGTGGAGATGAGAAACTTGTTGGGAACTGGAATAAAGGTGATCCTTGCTATGCTATAGCAAAGAGACTCACAGCATTTTTCCCCTGCCCTAGAGATCCGTGGAACTTTGAACTTGAGAGAAATGATTTAGGGTATCTGGCAGAAGAATTTTTTTTCCCCTTTCACTTGGTCCTCATCCCCTCTTGCCTGCTGCCATGTAAGACATGCCTTTCACCTTCCACCATGATTGTGAGGCCTCCTCACTCACGTGGAACTGTGAGTCCATTAAGCTCCTCTTTCCTTAATAAATTACCCAGTCCTGGCTATGCCTTTATTAGCAGCATGAGAAAAAACTAATACATTATATATCTGATGAGGAGCTAATATTTAAAATATATAAATAAATGACACAACTCACTCAATAGAAAGAATAGAAATAGTGCCATTATAAATGAACAATGGAATTGAATAGAAATTTTTTCCAAAGAGATATAAAAATGGTCAACAAGTATATGAAAAGATGTTCAACATGACTAATTTTCAGGGAAATGCAAATCAAAATCACAATGAGATACTGTTTCACACTTACTAGAATGTCTATTATCAAAAAGACAAGAGATAAGTATTGGTGAGGATATGGGAAAAAGAAAATTCTTGAACACTGTTGGACTAAATGTAAAATGGTACAGCCATTATAGAAAACAGCATGTTGGTGATTTTTATGTTCATTTTCCTCAAAAAATATTTAAAAAGAACTACCATAAGATCCAGCAACCTCTCTGCTGGGTATAACTCAAAGAATATAAAATATGGACTTTGTAGAGACATGTGAACTTCCATGTTCATTGCAATATTAAGCTCAATAGCCAAGATATTGGGATCAAGGGAAGTACTCATGGAAAGGTAAATATTTAAAGAAATTGTAATATATATACACAATACCATACTACTAACTTTAAAAAAGGAGATATTGCCATTTGTGACAAATTGGTGAACATGGAGGATATTATGTTATTTAAAATAAGCCAGGCATAGAAAGAAAAATACTGCAGGATTTCAATTATATTTCAAATCTAAATAAAAGTTAATATATAGAAATAGAGAGTATATTAGTGATTATTAGAAACAGGGATGGACAGAAAATGGAAAAAAATTGACATTGCAATAAAGATATCTGAAAATGTGGAAGTGACTTTGGAACTGGGTATTGGGCAGTGGTTGGATCAGTTTAGAGGGCCCAGAAGAAGAGAGAAATATAAGGGAGAGTTTGGAGCTTCCTGGGGACTAGCTAAATCATTGTGACCAAAATGCTGATAGTGATATGAACAGTGAAGTCCAGGCTGAGAGGATATCAGATGAAAAAGAGGAACTTATTGGGAGCTAGAGTAAAGGTCACTCTTGCTATCCTTTAGCAAAGAGACTGGTGGCATTGTGCCCCTGCTCTAAGAAGCTGTGAAACTTTGAACATGAGAGAGATGATTTACAAAATCTTGCAGAAAAAAATTCTAAGCAGCAAAGCATTCAAGATGTGGCCTGGATACTTCTAACAGTGTACACTCAGAGGAGGTCACAAATAGATTTTCTGATGAAACTTATATTTAAAAAGAAAGCAGAGCAGAAAAGTTTGGAGAATTTACAGCCTGATCATGTGGTAGGAAAAAAAAATACTGGGGAAGAATTTAAGGCTGCACAAACTTGCATAAGTAAAAATAAGCCAAATGTTAATAGCCCAAGACAATAGGGAAAACGCCTCCAGGGAATTTCAGAGAACTTTGTGGCAGCCCCTCCTATTACAGGCCTAAATGCCTAGAAGGGAAATAGTTGTTTCATGGACCAGACTCAGGACCCTGCTACACTGTGCAGCCTCAAGACATAGTGCCCTGTGTCCTAGCCATTCCAGCTTCTTCTGTCACTAAAAGGTGCCAAGGTACAAGTCAGGCCATTGCATCAGAGAGAGCATGTCCCAAGTCTTGCTGGCTTCCATGTGGTGTTGGGCTTGCAGATGCAAAGATGTCAAGGGTTGAATTTTGGAAGCCTCTGCCTAGATTTCAGAGGATGTATAAAAACACCTGGATGTCCAGGCAGAAATCTTCTGCAGGGTTGGATCCTTCATGGAGAACCTCTATTAGGTCAGTGTGGAGAGGAAATGAGGTCAAAGCCCCCACACACAGTCCCTACTTGGGGACTGCCTAGTGGACCTATGAGAAAAGGGCCACCATTCTGCAAACCCTAGAATGATAACTCCAGCAGGTGCACTGTGCACCTGGAATAGCTGCAAGCACTCAAAGTCAATCCATAATAGCAGTGGTGGGGGCGGTAACCTGCAGACCCACAGGGGAGGAGCTGTTCAAGGCCTTGGGGGCCCAACCCTTGCATCAGTGTGGCCTGGATGTGAGACATGGAGTCAAAGGAGATTATTTTGAAGCTTTAAGATTTAATGACTACCCTACTGGGCTTCAGACCTGCATGGGGACTGTAGCCTCTTTGTTTTGGCCTATCCATCTATTTTGGAACAGGAGCATTTACGCAATGCCTGTATCCTCATTGTATCTGAAAGTAACCAACTTGTTTTTTGTTTGTTTGTTTGTTTGAATTTTACTGGCTCATAGGCAGAAGGGACTTGCCTGGCCTCAGATGAGACTTTGGACTTGGACTTTTGGGTTAATGCTGGAACGAGTTAAAACTTTGGGGCATGATTGGTTTTGAAAAGTGAGAAAGACATGAGATTTGGGAGGGGCAGGGATGGAATAATATGGTTTGGTTTGGTATCCCCACTTCAATATTATGTTTAATTGTAATCCCCAATGTTGGGGGAAGGACCTGGTGGGAGGTGATTTGATTATGGGGGTAGATTTCCCCTTTGCTATTTTCATGATAGTGAGTGAGTTCTAATAAAATCTGGTTGTTTAAAAGTGTGAAGCACTCTCCCCACCCCGCTGGTCATGTGAAGATGTGCTTGCTTCCCTTTTGCCTTCAACCATGGTTGTAAGTTTTCTGAGGCCTCCCCAGCCATGCTTCCTATACCTCCTGCATAACTGTGAGTCAATTGAACCCCTTTTCTTTATAAATTACTCAGTCTCATGTAGTTATTTAGAGCAACATGAGAACAAACGAATACATTCTTCTTTTGAGAACTGTCTATTTAGATACTTTGCCCGCTTCTTAATGAGAATTCTTGGTTTTGTTTCATTTTGTTTTACTGTTAAGCTGTTTAAATTTTTGGTATATTCTGGATATTAATCCCTTGTCAGATTAAAATTTTAAAAATGTATTCTACCATTTAATAGGTTTTCTCTTCATCCTGTTGATATTTTCCTTTGCCATACAGAAACTTTTTAGTTTAATATAGTCTGATTTTTCTATTTTTTTAATGCCTGTGCCTTTGAGTTCTTAGTCATAAAATCTTTGCCTAGGCCAATTATTTATTTTGGTTTTATGTTTAAGTCTTTAATTAATTTTGAGTTGATCTTTGTATGTAGTGAAATATGGGTATCTAGTTTCATTCTTCTGCATACAAATATTTCATTTTCACAGAACCATACATACACTGTCCTTCCTTCCATGTACGTTCTTTGCACCTTTACAAAAGATGAGTTCATTGTAAGTGCATTAATTTATTTCTGTGTTCATTATTATGTCCTATTTTTCTATGTGTTGTTTTATAATGTTGTTTTCTATGCGTTGTTTTGTTGCTGCGACTTTGTGACATATGTTCAAGTCAGGTAGTGTGATGCCTCCAGTTCTGTTTATTTTGCTTAAGATAGCTTTGGCTATTTAGGGTCTGTTCAGGTTCCATATAAATTTTCTACCTTCTTTTTCTATTTCTGTGAAAAAATGGCATTGGTATTTTGATAGGCATTGCATTGAATCTGTAGATTGCTTTGAGTAGTATAGTTATTTTAACAATGTTAATTAGTCCAATCCATGAGCATGGAATGTCTTTCTATTGATTTGTTTTCTCTTTAATTTCTTTCAACAGAGTTTTGTAGGTTTCCTTAGAGAGGTTTTCTACCTTCTTGATTAAATGTATTCCTAGGTATTTCTTTTTGGTTAAAATTATCCCTAGGTTTTTAATTTAATTTAATTTAATTTAATTATTTTATTTTATAGCTAGTGTGGCCCTTGGATGACATACTTGGGCACTGGGGCTTGGGTAAACCTCAGCTTGGCAGACCTGACCTCAGGATCCCCAGTGGTGCACGCTGGTGCTGGTTGTGGTAAGCCTGCCTGGGTCAGGTAATTTCCAGGCTCATTGTAGAATGCTTAGGTGGGAGGAGCAGTGGTTGTGTTATGGCTCTGCTGCTGGGGAGGGCAAGGTTGATTTCAGTGACAGCATCTAAAAACAGGCAGCTGAGGAGTGCATGCTTGGACCCCTAGTGGCAGCTAAAAGCAAGGCAGCCTCTCCTCAGGGTGCTTTAAAATATGTGGTGGCCCTGCTACCAGGAGTCACTACCAAGGGTTCATGCTTCAGCCCTGGGAGTAGCAGCCAGCATTCTCTCTCAGGTAATCTATTCAAATTGTGACCATCTACATTTAGATATCTTCTTTGTAAAGGGGGTAAGTAATAGATGCTTCTAGTCGCCCTTCTTAAATCCCATGTCAAGCCCATTTTCATTAAAATTACTGATAAGTAAGGATTTACTATTGCCATTTTGTTATCTGTTTTTTATTTGTCTTGTGATTGCTTTGTCCCTCGTAGCTTTTTTTGCTATCTCATTTTGTGTTTTGGTGCTTTTCCTTTTGCATTACTAGGTTTTGATTCTTGTATTTTATTTTCTTTGTGTAACTACAGTAACTATTTTATTTGTTGTTATCAAGGGGCTTAAATAAATTATATTATGGTTACAAGTTAACTTTAAGCTGATAACAGCATAACTTTTCTTGCATTCAGACTTTGTTCTTTTACATCTATTTTACTTACAGTGTGTTCTGTTTATGTCAGAATTTTCAACTCTGTATTGTGTGTATCCACTATATAATTTAGTTATAGTTGTTTTAATATTTTTGTCTTTCGGCTTTTATAGTAGGATTACAATAGATTCATTCACCACTTTTATAACACTAAATTTTTTTCATCGATATTTTTTCATTTGCCAACCAGTGTCACACTTTCTTTTGCTCTCATGTTGCTGTTTTCTATCTTGTCATTTCAACTTGATGAACTTCATGTAGCACTTTTTGTAAGGCAGGTCTAGTGGTGATAAATTCCTTCAGCTGTTGTCTGTGAAAGTTTTTATCTCTCCTTAATTAATAAAGAACATGTTTGCTGGTACAGTATTCTTGGTTGATAGGGTTGTTTTTCTTCTGTCAGCACTTTGAATATATTATCTCACTTTTTTCTAACCTGTATTATTTCTACTGAAAAACCTGCAGATCATATTATGAATCTTCCCTTGTGTTTAATAGATCACTTTTCTTTTGCTACTTTCAGAATTATCTTTTTGACTTTAATTTTTCCCAATTTTATTATAATGTGTCTTAGTATCAGTCACTTTGGATTCATCTTTGGATTCCTGGACGTGAATTTCTATTTTTTTTTCAGGTTTGGACAGTTTCCAGCCATAATTTATTTGAATACTTTTTTCTGTTTTTTTCTTTTTCTCTTCTCTTCTTTTTCTGAGACTTGAAATTGCTTATATTAGTGTACTTGATGATGTCTCGTAAGTCCCCTAGGCTTTCTTTACTTTTCAAATTTTTTGCTCTCAGATTAAATGATTTCTAATAACCTGTTTTTGAGTTCACTGTTCCTTTCTTCTACTTGATTTAATCTGATATGGAATTCCTCTATTTATTTTTAAGTTATGTTATTGTGTCCTTCAGCTGTTTGAGTTCTTTATATTTTTATATTACCTATCCCTTTGTTGAAATTATTAGTTGGTTCATGCTTTGCTCTTCTGAGTTCAGTAAGCATAGCTATAAGCATTCTTTTGAATTATCTGTTGGGTAAATTATACCATTGATGGTTAATACTGAGTGTCAATTTGATTGGATTGAAGGAGGCAAAGTATTGATCCTGAGTGTGTCGGTGAGGGTGTTGCCAAAAAACAATTAACATGTTAGTCAGTGGGCTGGGAAAGGCAGACCCACCCTTAATCTGGGTGGGCACCATATAATCAACTACCCGTGCAGCTAGAATATAAAGAGGGAGAAAAACATGAAAAGGATAGACTAGCCTAGACTTCCCACCTACATGTTTCTCCCATGGTAGATGCTTCCTGCCCTCAAACACTGGACTCCAAGTTCTTCAGTTTTGGGACTCAGACTGGCTCTCCTTACTCCTCAGCTTGCAGACAGCCTATTGTGGAACCTTGTGATTTTGTGAGTAATACTTAATAAAATCATATGATTTTATTAAGTATTACTCACAAAATCACAAGGTTCCACAACATATATATATATATATATATATATACACATTTATATATATTAAAAAATATATGTACATTTATATATATAAAAATATATGTACATTTATATATATGTACATTTATATATATATATATATATATATATATTTAGTTCTGTCCCTCTAGAGAACCCTAACTAATACAAACTAATACATTAACTATCTTTATTTTATTATCTATCTTTATTGTATTAGGTTCAGTTTCTGGAGATGTATCTTGTTCTTTTATTTGGAACATATTAATCTTTCCCTGTTTCTTCATTTTCTTTGACTCTGTGTTGGTGTCTGTACATGAAATAATAAAACAATATCATCTAGCCTTGTCACACTGACTTTTTTTTGTAGGCAATGCTCATCACACACCAGCTTACCAGAGATTCTGGGTGCTTGTTAAATTTTTATTCTTATCCCAACTGCTATCTTTTTCACAGTGACCCCCAGGATATTTGGTTGTGTGAAATTCTGTCATTATCCTAAGACAGGTGAGATAGAAGCCAGTTTTTGGAGATGCCATTTGGAAAAACTGGGTTTTTGGAGGTATTTTGTAATTCTTTCTTATTTACTTCCATTGTTTTTCAGACCACCCGCAAAGCCTAGGGAAATGGCCACTGGAAGTGTTTGCACATCTATTTAAAACTCACCATTTTGGTCTTCATAATATAGGGAGACTTATGAATGCAGAGGCCTATCAATTCCCAGAGCTAGGTGATTGAGAAGACAAGCCCTTACGTAAGAGCTATAAAAGTTGGTCCATTAAATGTGTGCACAATCTCCTTTCAAGGAGAATTACATACCTGGATTTATTGAAGGTAAATGGTGGAGCAGTAGTCAAGAGAAGTGTGTCCACATTCTTGTTTAGGCTCCTAGAGGCCTATTGTTTATCTGCCTCATTGCACCCCAGAGTCAGTTTAGTTCAAAACTCCATTTTTGAGCAACGACTGGAAAAGTAGGCAGGCACACCCCTCCCAGGGTAAAACTGGTATATATGCATTTTCGCCCAATTTATCTGCACTGTTTTCAGGGGTACAGCTTTTGGAAGTACATACCCACTTAAAGCCACACTTTGTTCTCCGTGGTCTAGGGAGACTCACAACTGATGAGATATTTTTGCTTTCAGTGCTGGGTAATTTGAGAGCCAGACTCTTAATAGAGGTTATAAAAGTTGGGGTGCTTTCTGTGATTCACACTTTTTATGCCTCAAGGAGAATCTTGGAGTTGTGAATTCCTTCCTCATTGTCAAGTGTTGTGCCTGGGATGGAGTTTGAGTATAACCGTGGGTCACCTTTTTCTACCCATTTTGATGTGGCCATCTTCTCAGTTGGTCAGTATGCAGCAGTCTGTCAACTAGTATTTGGCTTTCTCTCAGAGGATATTTATCTATGTGTAGACGTTTATTCAGTGTATAGTTGGAAGGAGGAATAGTTAAGAGCCTCTTATCCAGCCATAATTTTGGTGACCCAAGTCTAAAACTTAAAAAGAATATACTTCTATTTTCTGTTTCCATTCTTTATGTTGTTTTACTCATCCATTTTACATATACACTTTCTTATTATTTGTACTTCATAAGGCAATAATTTTTAATCAGAATTAAAAATAAAAAACTAGTATATTTACTAACATATTTATTATATCTGGCAATCCATATACCTTCATTTTATAGATCCAGTTTTTTTTTTCTGGCGTATGTTTTCTTTTAATTGTCTAAAAGGAATTCATTTTTACCACAGATTTATTCATGTATTTCTCTCAGCTTTTGTTAATTAGAAAAAGTTTTATTTGACCTCTATTGTTAAACTTTATTGAAATAGAAATTACATATTATATAATTCACAAATTTAACATGTGAAATTTTATTGATTACTATATTCATAAAATTATACAATACTAATTATGATCTAATTGTAGAACATTTATATTTTCCCACAAAAACTTCCATACCTATTGGCAGTCATATGTTATTCCTTACTCCACATAGCTCCTGAAAACTACTACCTAAAATTATACAATATGTGGGCTTCTGTGTCTAGATTCTTTCTTTTAACATAATGTTTTTAGGTTTATCTATGGTGCAGCATTAGTACTTTCTTCCTTTATAGATAAATAAACTCCCACTGTATGGACATACCACATTTTACTTACCCATTCAACAAATAATGGACATTTGTGTTGTTGACACATTTTGGCTATGATGAATAATGCTGCTATGAACATTTAGGTATCAATTTTGTGTGAATATAGGTTTTTATATATCCTGAGTATATACCTAAAAGTGAAATTGCTTAGTCATGTAGTAACTCTATGTTCAACTTTCTGAGATACTGTCAAACCATTCCCAAAAGCAGCTATACTCTACCTTTCCTCTAGCCATATATGAGGGTTCCAATTTCTCCACATTTTTTGACAATACTTGCTATTGTTTGTCTTTTTCATTACAGTCAGCCTAGTGTGGGTGATATAATATCTTATTGGGCTTTTAGCTTGGACTTCTCTGATAACTAAAGATAATGAACATGTATGTATGTGCTTATTGATCATTTGTATATCTTCTTTAGAGATATATCTATTCAAATCCTCTAACAAATAAATAATTTGGATATTTGTATTTTTATTGTCAAATTATACATTTTTATGTATTCTGGATACTAGATATTTTATTACATAAGTATTACATTCTATTGGTTGCCTTTTTATTTTCTTGATGGTGTGTCATTTGCAGCAAAGATTTTTTTCTTGACTTAAAGAGTTTCAAAACTTTAGCTTTTACATGTAGGTCAATTATGTATTCTAAGTTAAGTTTTGCATATGTTGTGAAGTAGGTGACCCAATTTATTCTTTGGCATATGGATATCCAGTTGTCTCAAATTCATCTGCTGAAAAGCCAATATTTTATTGAACTCACTGAGTTATGTTGTCACCCTTCTTGAAAGTCAGTTTCCTGTTGATGTAAGGTTATTCTTGAGATTCATCTGGCTTTATTATTGTCTGCAATCATTTTTCTATTTTGCTTAAATTGTTATTTAAGTGTTTAGTTGGGTATTTAGGCCTCAATATTATAACAATGATTGGTCTATAGTTTTCATGTGATATATTTGTCTGTTTTTAGCATTAGAGTCATACTGACCTCATAAGATGAGTTGAAGAGTTTTACCTTTACTTTTTTGTTTTGGAACAGATTGTCAAGGAATGTGGATTTCTTCCTTAAATGTTTGGTAGAATTCACCCGTGAAACCATCTAGTCCTAGAATTTTCTTTGTGCGAAATCTTTGGTTCTAATTTATTATCTTTATTTGTTGTAGGCTTATTCTGATTTTTAATTTCTTCTTGAGTTAGTTTCAATAGTTTTTAACTTTAGGAAATTTTACATTGGGGGGTATTTTTATTATATAGGTTACCTAATTTGTTAGCATACAATTGTTAAGGTATTTTATTATAATCCTTTTTACTTCTGTAAGGTTGGTGCTGATGCCACATCATTCCTTCTCGATTTTAATAATTTCTTTTTCTTTCTTTTTTTTTTTTTTTAACTGATCTGCCTAACTAAGTTTTGCCAACCTTACTAATTTTTTCAAAAAACTAACTTTGGGCTTTGTTGATTTTCTCTATCGCTTTCCATTTGCTATATCATTTATTTTCATTCCTTAATATTTCCTTCTTTCTGTTTTTCTTGAGTTTATTTTTTGTTCTTCTCTTTTGAATTTCATAAGGTAGAAGGTTAGATCACTAAATTGAGATCTTTCTTCTTTTTAGTACAGGTGTTTACAACCATAAAGTTTCCTTTAAGCACTGTTTTTACTATGTCTCATAAAATTTGGTTACTGTTCTAATTTTTTTCTCAACATATTTCTGTGTTTTTCTTATGATGTATTCTTTGATATATTGGTCTTATATAATGGTTAATATTAGGTATCAACTTGACTAGATTGAGAGATGCCTAGATGGTTGATGAAGCATTGTTCCTGGGTGTTTCTGTGAGAATGTTGCCAGAGGAGATTGCCCTTTGAGTCAGTGGACTAGACAGGAAGTCCCACCCTCAGTGTTGTGGGACCCCATTCAATTGCCTACCAGCATAGCTATAACAAAGCTGGTGGGAAAGGGGGGAATAAGTAACTTGCTTGCTGTGTCTACTCACTGTGTCTCTTCCCACACCTGATACTTGCTTCCTCTCCTCCAGTTCTTTGACATCAGACTCCAAGTTCTTTAGTCTTTGGACTCTGAGACTTGTAGCAGCAGCCTCTTGGAAGCGTTCAGGTCTTTGGACTCAGACTGAGGGCTCCACTGTAGGCTTCCCTGGTTTTGAGGTTTTTGGACTTGTACTGAGCCACACTACTAGCTTACCTCTTTTTCTAGTTTTCAGATGGCCTATCATAGGACTTTGCCTTGTAATCATGTGATCCAATTCTCCCTAATAAACTCCCTTTTACATATGCATATATCCTATAGGCTCTGTCCCTCAGGAGAACCTTAATACATTATATAACAATGTGTTCTTTAACTGTCAAATATTTGTGAATTTCCCAAATTTTCTTTATTATAGATTTTTATTCCATTCCATTTTAGTGGGAATACATAATTTTTATAATTTTAATCCTTTAAATCAATGTAGACTTGTTTTATGACATAAAATATGTTACATTCTGTAAAAAGTTTCATGAGCATTTAATGGGAATTTTGATGTTATTGATGCATAGGTCTATAGATGTCAGATTAGCAAGGAAATAGAAGACATAAACTACATTGTATGTAAAATAGAGTTAACATCTATAGATGTACAACGTAGTTCATATCTTCTATTTCCTTGCTAACATTCTGTCTAGTCATTCTATTCATTACTGAAACTGAAAAATTAAACTCTAAAAATAATATTGTTAAATATTTATTTCTTACCTTAATTCTGTCAGTTGTTTACTGCATGTTGTGTATTCTGTTACTAGGTGCGTATATATTCATATTTGTTTTATCTTCTTGGTGAATTGACTCCTTTATCTTAATAAATGTTTTGCTTTTTTCTCTATGACAATTTTTGTCTTAACATTACATTTGTCTGATATTTGTTTAGCCAATCAAGCTTTCATTTTGCTTATATAACATTTCTTTTTCTATCCTTTTACGTTCAACATGTTTACATCATTTCCTTTTTTTTTTTTTTTTTTTGAGAAGGAGTCTTGCTCTGTCACTGAGGTTGGAGTGAAATGGTGCAATCTCGGCTCACTGCAACCTCCGCCTCCCAGGCTCAAGAGATTCTCCTGCCTCAGCCTCCCAAGTAGCTGGGATTACAGGCATGTGCCACCGTGTCCAGCTAATTTTTGTATTTTTAGTAGAGATGAGGTTTCACCATGTTGGCCAGGCTGGTCTTGAACTCCTGACCTCAGGTGATCCACCCGCCTTGGCCTCCCAAAGTGCTGGGATTACAAGTATGAGCCACCGCACCCGGCCCATTTTCATTTCTTTAAGGTCTACTCTGTGTGTATGTTGTGGCACACCTTCAATGCTGAGGCAGTTATATAGACTTAATGTTTTTGTCCCCCAAAATTTGCAAGTTGAAATTGTAACACCCAACATGATGGTATTAGAAAGTCGGGCCTTTGGTTGGTGATTAGGTCATGGGGTAGTGCCTTCCTAAACGAGATTAGTGGCCTTAGAAAAGAGACGCTAAAGAGCTCCCTCATACTTTCAGCATGTAAGGACACAGTAAGGCCATCACGGTAATATGAAGGCCATTTATGAACTAGGAAATGTATTCACTAAGCCTGCTGTCACCTTAAATTTAGACTTTTCAGTTTCTACAACCTTGGAAAATAAATTTCTGTCATTTATAGCCACCCAGTCTATGGCAATTTTGTTAAAGAAGCCTAAACAGACTGTAAAAGGCAGGAAGTTTGTAATTCTGCCTTTGTTTTGTGCTAACTCAACATCTAAGGGTCAGGCTGGTGTGATTGTTTAGGGTCTTTTATTAGATCTTTCCTGGGCGTGGAACCAGCCCTTTGTATGTACTAGTCTTTAACATGTACAGCACCTTTAATTTTCCAGGAATATATTAGAAGGTTTCAAAGCTACTAAATAAACAGATTTGTTTTAATTTCAGTTTCTTATAAGTGAATAGTCAGAGATATATTTATAAAATAATAAAAGTGTTTTATATAGTTTATACCCCATTTTTTAGTTACTATTATATGATGAAGTGTTACCTATATGCTAAATATTTCTCTAAAGCAGGAATTTTAACTTCTGCATTACAATTGTTACAGATGTTATGTATTTTACTATGCTATTAAAAATTCCTACTAATGAATATAATTAATGATAGTATTATATGCAGAAGCCAAAGATCATTGCTGTGTATTGATATGTAGTGTGTGAAATTTTTATTTATTCACAGCAGGATGTGATGGATTAGTTTAAAAAAAATTACACCACCACCAAGTCAAATTTTTACCATCAAATTGTTTTAATCCTAGCCCTAAATTAAAAGCAATGTAGACTCTGCCTTTTTCATAGCCTATGAAAATGCACTAAACATCTACTAGCCATAAATAAGATAAATCCCAGACAATAAAGACTCCAAGCCACTGCTGCCCTTTAGAACTCTATGACACAAAGATTGCACTATGCTGCTGCCTAATATCACCTATACATGTGAGCCCTTCCCCTCCAATTCCTCTGTGCCCTGGGAATTTCCTGACCCTTCTAAGTGGTGAACCATGCTATAGCCTCTGTTGAGATTCTTACTGTGAGGAACTTCCCCCACATGCAAACATTTCAAGGCATTGCCCAATAAAATCTGTGTGTTCTACTGCCTATGAGTAGTCAGATCTTTTTTCTTGATATGCTCCCAAATCCCTAAAACCCCTATACATACATCATTGTGGTCATCACTGATTATGTCTTTGGGTTAAGTTACTCTAAATAATATAGTGTTCCCAAAGTCATTGACCTTTCTAGTAACATTCACATTTTATACATTTGCAAAAATAAAACATATTAATTCCATACATTTTGAAAAACTACAACATATCAATGATTAAAATGTATTCATTCTTAAATCTGATTAAGAATTTAGAAGAAAAAAATTCACACATTTCAAATGACTCAGAGAAAATTGTTTCTGGTAGTTTTTGCTCTTTATAGATACATATGTAATATATATATATATCCACATATGTGTATTTTTAACTAAAATATGACATATTTTACATACACTTTGAGGGTAAAATTTCCACTTAGTATCCTGCATTTATTGTACAAATAAATATGCTACATTAATTTATAGCTATCTAGTATTTTATTGTGTGACTGCTTCATTATTTAATCAAGCCCCTAATTTCAAATACATATGTCATTTCATATGCTTTGTTATTTTAAAATTGTGGTCTTTTAGAATAATGTTTTTGTAAATATTCTTGATCATTCAGCTCAAGAAAACTAAAAAGTTACATTGCTGAATCAAACAGCATGCAGTGTTTTTTGTTTTGTTTTTGACTTTTGGTATACTTAGGACCATAAAGATGATCTCAACCTGAGCAAGATAGAGAACTATGAAGTTTTAAGCTCTTTTCCCCCGATGGAAACATTTAAAAAGTACTTAGAGTTGGCTAAAATAACTTTGTAAGAACTCTATAAGACAGTCAAAGATGTAAAGAAACCAAGTAAATGCCCCATAAAGAAAAAGTCACATTTTTAAAAGTAGGAAATTTCATGGCATATGGATTTGCCCTTGCCCTGCCTCCATACCACAAAACACACTGTAGTCAGGAGGAAGCAACAGCTCAATTCCCAATGGCCACCCTTGAGAGAGTAGGAGAAGGCAGTGTTCTATTCTGCCTGTGGAATGCCGGAAGGTCTTTGTTTTGTCTAACTCAGAACTCAAAGGGGGAAAGCAGCATAGTTCAGCTCTCAGGTTAGGAAAAGACAATGTAAAGAGCAAGCAGTCTTCATCAAAGCTGAAGAGGACTACAAACATTCAGATACCTCAGAGCAAGAGATTACTTGTAGATAAATATAATAAAACATCTAAGGCCCCAAGAAGTAGCTGGAGTAAGCTGGTAAATTAAGACCTTGAAAAGCAGCCTTGTATAAGAGGAATAAAATAAACATGCACACACCAAAATACATGTACATTAGGCAAGATGCATGACCAGGTAAAACCTGAGAATTCCAGAAATCTTCACCCTGGGCTAATCCCAAGGATCAGAACATGTCCTGATAATTACTGAAGGGCTTCCCCAGAAATAAGCCAGTCTGTAAATACTAAGAGAAGGCTCTTTTTTTTTCAAATGCCCAATTTTCAACAAAATAAAACAAGAAAATTTTTAAAACAGAAAAATGTGGTCCATTCAAAGAAAGAAAATTAAGTGGCAGAAATTGTCCTTTGGAAAACAAAGGCATTTGTTATACAAAGCAAAGATGTGAAAACTGTCTTAAATATGTGCAAAGTGCTTAAGGAAAACATGCACAGAGAACCAAAGAAAGCTCAACAGAGAAATGATATGTGAACAAAAATAAGAGTATCAACAAATAAATAAAGGTGGAAAGTACAATAATTTAATAAAAAAAATATCACTAGAGGGGTTCAAGAGCTGACTGAAGCAGACAGAGGAAGATCCAGCAAAGTTGAAGATAGGATATTTGAAACTATTGAGTCTGGGGAGCAGAAAAAAGAAATAAAGAAATGTTAACAGAGCCTAAGGGATTTATGAGATAGCATCAAACAGATAAATAGACACATTACGGGGGTTCTAAGAAGTAAAAACTGAGAAAATGGCAAAAAAGATTATTTGAAAAAATAATGGCCATACAGTTTTCTAAATCTTTAAAAAAAAAGGTGTGGATATACAAATCCAAGGTGCATGATGAGCTTCAAGTAGGATATACCCCGAGAGACCCACAATGAGACATAATCAAATACCCAAAAGCCAAAAGGCACAAAATCTTGATGAACAGTAAGAGAGAAGTGACTCAAGTACAGTAATCTTCCCTTATCTGTGGGGGATATATTCCAACACCCACAGTACACACCTGAAACCATGGATAGTACCAAACCCAAAGTATACTATAAGTTTTCCTGTACACATATACCTATGATAAAGTTTAAGTTATAAATTAGGCACAGTAAGTGACCTCTTTTTGGCATATATTTGGCTTCTCTTTGGCATATTTTAAGCTTCCAGTGTCACTGCTCTTGTGCTTTGAGGTCAGTATTAAGTAAATTAAGGGTTACTTGAGCACAAGGACTGCAATACCACAACAGTCAATCCGATAACTGAGATGGCCACAAAGTGACTAATGAGTGGGTAGTGTATACAGCATGGATAAGTTGGAAACAGGAGTAGTTCACGTCCAGGGTGAGATTTCATCACACTACACAGAATGTCACACAATTCAAAACTTATAAATTGCTTGTTTCTGAAATTTTATATTTAATAATTTTTACCATGGTTGACAATGGGTAACAGAAACCATGGAAAGTGAAAATGCAGATAAAGGAAGACTACTGCACAGGAATTCCTAGCGAGATTACCAGTAGATTCTTCAGTGAGGACCTTAGAGGCCAGAAGTACTGGGATGATAATTTAAAGTGCTAAAAGAAGAAAACTGTAAATCAAGAATTCTATATCTAGCAAAACAAGAAAACTGTAAATCAAGAATACTATATATAGCAAAACACTGGATAGACATCAAGGGTCTTTAAAAAATGAGGGAGAAATTAAAACATTCCCATATCAATAAAAGTTCAGAATATTCATTACCTCTAGAGCTTCCTTATTTAAAAAAATATATTAAATTAAGTTCTTCAAGTTGAAATGAAAGGACATTAGACAAACACACAGCCATAGGAAAACATAAATATCTGTAGGAAAAGCAAATACATAGACAAATATAAAAATATTATTGTGGCTGGGCGCGGTGGCTCATGCCTGTAATCCCAGCACTTTGGGAGGCCGAGGCGGGCGGATCACGAGGTCAGGAGATCGAGACCATCCTGGCTAACACGGTGAAACCCTGTCTCTACTAAAAATACAAAAAATTAGCCGGGCGTGGTGGCAGGTGCCTGTAGTCCCAGCTACTGGGGAGGCTGAAGCAGGAGAATGGCATGAACCCAGGAGGCAGAGCTTGCAGTGAGCCGAGATCGCACCACTGCACTCCAGCCTGGGTGAAAGAGTGAGGAGACTCTGTCTCAAACCAACAAACAACAGCAACAAATATATATATATATATATATATATATATATATATATATATATATATATATGCAAATTTTGTTGATAACTTTGCTTTTCCTTTACCACAGGATTTCTGACAAATGCAGAAAAGACAAATGAAGAAAATCAAAGACAAATGCAGAAAAAAAATCATTGTAAATGTATGCTAATGTGCACAAAATGTATAAAGATGTTATTTGTACATTAACATAAAGTGGGGGTGGTGAGCTGTAAAAAGTAGAGTTTTGTATACTCTTGAAGTTAGACCATATCAATTAAAAGTAGACGGTTTTAACTTTAAGATGTTATATACAATCCACATACTATCCACAAATAAAATACCTATAGAATATATTCAGAAGGAAATGAGAAGGGTATAAAAATTTGTCACTATGAAAAATTATGGAGCAAATTAGGAGAAACTATGGAGCAAATTAGGAGAAAAAACTGTACAGAAAACAAATAACAAAATGGCAAATGTAAGTCCATTTCTGAATTGTAGAAGATTTCCATCTGAAAGGCAGAGAAAATATTTACAGTTGCAAGTTTTCTAAAGTAAATTCCCTAAGGAAAGGTAAGTCAGGGGTTTACAGTCAGGTTTTGACTGGAACAAAGACTAAATTATTTTCGTATCATTGAGATTTCTCAGGCAGGCATTTTTAAGCGGCTAGAGTCATCCTAGTAACATAGTCATGATAGATTTGATCAACTCTCTTAATGTGTATGTGTGCAGAGGGGCTTGGATGGAGTCCTTGGTATCATGTTGTTATTTACTTTTTTTATATTAATGTTTGTTTGTGTGTATGTGTGTTTATTCAACTTTACTTTTAGAACAGCAGTAGGTTTGCTGCAGAATTGAGTGGAAGGTACAGAGATTTTCTATACAACCTCTGCCCTACACATGCATATCTTTCTGATTATCAACATTCCCCACCAGAAAGGTACATATGTTGAAATCAACGAACCAACATTGACAAGTCATTCTCCTCCAAAGTCCATAGTTTATTTTACAGTACACTCTTGGTGGTGTACATTACCTGGGTTTAGACAAATATGTAATGACGTGGATCCACTATTATAGCACCATAAACAGTAGCTCTACTGACCTAAATAATCCCCTGTCCTCTCCCTAGTCATCCCTCCTTTCTCAAACCCCTGACAATGACTGATTTTTTACTGCCTTTGTAGTTTTGCCTTTTCCAGAATGCCATATATTTGGAGTCATACACTATGTAGCCTTTTCAGTGTGGCTTATCTTAGTGATATCCTTTTAAGATTCCTTCATGTCTTCTCATGACTTGATAGATTATTTATATTCAGCAATGAATAATATTTTATTTTCTTCATGTACTACAGTCCATGTATCCATAATTCACCTACTAAAGGGCATCTTGGTTGCTTCTGAGTTTTGGCAATTATAAATAAAATTGCTGCTGAAAATATCCCGCAGTTTTTTGTACAGACATGTTCTCAACTTCTGTGAGTAAATAACAAGGAGTGTTATTGCTGGATAATATGGAAAGGATTTTTTTTTTTTTTGAGACAAAGTCTTGCTCTGTTGCTCAGGGTGGAGTGCAGCTGTGCAATCTGGGCTCACCGCAACCTCTGCCTTCTGGGTTCAAGCAATTCTCCTGCCTCAGCCTCCCTAGTGGCTGGGATTACAGGTGCATGCCACCATGTTAGGCTAATTTTTGTATTTTTAGTAGAGATGGGTTTTCGTCATTTTGGCCAGGCTGGTCTCGAACTCCTGACCTCAGGTGGTCTGCCCATCTTGGCCTCCCAAAGTGCTGGGATTACAGGCATGAGCCCCCATACCCAGCCAATTTGTTTAGTTTTGTAAGAAACCACCAAGCTGTCTTCCAAAGTGACTGTATCATTTTGCATTCCCACCAACAATGCATGAAAGTTTCTGTTGCTATACATCCTTATGAGCATTTGGTGTCAGTGTTCTTGATGTTGGTCATTCTAATGGGTGTGTGGTATTATTGCATTGTTGTTTTAATTTGCATTTTCTTGATACATATGAGATCGAGAATCTTTTTATATGCTTATTTTTATCTGTATATCTTCTTTGGTGACTTGTCTGTTAAGGTGGTTGTTCCATTTTTTAATTTGGTCTTTTGTTTTCCTATTCTTGAGTTTTAAAAGTTCTTCATCTGTATTGGATAACAGTCCTTTATCAGCTATGTCTCTTTTTTTGCAAATACTTCTCCCAGTCTGTGGCATGTCTTTTTATTCTATTGACAGTACCTTTAGCAGAGAGGAGCTCTTATTTTTACAAAAAAGTTGGAAGAATAGTACAAAGAACTGTCATGAGCTCTTTATCCAGATTCAGGATAGTTAAAAGTATTTTGTCCAATTCGCTTTATCGTTCTCTCTCTCTCACTTCCAGAATATTTAAGAGTAAGTGGCAATCCTCATGCCCCTTTACTCCTGAAAAACTCAGCATGTATTTATTAAGAAAAGGAAATAGGTAACCACAGTAAAATTATTTCACTCTGGGAATTTAATATTCATATAAAATCTAATCACAACCCATATTGTGTTTATTATATAATTAATATATTTTATTGATTATATAATTAATTTATTATTTATTATGAAATGAAAAAAATCATATAAGGCAAGAATGAGCCAGAAGTGATGTGTTCATTTCGGTGCATTTTACCAAAATGAATGTGAATATTGGTTTATATCAGTGTTGGTGATATTAACTTTGGTCACCTAGCTAAGCAGTCCTACAAGATTTCTCCATGGTAAAGATACTATGATTTTTATTGTAAGTAATAAGTAATATTTGGGAGATACTTAGAGACTATTTAAATATATTTTTCCACATGAATCCCTCCACCCACTAGTGTTAACATTTATTTATAATTTTCTAACTGTGTTATTCCTTCTGCATTTATTGGCTATCATTAAAAATAAGGAATAGCTTCTCATTGCACCTTCATATTTACGTATTTAGTCATTTATATCAGTTTGAACTAATAAATTATATAATATTCAGAAAATTATAACCCATTAATATAATTATTTATTTATTTTTCTATTTTTTAATTTTTTAAACTGTTTTTTTTTAAATTTTTTAAAATTTTTTTAGAGATTGGGTATCACTATGTTGACCAGGCTGGTCTCAAACTCCTGGCCTCAAGCATCTTCCCATCTTGGCCTTCCAAAGTGCTGAGATTACAGGCTTGAGCCATAATTCCCAGCCTACAATAATGAAATTTGATGTAATATCACCTTAGTTTCGACCAGTGGGGATTCATTCAAACTACTTTCCAGGTCTCTTTGACGTATTCCTGTCATTCTTCAAGTAGTCTCTAAATTTCTAGCACAACAAGTTTTTCCAGGACCATCATGTACTTTTTTGCTCCAGACCTGTAATTGGCTATTTCTCCAAGGAGCTCTGGAATCTTTTATTGGGTAATGGTATTCATAAATGAAAATCTGATTGCTAGCCTTGCTCATTCCTACTGGGGAATCATTGATTCTAGTTCTTCTCAGTAGAAAATTATACTAACATGTCCAATAAAAATCTGATATTACAGGATTAATGGATGCATTCTAGCTCAAATTGTCTTTTTTCACTATTTATTATTTTCAGCTCTAAAAGTGAGAATGCTGAATCTATACTGAATGTATTTACTTATTTGCTCAAGCCTAGCTTACACAGGAAGTAGTTTCAGAAACACTAACCCATAACATTGTTAAAAGAAAATTTAATAAAACATGTTCAATATTTGTTTGCAGTTATTATTTTGTGAAGAAAATCCCTATAGAAGAAAATACAAAGGTATTATTTGTACAATTCAATAAATTTTGATACATATGTGTACCTCTGTAAGTATCACCCTAATTAGGATATAGGATAGTTCCACTACACCCAGAATTCCTTTAGGTCTTCATCCAGTAAATTCCTACACCATGACAGGTGAAGAACATTCTGAATTTGTCACCTAACTATCCATGTTTGTTCTTGTACCTAAATTATTTTAGCTATATCTCTTTGGATTATTTTTATAATGATTGCTAGTGATTACAATCTATATTCTTGATTTATAATCAGACAAAGTCTTCTTAGAGCTAGTATTTTACCACTTTACAGAAAACATAAAAATTGAGAATAGCATGATTACATTTACCTGCAGATCTTTGCTGCTATTGCTGTCATATAGATCACATCTTTAGGTATCAGAAAATCTACTATACATATTTTGTTGTAAACAATTTGCTTAAAGAAATTAAAATTGAGAAAACATATATTTATATTTGCCTATGCACTTACTCTTTGTGTCACACTTCAGTCCTTTGTGTAGATATGATATTTAATCTGGTGATATAATGCTTCATTCTGAAGAAGTTTCTTTAACATTACTTTAAGTGAAAGTTGCATAGTAATAAATTCTTCATTTTAATTTATCTAAAAATGTATTTTTCCTTAATACTTTATGGATATTTTAACTAGTTATAGAATTAGGGATTGATCCTTTTTTATCTTCAGCATTTTAAAAGTACTGTTCCATTGTGGTGTTTGTGTGTGTGTACTTGATTATTTATAATGAGAAGGAAGCCATTATTTCTATCACTATTTCTCTCAAGGTGATGTTATGAACTCTGCCTGCTTTCAAGATTCACAATTCATTTTTCGTTTCACTAGTTTGAATATGATTTGCTGAGTTTATGGTTTGATTCCATGATGACTGAAATTAACTGAAATTCCTGGGTCTCTACATCAAAGTTTTGAACTAAATTTTGAAAAAATAAAAAAAAATTAAATTTTTTAACCCCTCTTTTCGGGGGAGTCCATTCCTTCTTTTTGATTAACTTCATTACTCGTGAAAGTGCAATCTTGTGTCTTTCAAGAAGAGTATATTCATGGGTTAGTTTTCTAGGGATTTATCATATTAGAATATGTTAGTTGTGTTTATACCTGAAAAAAAAAATCTACTTTTGCATAAAATTCTTGGTCACCTTTTTTTCCTTAATACTCTACAGAAAGGTAATTCTTAATCATTGAGGACATATGATGAAATAGGTATGATGAAATAGCATGCTGAAATAGGTAGGTAACTTTCAAACCCTAAGCCATAATTACCAGCTCTTGATGTAGGCAATGCTGCTGTTAATGGGAGTGAGTTCAGCACGTAAGTGATGAAAAGGTAGAAAAACATATGGCTGTTTTTTGTTGTTGTTGTTGTTGTTTTTGTCAAGTAAGGTTGTATTGAAGTGTGATGTCAATTCCCTTATATCCTATGTTTTTAGGTTATATAGTTTTCTCCTGTTATATTTTTAAAAACTTAAATTTTCCTTTGTAATCTGAACACATTTGCAGTTGCGTATAGGTGTGGGTCTCACCTTATTCAGTATGGAACCCATCAGTCTGCATACACATGAATTTTTTCAACTTTGGTAAAAATCTACAGCTATAGGGTTGAATATTTATTTGCAATTGTTTTGATTTGTTGTCCAGAGATAACTGTAATTCCTTTTAAAAATAATTTCAAGTTTTATTTCTAATTCAGGGTGTAAATGTGCAGGTTTGTTACCTGGGTATGTTGTGTGCCACTGAGGTGTGAGGTATGAATGACCCCAACACCCAAGTACTAAACATAGTACTAAGTAGGTAGTTTCTCAGACCTTAGCCTGTTCCCTCTCTTCCTGCTTTTATAGTCTCCTGTGTCTATAGTTTCCATATTTATGTGTATTTGTTCCCAGTGATAAGATATCACTTATAAGTGAGGACATGTGGTATGATTTTCTGTTCCTGTATTAATTCACTTAGGATAATGGCCTCCAGCTACATCCATGTTCATGCAAATGACATGATTTTGTTATTTTTAATGGTTTCATACTATTCAGGGGTGTGTATGTACCACATTTTTTATCCAATCCACCATTGATGGGCACTTGTGCTTTTACTCCATGTCTTTGCTATTGTGAATAGCACTGCAACGAACATGTGAGTATGTGTATCTTTTTGGTAGAATGATACTTTTCCTTTGGGTATATACCCAGTAATGACATTGCTGGGTTGAATGGGAGTTCTGCTTTGAGTTCTTTGTGAAATTTCACAACTTCTTTCCACAGTGGCTGAACTAATTTACATTCTCTTCAACAGTGCATAAGTGCTCCCTATTATCTACAGCCTTGCCAGTATCAGTTATTTTTTTTTTTTCACTTTTTAATAATAGTCATTCTGACTGCTGTGAGATGGTATCTCATTGTGGTTTTGACTTGCATTTCTCTGATAATTAGGGATGTTGAGCATTTTTCAAATCTTTGTTAGCTGCTTTTATGTCTTCTTTTGAAAGGTGGCAGTTCATATCCTTTGTCCTTTTTAATGGGGCTGTTTTTTGCATGTTAAATTGTTTAAGTTCATTATAGATTCTGAATAATAGATTTTTTCTGATGAGTATTTTGTGAATATTTTCTCCTCTTCTGTAGGTTGTATTTTTACTCTGTTGTTAGTTTATTTTGCTGTGCAGAAGCCCCTTAGTTTAATTAGATTCCACTTGTTCATTTTTGTTTTTGCTGCAATTGCTTTTGAGAAATTAGTCCTAAGTTATTTGCCAGGACCAGTGTACAAAATGGAAACTAGGAAACCAGGTTTTCTTCCAGGATCGTTATAGCTTGAGAACTTACATTTGAATCCTTCATCGATCTTGAGTTAATTTTTGTATGTGCTGAAATGCAGGGGTCTAGTGTTATTCTTCTGCATATGGCTAACCAGTTACCCAAGCCCCCTTTGTTGAATAGGGAGTCCTTTCCCCATTGCATATTTTTCTTAACTTTCTTGAAGATCAGATGGCTGTAGGTGTGCAACTTTACCTGGGTTCTCTCTTATGTTTCATTGGTTTATGTGTCTGTTTTTGTGCCAGTATCGTGCTAATTTTTTAAATTATAACCTTATAATATAGTGTGAAGTCAGATAATGTGATTGCAGCAATAACACATTCAGACCAGATCCACATCACCAAGCTGGTAACCCAGGAGGAACCATGGCTGCAGAAGCTTTCCTCCCACCCCAGACTTTTATCAGCTAGATGCCATTGCAGGGAGTGTTTGCCCACCTTCTACTTCCCAATATCTGGATTGCCCTTCATTGTTACATTGGATTCCCATTTTCCTTCTTGAATGAAATCTCAAAGAGTTGATAATTATGCACTATTTTGCTATTTCCAAGTGGCTGGGGCATGCCCAAAGCCTCTAATCCACCATTGTTTTATTAGGAATTCTGGGTTTTTTTTGTTTTCTCTCTTTCAGAAGTTTTTGTTTTTGTTTTTTCTTAGTCAGATGGTGCCATCACAGTTTCCGGAATGAAGCAATAGACAAATGAAAAGCCTTCCAATTTGAGCCAGGTGTCTGTTGTTTAAGCACTTGCTAGTTCTTGGTAGCTCATGCTAGTTTTCCTGTTTTCTCTGGAGGGAAGACCAGAAGGTGATGCTGGGAATCAGTCCCCAGTGCTCTCCTTATGTGGACTATTGTGAGGCACATACATACCCTCACTGCCTCTGCTCTTAGAGGGGCAGACTTCAAAACAAAAGGGATGAGTGTGGGGGACATGTGCGTGGGGGTTTCCATGGCCACTGGCTGATCCAACCTCACCACATCTCAACCTAACTAAACACACCCCTTCGGGGAACTTAGAACCGTCTCAGCTGATCACCACCTTGGAGGTTTCCTGGGGTGCAGCCTCAAGTTGGCACTGCTAACTGCTGCTGCCACCATCACTGCTGCAAAAGAATAAGGTGGGACTATAATTCTTAAGTTGAATACCCATTTTCTTGATCTGCATAGAAACTACTCACTCGTTTAATTTTTATTTTTTGGCAGCTTAAGGATGTTTATCTTACATTTATGACTTGCTTTTTCTTTTTCATGGAGGGCATGTTTTCCAATGTCTCATTGGTAATACCAGTCAGATTTCTTTTTAGTAGTTATACTTCTATGAATAATTTCAGGACGATGTGTTAAGCAAGACTTCAGAAGCAGGTTCATTTCCCTAGGCCCACCATATATTTCAAAGAATCCTTATAAGACTTTTTTGTTCCTGCTAAAGTATCCTGGAATCATAAGAGAGATGTATGCAGTGTTTTCCATGAGATAATATCATTTGAATTGGCCCAAGTAATGTCATATAATTTTAATAGAAGTGGAAAATCAGAATTCTTCATTCAATGAGTTTCATGATTGAGAAGGAACACTTTACAGGTTTTCATGGCACATTCTTTTTTCACAGATACAATGCTTAAATTCTTGACTGCTCAGTAAGAAACATGAGGAGCTACTGTGCTTACTCTTAGATACTGACTGTATTGGTATTTTTTTCCCAAAACAACAGATGAAGAAAGTTGATATGACTATATTATATTTCAATTTCTACTATGTTAAAATTATTTATCTATGACAACTGTTTAAACATTCTATAACACTCTAATCCTGGGGAGTTTCTGAAAATATCTTAAATTTTTAGCATAAACTCTAGATGGTCCATTGGTCAGTACCTACAAACCAACAGAGAATTCTTTTTTGTCTATGTACTTTTCTGCGCTTTCTAGTATGCAATATACTGCTACCATTATTCATTTGGCTTCAAGCTGCATTAGGAATAGAGGGAGAGATAGTTGTTAGTATGGTTTCAATGTATGTGTCTCTCCAAATTTCACATGTTGAAACCTAATCCTTAAGATGATGATTTTAAGAGGTGGGTCTTTGGAAGATAATTAGGTCATGAGGCTGGAGTCCTCATGAATGGGATTTGTGCCTTTACCAAAATGGCTTGAGGAAGCTTGCTAGCCCTTTTTTGCTCATCCACTATGTGAGGACAGAGCAAGAATGTGTCATCTGTGGGGAATGGGCCCTCACCAGACACCAAATTTTCTGGAGCCTTGATCTTGTACTTTCCAGCCTTCAGCACTGTGATAAATAAATTTCTGTTGTTTATAAATTACCCAGTATAACATGTTTTGTCATAGAAGTCTGAACTGACAAACGCAGTTGTATTTTCTTGAGAGTAAATAAAAAAACAGTTCTAAGGGTGAGCTGTGTTTCCGAGAATAATACTCTGAATATCCATCTGTCTGGCAAGACTGCTATTTATATTGCTCATTGTGAAATTTGTTTCAGCTCTTTTGCTCTTGTTATGAGTAAACATTCCTTTCCAACTCTACTACTAGGTAGTATATCAGCCTTGTTTAGGTTTTTGAAAAAGGAGCTAATGTTTTTTTATCTATTTTTGTGTCTCCTGAATATTATAAGAAAATTGAGAAAGTGGTGTAAGGATGCCATTTTAAAAACTCAGAAAATCATGATTGGATTATTGAAGAAAATACCACATATCTTAATTTTCCCCTTCTTTCTTTTACAATAACAGCATTTTTTCCTTGAATATTCACTAGAGAATTGATGAGCATTTTAATGTTTGTATTTTATAAAATGTGCCATAAAATTTTGTCATTTTTTTCATTTTTTGAAACTATTCATACATTTGTTATATTTTCTTCAAGTTAAATTGAGATTAATCCATAATATTTTAAAGGAAATACTATGCAGAAAATGAATTACAAGGGGAACAATAATTTGAGGAAAATTTCTTACTTTGACCTAAAAGTTTACTTCCCTGTTATGAAACTCTATCCTAAGAAAATAAATTTTCTACCACAAGCAATTGTAACAAAAGCCAAAACTGACAAAAATGGGGTCTAATTAAACTAAAGAGTTTCTGCTCAGCAAAAGAAACTATCATCAGAGTGAACAGACAACCTACAGAATGGGAGAACATTTTTGCAATTTATCCATCTGACAAAGGTGTAATATCCAGAATCTCCAAGGAACTTAAATTTACAAGAAAAAACAAACAACCCCATCAAAAAGTGGGCAAAGGACATGAACACTACTCAAAAGAAGACATTTATGTGGCCAAAAAACATATAAACAAAGCTCACCATCACTCAACATTAGAGAAATGCAAATCAAAACCACAATGAAATGCCATCTCACACCAGTTAGAATGGCGATCATTAAAAAGTCTGGAAACAACAGAGGCTGGCAAGGATATGGAGAAATAGGAACACTTTTACATTGTTGGTGGGAGTGTAAATTAGTTCAACCATTGTGGAAGACAGTGTGGTGATTCCTCAAGGATGTAGAGCTAAAAATACCATTTGACCTAGCAATCCCATTGCTGGGTATACATCCAAAGGATTATAAATCATTCTGCTATAAAGACACATGCACACATATGTTTATTGCAGCACTGTTTATAATAGCAAGGACTTGGAACCAACCAAAATGCCCATCAATGATAGAATGGATAAGAAAATGTGGCATATATAGACAATGGAATACTATGCAGCCATACAAAGGAAAGAGTTCGTGGTTTTTTTTGCAGGGACATGGATGAAGCTGGAAACCATCATCCTCAGCAAACTAACACAGGAACAGAAAACCAAACACTGCATGTTCTCACTCATAAGTGGGAGTTGAACAATGAGAATACATGGACACAAGGAGGGGAACATCACACACTGGGGCCTGTCAAGGGGTAGGGGGGAAAGTGGAGAGAGAGCATTAGGACAAATACTTAATGCACGTGGGGCTTAAAACCTAGATGACAGGTTGATATGTGCAGCAAACCACAATGGCACATGTATACCTACATAACAAACCTGCATGTTCAGCATGTGTATCCCAGAACTTAGAGTAAAATAAAAAAAAATGTAAATAAATGAAATTGTTTAAAAATGGAAAATAATAAATTTTCTTATCATTCAATCAAATTTTATTTAGCCCTTGATTCTGCAAACTATTCTAGGCACTATGGTGGAATCTAAGATAAGACATAATATTCTTTTTAGTTCAGGTCTATATAATCTTGTTGATACTTGCTTTAATGTGACCTTATTGAATATATTAGGTTAACTGAATTTGTGAGAGTAACCTAATCTACTTCAGGTAAATATTTATTATCAAATTTTTATTCATTAATTTTACAGTCCTTCACCCAGAAACCATTATGAGTAGTTACTGAATAATTCGGTGGGAATTCAAAAAGGAATACTGCATTTCTTCTGACCCGCCTAAGGTGTTCACATACTAATGAAGAAGACAGAAGCAAACACCAAAGATTATAGTAACTAATATTAACATGAACAAACACCTATGGGAGTAAAGAGAAGAAAGTGATTAATTTCTTCTTGTCTACTTTCTTGTCTACTCCTTGAGAGCAAAAACTATTTATTTCATGTTCAAAAAATATCACCCATAGACAAGTGCCTGTCTCATTGTAACCATTCAATAAATATTTGTTTAATACATAAATAAATACAATTTTAAAAGTAATTTGAAATGTTTCACAGAGAAAGTTATATTTGTATAAGTCTTAAAAGTAAGAAAGGATACTTCCAGGAGAAAAGTGGTAGAAAGAGCATTCCAGGCAGAAAGGATAACGTGAGCAAAATTATACAAAGATAAAAATGAATGGTGTGACTGAGGAGAAGTAATTATTCGGTTATAGCAAATAATGCCATATATACTTAAGGCTTTTTCTAAAAAAGGTTTTTTAGGCTCAGATGATGAGTGAAGATGTATGACAACCTAAGGAAATGGGACATTATTCTGTAGGTAATTAGAAATCACTGATGATTTTCAAGTTACAGGATGAGAACTTGTCTGAGTTCTTTGTACTAATGGAGAGGAAAACAGGAAAGAGTATGTCAAAAACCTCTGTATTTTTAAAGCATTGTAAAAATAAAGATTCAAAAATACTCTCAACACATTGTACAAAATTTTATTCAAAGATTAAGATGTGCTGCTTTCCATACAGGTAATTTTGTTCAAAAGTTGGCATCTAACCTCTTAGACAAGCTGAGTAGTAACCAAATGATGCCATGTGTTACTGTGCTTTTATTTTTAACCTCATGAACCTCTGATATTTTAATTCAATATCAGATTATTTCTTTGTAGGAGATGCTTTGGGGATATGGACAGGAATTGTATTTATGAACTGTAGTGGCCATTAGCCATTTCCAATTTAGTGGAATCAGAACTTGTTTTTATAATCACACAAATGCTCTGGGTTTAAAAACTACTTCTTTAGGAGTATGTGAGGACTTACAGCCAATAATGTTTGTCATTAGCTTACCATAAAAATATCCAGGGTTTATGACTTGATGCCTTCTATTTTTGCTGCAATCCTAGTGACTAATATGTACATTTATGAGCTGTATTTTATCATTTGAAAGACCTTGAAATATTTTTTTTATCAGTAGGAAGTTGGATATTTTCCATGAGCATAAGAAAAAGCTCTAAATAATATATTCAGAAAGCTTTAAAATAATCAGTAGACGGTTTTAAAACAAAAACTAAAGATACAGGAGTGAGGATGATTCTAATGACCCATTAATGCTCCTGCCTCCACTGCAGTCATTATAGCACAAAAAAAATCAGCTTTAAATTCTTTCTGTAGCTGAGGATGTACATGTAGTTTCAAGCTGCCCTTTCATGACAGCTGCTTTGCAATATAGATATATATATTTCAGAATAATGTATTTTAAAAAGCATGCTATTGTAACATTTCTATGTATACTTCCCAACTGTCCTTCACATCTGTTGTTGTCCAAAGGTGGTGTATGTCTCCTCAGTATAATAATTTTCAGGTCCATAGTCATGCAAAGTTAAATATGTACACTTGAAAGATAAGCTGTATAGGTAAACCAAAATATGATTTTGTTGACTTTAAGAATTATTTTAATTGGTTTACGAATTTATATTCACTTATGTAATCTTTAAGTGCTTTAAGATACTACATATGTGATACCAAAAAAAAAAAATCATTAGTCAAGGCCAAAGTAATTGTTAGCAGTATTTAATGCATGCAAGACATCGTATTTTGGTCACTGATATAATCATTTATGAGTAACCTATTACAATTTGCACAGAAGTGACCTTTTCCTTGTAAGTAAAGGGCACATTTTACAGCTTTCTGAACATGTCTTATCTACTTAAGAAGTTTGAGAAAATATAAGATGTGGTGACATTTAATTTTATTCTAGTTCATTGCCATTAACTTCCTGATGCTGACTTTTAGATAGTCATATATGGTCCTTTGTTAAGACAAAAAATAAAAACTCCCTATATCACTGAAACTTGTTAAAGTATGAAGAAAATAAGAAAAAGATTGAAGAGTTTAATAAATGCTTGTGATTATTAATACTGAGTGTCAACTTGATTGGACTGAAGGATACAAAGTATTGATTCTGGGTGTGTCTGTGAGGGTGTGGCCAAAAGAGATTAACATTTGAGTCAGTGGGCTCCACATACTTAAATTCACATAAATAGTAGAAAGATTACAAAATAGAAAATGCTTCTGTTTCTGAGCTTTTTTCCAATGTTGCAATTTAATCCAGAATACAATTCCATTCCCAACTATGCCACACTTTTTAATATACTCAGTGTCTGGCCTTGAATCCTGTGGATCAATTCAGCTATGAATTTAACAAAATATGGAAGCTGTCTACGAGCATATGTTCAACCATGCATTTGCTATCCTCCTCTCCACAGTGTGTAATGGATTTGGACATAAAATTTAAGGTATTTCACAGGCTGCTTGCTATGTATGGAAAATCAGAGTTCAGAATGAGGTTTTCATTCTAGTTAATTTAATGTTTGAAGTGTGTGTGTCAGCTATATGAGAGATGGGTAGTTATACTGTGTGTGCAATAAAAGAATCAAATCTTCCATACTCCTCCTCTATGCTTAGCCTTCCTTGAATGTGTTCATTAAACTGATAAATGATTTCCAACAAAGAACATTAGAAATAGTTCAGACATTGGAGAATAAAAAGAGAATGAGAAAAACTGAAATTGAAGTTAGAATATAATAGAGAATATTCTATTACAAACCTCGGTCTTAGTAATTGTTATTTTGATACTGCAATTATTTTCCACTGTTGGCTATGATTATATTTCAAATGTTAAATTTTTAAAAATCAGACCCTTGTACTAATTACAAATGTGAATGCAAAATATCTGAGACATGTCTGTCAATTTAGAAAGTTTATGTTGCCAAGGTTAAGGATGTGCCTGCCTGTGACAAAGCCTCAGGAATCCCTGAGACATGTGCCCAAGGTGGTCAGGGGTACAGTTGGTTTTCATACATTTTAGGGAGATATGAAACATCAATCAATATGTGTAAGAGGTACGTTAAGTGGTCTGGTAAGGTGGGACAACTCCAAGCAGGAGCTTCTGGGTTAGAAGTAGATAAGGGAAAAAGGTTGAATTCTTTTGAGTCCTTGATCAGTCTTCCATTGAATACAGAATTCAGTCTGGCTCACTGAATGTGCACTTTTACATAAATAATAGGAAAGAGGGAGTGTGGGGGTCCGTCCCACAGACCCTAACCCAACGATGGATGAATAATGTACACTGACACAGATATTATGCTTGTCAGTCTGGCTGAGGGTCTGGGCCGCTTACAGACTCCCAGGAGAGTGTTGTAAAGAGTTGCAACCGTGGCTCCAACTTGCTGGCCTTTCCAGCATTTATTCAGCCCACATTAAATGACAAAAGTCTCAATAAACACCACTAGAAGGTAATTACCATTGCCAACCCCTGAATAGAGAGCAATCATGCACCCGTGGATGGTCAAAAGTCAGTCTTAGGACCACATGAGCAAACAAGCTATTTAGATAGACTCCTCTACATTCCTATGTTAGTTACCCTTGTTATAGCTCAAAGAGGATTAGGCTGCCTTCAGCCATTAACTCTATCCTGAAGCTTTTGCAAAAACCTTCTGGCCCTCCAAGAAGGTTTATTTTACAAAATTTCCCACCATCCTGACTGAATCCCTAACTCTTCCCCTTTTCTGTTTTCTGCATCAGGTCTTATTGATTGGAGAGCACAGATGTATGCAGCAGCAGGTTTGTCAGGCGTGGTGGTCATTGCTCTTATTCTGGCTTTGCATCCTAGAATTAGTAAATAAAATAAGACAATCATAAGTATAATTAGCAACATTCTTTTCCAATCAAAGAGTGACCCCAGGAGTGGGGGTCTAACCCGGAGAGGTGATCTTGCACATCCTTCCATATGGCCGTTTGTTGGGTGTGTAGATCTATAGTGTGAAGGAATTCTAAAATTTTAGTTTTAAGTTGCTTTATGTCTGCTGTTAAATTATCATGAAAGGTTCCCCAGAAGTGTTGTTTCACCTCATCCCAACTAGGTATTGATTGATTCCATCATAGAGAAGTGACACAGATATGTTTATGCTCCCAGTCGCAGTTTAATTGCTGTTGGAATGCCAGGGCATCTTGTTGCTCCCCCACATATTCCGAAGCAGCCTCGAGGGCTTGCAGACGTGCAAGAATTTTTTGATCTATACCCTGCTGTAAGAGAAGTTAATTAGACCCATTTTGGCCAGAGTATGTACAAAGGCAGCTGTTTGTACTGACTCAGTAACAGATGCCACAGCAATACTAACAGTCGCCAGGATGACTATGGCTGAGGCTATAAAGACTATAGACTATAAAGACTATAAAGGCTGTAAGTGTAACTATGAATCTTTTGTGTCTGACCTGGTATAGAGCATGTTCTAAGGTGGCAAGGGCAGAGGAACCTTGCTAATCATGTGTCAAATTGGTAGGAATGCCTCAGATTGTCTCCTTAATACCATGACACTAGTAACATTTAGATCAGATATATTGTAATTAGTGATATATAACACAAACCAAGCCTGTCCCTGCACCTGGGTCACAAACGCGGAGTTTTGGGGTGTAATGGAAATATTGGTTCCCATAAGGAAACATATGGATGGGTAGTACAAATTAGGCATAATCATAATCAAATTCATAATCAGTGTGATTATGAATAAAGGTTATAGTATAGTTGTTACTGGAATTATGATATGTCCCATGCCAGGTGTCAATGGAGGTGCCAAGATGTCCCAGGAGCCATAAAATATCTTGGGGTGGCATGGATTTTACTTGGGGTCTGGGATATCCCATCCCCTCATTGGCCCAAATCATAGGGGAACAGGACGTGGCTACAAAACTGTGATTGATGCCATGATGGATGAGGACATTAGTAAGGCTGCCCTGCAAATGGCCGTGGGGGCTTCAGTCTAAAATGTTATAATTGCCTAACTGGAGGCTACAGGCTTGTCCCCCATGACAGACCTCCTAGCTAAAGTGAAATCAATTACTTTCCCGGCTTTGTCCTTTAACACAGGAAAGAATGTTTGGGAAAGCAGCATTTATTGCATTACCTGGTTTTAGGCTACCTGCAGCTAAGGCTGTTAAGGCATTTCCTTTGCCATGATGTAGCCATAATAAGAGTTGGGTCACTGAGGAAAACTGAAAACACCTGCAGGTCCAACTGGGATAGGAGTAGATTAATGTACAAAAAGTAGATGCCTAGCCGGGCATGGTGGCTCACGCCCGTAATCCCAGCACTTTGGGAAGCTGAGGTGGGTGGATCACCTGACGTCGGGAGATCGAGACCAGCCTGACCAACGTGGAGAAACCCCGTCTCTACTAAAAATACAAAATTAGCCAGGTGTGGTGGCACAAGCCTGTAATCCCAGCTATTCTGGAGGCTGAGGCAGGAGAATTGCTTGAACCTGGGAGGCGGAGGTTGCAGTGAGCCGAGATCGTGCCATTGCACTCCAGCCTGGGCAACAAGAGTGAAACTCCATCTTTAAAAAAAAAAAAAAAAAAAGGGCCAGGTGCGGTGGCTCACGCCTGTAATCTCAGCACTTTGGGAGGCTGAAGCAGGTGGATCACGAGGTCAGGAGATGGAGACCATCCTGGCTAACACGGTGAAACCTCGTCTCTACTAAAAATACAAAAAAATTAGCCGGGCGTGGTGGCGGGCTCCTGTAGTCCCAGCTACTCACTCGGGAGGCAGAGGCAGGAGAATGGCATGAACCTGCGAGGCAGAGCTTGCAGTGAGCTGAGATCGCGCCACTGCACTAGGGTTAGAGCCTTTATAACTTACACACAGTGGGAGGATAGTGGTGATATGTAGTGTTATCTGGTACCTTAGTCCAATGTGTGCCATTATTGAGGGACCCACTGGGGGTAAATCTATCCCTCCTAGCCAAGCAGTCACATTATTATAGGCTGGGAAGGCGGTGTCTGCCCAGGTGACAGGGCAAAAGAAAGGCAGATCTAATGAGCCCAATAGAGTGTAGCAGGTGCAGGTGGCAGACAAAGCGAGAGCATAAAAAGGATCAATACCCTACGTGAGTTGCAATGTACAACAGAAAGCATAGCAAGGAGCAAATTACCTGGAGTAAATGGTGTCTGTGTCTGAAGCAGAATTTGTTCAGCCTCCTGAGTTGTCCTCTTCGGCATCCCCCAGGTAACATCCGGGGCTTGTGTCGTCCGTGGAAGCTGCATCGTCCAGGGCTGCGGGTCCGGTAGGGTTGGTTCCTTCATCTCTGCTATCAGGTTGGGTCCTAGCCACACCATGGTATGGTTTGATGTGTCGTGCTGGAATCCACAGGGGACCTGAGGGGGTGTGAACACAAGCATACCCTCTTCCCTATGTTAATAATTCACTTGGACCACACCATACGTTACTGTTCACATCTTTCCATAAAACTGAAGGTTTTATGCTTTGAGTGGTTTTAGCAAAGCGCTTTTCTACAGCTGATTGAAATTTGTCATCTAAATTTAGAAAATTAAGGGTAAATAAGGCTTGTGCCAATAGTGTTGCAGGGTCTTTACCCATACTCTCCCTTTTCTGTTTTTTGAGCATATTTTTAAGTGTGGAGTGGGCACATTCTTCTATGGCCTGTCCTTAGGGGTTATGTGGGATGTCTGTGGAATGTTGTATATTCCACATGTGACAAAATTGTTGAAATTGTGAGCTGGCATAAGCTGGACCATTATCAGTTTTAATTTTTGTGGGCCGTCCCATAAACGCAAAAGTTAGAAGATGTTTAATGACATACCGGGTTGATTATCCAGGCAAAGCATGGGCACTAATTAAGTGAGAATTGGTATCAATGGATACATGTACATATCTAAGTTTTCCAAATTCAGGGATGTGTGTAACATCTGTTTGCCATAATTGATTAGGTTCTAGTCCTCTAGGATTAACACCTGTGGAAGGAGGGGACTTGCCTGTGAGCTGGCAATCTGGGCATTGTAGAATAATTTGTTTACCCAGCCTCTGGGTAAGTTGAAACTGTTTAGATAAGTTTCTCCAATTTTGGTGGAAAAATTGATGCAATTGTGTGGCTTGGTCAAGCAGTGATGTGATAATCTGAAGGTCTACTTGATTATCGCCATAAAATAATGGGCAAGGCAGAGAGCTGTGGGCTCGAATGTGTGTGATAAAAATAGGATGTGTACATTGATCTAGCAATTGCTGAAGTCAAAGAAAAAGAGCACACAGGGTGGGCTCGAGAGTGGACTTAATTAAGGCTGTTTCAAGGTTCTGCAATAAATAAACAGAGTAAGCTGAGTCACTCACAATATTTATGGGCTGAGTGGAAAAAGTTTCCAAGGCCAATATCAGAGCCCCAGTCTCAGCTCTTGGAGTGCTAGCAAACCCAGATTGAGTGATTGAATTATGTGGTCCCTACCAGACTGCTGCTTTTCCATATTTACCAGAACCATCAGTAAACAGTGTTAAAGCATTAGGTATGGGGGAGTGAACTATTTTTGTGAACAAGATTACCAGAGTATGAGATAAGAAATTAAGGATTTTATCAGCAGGGAGGACATGTTTTATTTGTCCTGTGTAATCAGAGAAAGCTATTTGCAGATCGATAGATACTGGCAATACTGCTTCGAATTGTGTTTTACTTAAAGGAATCCTGATGACATCAGGGTCATAACCTAGTAACTGATTGCATCATTTGTGGCCTGAATAGATGACTTTAGTAAGTAACCAAATATAGGGAGATAGTGTTTTAGTCCCGGTATGTGAGCAAAAAACCCATTCTAGGAAGTGTAGCCCGGGGGCCATCTGTCCTATTAATCCTGTATGGGAGTCTTTAGTGGGAAAAATAAACAATTGAATTGAATACCATCGATCAACGTGATCTAGCTGCCTCTGAGAGACGGTTTGCTCTATTACCTTGGTTTCCCTTTTTGCTGGAGGGGTTAAATATCTGGGAGAATCCACAGCTGGATTGCCCTTTAAGATAGAAAACAGGTTTTGCAGCTTATCGGTAGATATGCCTAAGGTGGGGCGGAGCCAAGTAATATCGCCTAGTAATTTCTGATAATCATTTAAGGTGTGTAAGTTGCTAGTATTTAATTTAACCTTTTGAGGTCTTACTGACCAGGAAGTTAGTATGTACCCAAGATATCTCCAAGGAGAAGACATCTGTACTTTCTCAGGTGCAATGATTAAACCTCTTAGCTGTGTATTCTTTACAACAGAGGTGTATAAATTTAAAAGCATTGGCTCCATTGGGGCTGCTAGTACAATATGATCCATAAAATGAATAATCTTGCAATCAGAAAACTCTTTTCTACTAGAGAGCAAAGCTTGATTTACATGATACTGACACATGGTAGGACTGTTTAGCATTCCTTCAGGAAGCACTTTCCAATGAAATTGACAAGCTGGCTTGTCATTATTGATAGCTGGTATTGTAAATGCAAATTTTTCTCTGTCCTGTTCTGCTAGGGGAATCGTATAAAAGCAGTCTTTTAAGTCAATAATGATTATAGGCCAATCTTGAAGAATTGCCGCAGTTGTGGGCTTTCTGTAATTTCTCTCCTTTCAGAGGTTACTGTTTTACTTAAATTGGATTTGGAGAGAGTTGCATTAGGGGTAGGAGAGACATAACAGCTGTGGCCATTATCAGAAAGAGGTATTTTAAATTCTTAAATTTTACTTAAATCTTAGCAGAGAATTATAATCTGGGATGTCACTTGTATACAAGGAACACATGAAATTTTGCCGTGGGCCGCCTGCAAAGCTGGAGAGCTGAGCAGGTGGACCCCGGGGCGGTGGCCACGTTGCTCTTGCAAACGAGCCACTTTTTGTCTGCGCTGCTTTTCACCTGTGCCGCTTCTCACTTGTGTGTTCCCCTCCCTCCCCCCACCATGCAGGCTGAGTTCCCGGGAGCTTTTGCTGGCTTTGAGTTTGTGAGCTTCCCTGCTGCCAAGCCTTTCTTTCTATCTACTGCTCACTTGGCCCCACAGCTCCATTCTCTAATGCCTTTTCTTAACTCTTTATGTACCTGATTGGCTCATTGATTTTGCATTACCAGGCAGGCTAAGAGCTCCCCTTCTAATGCCGCTTGCTTAAGACAGGGTTGCATAGCTGTAATGTATCTCTCGCCTTTTTTTCTATTTATTGGAGGAGGAGGCACAGGCAAGACCTCCATTTCCTCTTTGTTATTTTGGCCCTGTGATATTGGGGCTGAGGGACAAGGAGGCGGTAAAGTAGGTGACTATTCCTCCTCCTTCCTCTTTTTAGGCTCTTCTGTGTATAATGGGACCAAAGCCATCCTTACTAGACCCCATAGTGTTAAAGATGATACTGGGACCCATTGCCATTGCACATCATGTTGTTTAAGATTTCTCCCTACTTGTTCCCAGAGCTCTACATCTAGCGTTCCTTCCTTTGGGAACCATGGATTATGATTTACAACAGTTTGCATTAAGTCCCTTAATTGAGCCTGCAAAACCGAGGCTCCACTAGCCTTAAGCAGCTGTTTCAATACTTTTATATACTGATTCTGTTGCGCTGATAACTGTTGTCCCATGATGAAACCTTAGCCTGAACAATCCCCCACCAAACTTGGAAATCCCTAGTGGACACCAATGACTTACTGATTACTCACTGACCGCATGGTCCTTTTCACTTCCGTTTTTGGGGGGTCCATTGTGCTTCTTTCACAACGTTCCTCACACATGCACCAGCTGCGGGGGTGAGTCCCACAGACCCTGACCCAAGGATGAATGAATAACGTACACTGACACAGATATTATGCTTTTCAGTCTGGCTAAGAGTCCAGGCTGCTTACAGACTCCCAGGAGAGTGCTGTAAGAGTTGCAACCTTGGACCCAACTCACTGGCCTTTCCAGCATTTATTCAGCACACATTAAATGACAAAAGTCTCAAGTAAACACCACTTGAAGGTAATTACCATTGCTGCCCCCCCACCCCGAGTAGAGAGCATCTACATTCCTATGTTAACTACCCTTGCTAAGACTGGTTCAACATATGAAAATCAATAAACATAATCCATCACATAAACAGAACCAAAGACAAAAACCACATGATTATCTCAATAGATGTAGAAAAGACCTTTGACAAAATTCAACAGCCCTTCATGCTAAAAACTCTCAATAAACTAGGAATTGATGGGACATATCTCAAAATAATAAGAGCTATTTATGACAAACCGACAGCCAATATCATACTGAATGGGCAAAAACTAGAAGCATTCCCTTTGAAAACTGGTACAAGTCAAGGAAGCCCTCTCTCACCACTCCTATTCAACATAGTGTTGGAAGTTCTGGCCATGGCAATAAGACAGGAGAAAGAAATAAAGGATATTCAGTTAGGAAAAGAGGAAGTCAAATTGTCCCTGTTTGCAGATGACACAATTGTATATTTAGAAAACTCCATCATCTCAGCCCAAAATCTCCTTAAGCTGATAAGCAACTTCATCAAAGTCTCAGGATACAAAATCAATGTGCAAAAATCACAAGCATTCCTATATACCAATAACAGACAAACAGAGAGCCAAATCATGAGTGAACTCCCATTCACCATTGTTTCAAAGAGAATAAAATACCTAGGAATCCAACTTACAAGGGATGCGAAGGACCTCTTCAAAGAGAACTACAAACCACTGCTCAATGAAATAAAAAAGGACACAAACAAATGGAAGAACATTTGATTCTCATGGATAGGAAGAATCAATATCATGAAAATGGCCATACTGCCCAAGGTAATTTATAGATTCAATGCCATCCCCATCAAGCTACTAATGACTTTCTTCACAGAATTGGAAAAAACTACTTTAAAGTTCATGTGGAACCAGAAAAGAACACAAATTTCCAAGACAATCCTAAGCCAAAAGAACAAAGCTGGAGACATCATGCTACCTGACTTCAAACTATACTAAAAGGCTACAGTAACCAAAAGCATAAAAAGTTTAAAATGCTTGATATCATGGTACTGGTACCAAAACAGAGATATAGACACACACCGGGGCCTGTTGGGGGGTGGGTGGAAGGGGGAGGTATAGCATTAGGAGATATACCTAATGTAAATGATGAGTTAATCGGTGCAGCACACCAACATTGCACATGTATACATGTGTAACAAACCTGCATGTTGTGCACATGTACCCCAGAACTTAAAGTATATACATAAAAAAAAATTACCCTTGCTATAGCTCGAAGAGGATTAGGCTGCCTTCAGCCATAACTCTATCCTGAGGCTTTTGCAAAAACCTTCTGGCCTTCCAAGATGGTTTATTTTACAATTTTTCCCACCATCCTGACTGAACCCCTACAAAGGATCAATCAAATATGCATTTGTCTCAGGTGAGCCTCAGATGGATGACTTTGAATAGAATGGGAGGCAGGTTTGCCCTAAGCAGTTTCCAGCTCATCTTTTCCCTTTAGCTTAGTAATTTTGGGGTCCCAAGATTTATTTTCCTTTCACATTTCCCCTGTTTTCTTAATAAAATCTTTCAGAAGAAGCATTTTTGAAAAAACAATGAGTCTCTGGTCTCAGGTTTTGTCTTATCTCTCATGGTTGGAATAGTTTATTAATAGACAGGTAGGTCTCACATTACGAGGAAAGCTCATTTTTAGCAGGTTGTGAAGTCTCATTTCCTACAAAGGGCAAATGGGGGGAAGAAGGGAGAAAAACAACAACAAACAAAAAAGAACAATCTTGGAAAATCAATATAGGCCATATTACTCTGAAGTTCATATATCATTAGGCGTGTATGAGATTGGCTTATGTATGTAAATAGGTTGCTGTTATTTCCTTCTAAAGTTTAAGTTGTGTAGCTTTATTTTGCAGGGCTTTAAGAAAGCACAGCTTAGTTTACAGTTATTTCAAATTAGGAAAAATGGGGAAAAAGTGGGAAAAGAAAGAAGAAAACAATTTGGAGACATGACTTTGGAGAAGTGTAGCCAGGAAACATTTTAGAATTCAGTTCAAACTGCTGAAAATAATAAAAATTGAAAAACATTAGGCAAGAGTAGAATATAATAGGTGTAATAGTTTGTTTTGAAATATAATTTCTCTCTCTTCAGTCTCCTATTCTTATTAAAAAATATTAATAGCACCAATTTATTTGTAAAAGAACAAGCTCTATTCTTATGCTTGGCATTATTATCTGTATAAAGTGAAGCAAGGATAATTATTTTTCACATAGGCTTTTAAATCCGCTTTTATGGAACTCTTTCAAATAAGACTTCTTTTTTCAGCTGAGCCCAGCCATGGGTTTGTACCCTCAAATACCTACGAGGTGAGCAAATTCCTCTCCTCTTGAGGTCCCAAGATAACTTGGGGCTGCTGGACTTGTGAGAAAGTGACATTCTTTAGTTATCACAGGTCAGAAATCCTATACAGGAACTCTGCAGACAAGGCATCAGGCTGGTTTTTCCAGTGGGCTTTTATTGGATCTTCAAGTCAAGCTTGATTCCTTAAAGGAAAGCACATTCCAGTAAAAACCTTGGTAAAACAAGCAGTTTCTCCAATTGTGTCCTGTTGCAAAAGGAAACTTTCTTATTGCACTTATGCAAATAACTATATTTCCATAAGTTAAAAATACTCACAAAGTTTCCAAATTCTAGAGAAATTAGGTAGAAAGAAATACGCTCCAAATTTTGTTCACAGAAATATATTTAACTCCATTGTTTAAATCTGTAAATAGCTTAAAAGACAAGTTTCTTGACTCCAAAAAAAAAAAAGGATCAGCAACGTTTTAAGCAAAAAGTCAAAAAGATTACTTCAGTCTTCTATTAATTCAGTTCATGAAGTTAACTCTTTTTTGATATTCATGAACATTTCAGCTCTCTATGAGTTCTGAAGGTGTTTTCCTTCATTTAATGTCACAATGTCCAAAGTTATTAGAAAACTGCTTTCAAGAGCACCTAACAAAGTCCTACACATTGATTAGAAATCACCTTTTGAAGAGTATCAAAACAAGACAACAATAGTCTGTGGATGTCAAATCTTAGGATAGCCATTATTAAAATCACAATTGACTAGAAATTCATGACTTCTGTGGCATACAAAAATTTCACATAACAATTATAATTATTAATAACATACAATAAGTCATATTAAAATTATGAGTTTCCCAAAATTTTGGGACATATAACTGTAACATTTATATAAATATAGCCCAAAGAAAACCAAACATTATTTTATATTTGACAATGCTTCCTATGTGATTTTTACAAATAAGCTGAATATGTCTCATTTGGACTTTAAGGAACTAATATCAGGAAATAATGAAAATTAATATCAGAAAATTAATGAGGACCTAAGTTAGAATTTGAGTTTGGAAAGTTTGCCAAACATAAAAAGTTTAAAATGCTTGATATCACAAAATATGATCACAGATCATTATAAAATAAGTCATTAATTTAACCAAAGTGATAAAGATTCTTTTTTAAAAAGGTGAAAACCTTTATTCTTTGAGAGCAGACAATTTCACAAACAATGACCTCTATTAAAGACAGTGCAAGGCCAATTAAATCTGTCTCTCAATATCTTATAAACAATCTACAAGATTTTAATCATCTTGACCATAAGATTATTTCCATAAACCTTCTTGTAACCTTTATAATTTGTATTATGGAGTCAGTTAACATGCCAAGGAAACCTTGTTAATCTGAGACAGGGGCCCAGATGTTGGTTTTGTGTCAGTGTGCCAATGATATTAATGGTTAACTTCTAGATAAACTGAACTAATTTTCTATCTTAAAATTAGCCCTTACAATCTCATGTGTTCACCTTTTCCTAGATATTCCATGGGCCTTGAGATGTTGAATAGTTTTAATTTCTGGCCCTGTGTCCCACAAAGTTCATTTTGATTGGCATCTTCTACTGGGTCTGAAGATGAGAATTTAATTTAAGCTGTCAGTGTATTAGATTTAACAGGACTCGTTGTCCTTTTTAGACCCAGGAGTAAAAGCCCTGTGACTCAATGGCATAAGGACTTTAAAAGCACGTACAGAAAGTCACATGGATGTAATTACCGTAATTAAAAATACTTTTTAGTCTGCCTTTTTCTAAGCAAACCAAAACTTAATAATGACATGGGGATTATTTTGCAGAAACATAAAATCTGTTAGGCCAGTTGCAACTAAGCAAAAGAAAAGACCTTCTGCAGTGCACAGACCATTATGTTGGAAAAAAACATTTCTGTTAGACCTTTAAAGAAACATTTTTAGCATCAGGCTATAACAAACAGCTAGAACCCAAGGGGGAAAAAAACTTACATGAACTGAAAATGAGTTAAAGAAGAGTGTTAATATTTTTCACCTTTTAAAAGGGGAGCAAAAACCATAATGGTGAGATACAATAAAAGTTAAAGTTCAGGTTAAAAAATTAAAATCTGTTATAATTTATTAAAAGTAAATCAATCTCTTAATAAAATTTCATTGTTCTAACCAATTCTTTAGTGTGCACCTGCTTTTTTGCTATAGCAAAACCCAATTTTTAGGAAGACTATTATAAATAATTTTCCTTTAATTATAGACAATGTGATAAAAATAATTTATGACATTCTTGAACATTCTGTTTTATCCCAGACATCCTTCTTTCTTAAATAACAAGTTATTTTATTTTTGGATAAAAATTTACAAGATTACTTTTTATATAAAATTATTTTCCTTTTAACTTTTCTTGCCAAAAAATACCTCTTTATTTTTATAAATTTATTTAAATTGTTCTTATTCACTGATTACTTATACTTAAATTCACGAATAACTTTTAAATAACCTTTGAATTAGAAAAAAAAATTTCCTTTAAATAAGAACAGATTTTTTAGAAAAATGTTGTTCTATAATTTAAAAAAACTGGAAATGACCCAGAAATTTAATAAATACTTGTTATTTAGCTTAATATAACTTTAGATTTTAAGTTATATGACAAGATTATCTACAAGCACCTATTCCATTATAGTTACCTAATTTTTTTTAATAGTTTACTCACATTCTTTATGAAAACTGTGATAATTTTCATTTAAAGTCATTTCCTTTTTAACCAATTTTATAACATGAATTTCAGGTTTTTCTAAGGAAGAACCTTAAGGTTAGATAAATGTGTTATTTTGTTTGTTTTTTTGTTGCCAATAACTCAGGATTTAGCTGTTTTCATTAACTGAACAATATATAAACCAAAAATAAAATTCTAAGGCTCCCCAGCCAACTGAATGGAATTCTTCCTCGTCCAGGGCTTTTAAAATTTAAGATTGGTTCAAGCCATGATGGGAAATGGGGGTTAGACATGCCTCATTATACCTCTCTGGCATTAACATCAACACAGACTTTAAGTCTGATAAGAAACATTTTATGACTTATTCTCTCTGAAGCCTTCTACCTGGAAACTTCGCCTGCAAATATAATAAGAACTTGGGTCTCCACAATCCTTTACCTTAACCCAGACTTTCCTTTCTATTGATCCCTGGTTTTTAGAAAAATGTGACCAATTGTCAACCACAAAATGTTTAAATTTACCTATAGCCTGAAAACCCCTGCTTTGAGTTGTTTCACCTTTCTGGACCAAACCAATGTATTTCTTAAATATATTTGATGAATGTCTCATGCCTCTCTCAAATGTATAAAACCAAGCTGCACCCTGACCACCTTGGGCAAATGTTCTTAGGACCTCCTGAGGGCTATGTCACAAGTCATGGTCACTCATATTTGGGTCAGAATAAATCTCTTCAAATATTTTATAAAGTTTGACTCTTTTTGTCAGCAAATATTAAATGCCTTATTTATTAAATATTACATAAACAAAGATAATTCTCTTTTGGGCTGCATTCATAGCCTTTTAACCTTCATGCCAAATTTTAATATCTAGCAGAGATAAATAATACATGTTGGCAATCCTGAAGTCATTTCTAATTCTATTTCACCAAAAATTTTAAAGCCAGCTTATTTATTAAAAATTTGCTTAAGTAACATGAACATGAAAAAGCATTTGGCTTAAGGTCTATTTTTCTGATAAAGTATTTTATTTAAGCACATTTTTTTTTAGACAGAGCCTTGCTCTTTTGCCAAGGCTGAATGAACTGCAGTGGTGTGATCTTGGCTCACTGCAAACTTTGCTTCTCAGGTTCAAGCAATTCTTGTACCTCAGCCTTCCGAGTAGCTGGGATTACAGGTGCACACCCCCATGCCTGGCTAATTTTCCTATTTTTAGTAGAGATGGGGTTTCACCTTGTTGGCCAGGCTGGTCTCAAGCTCCTGGCCTCGAGTGATCCGCCCACATTGGCCTCCCAAATTGATGGTATTACAGGCATAAGCCACCACCCCTGGCTAAGATTTAAGTTATTTTTAAAGCCAATTAGTTGCAGCTGTTTTATACATGTTTAGTAGTGAAATATCATATACACAGCACATAAACACAGACTTATTAGACACATAGAAGTAGATCTTACAGATTCATAAGACCCCTATTTTCCTCTTATTTTACACTTCCAATTTCGTGATAACCTATTTTATTACTCTAGGCAGTTGTCAGCAAGATAGCCCCAAATTTGCATATTAAAGAAACTCTTAGGTAAAAAATCAGATAACAAAATTTACATACCATTGTACAGAGAGAAAGAGTCTGGTGGTGAAACAGGGGCAAGGCCAAGATGCCGACTAGTAGCAGCGGTGATTAGAGGCTCCCATGGAAAAGAAACATAATATCATGCAACCTCTCAGCAGAAACCCTACAAGCCAGAAGAGATTGGGGGCCAATATTCAACATTCTAAAGAGAAGAATTTTCAACCCAGAATATCATATCCAGGCAAACTAAGCTTCATAAACAAAGCAAAGGAGAAATAATATCCTTTCCAGACAAGCAAATGCTGAGGAATTTTGTTACCAACAGGCATGCCTTAAAAGAGCTCCTGAAGGAAGCACTAAGTATGGAAAGGAAAAACTGGTACCAGCCACTACAAAAACACAGCAATATATAAATGACAATGACACCATGAAGAAACTGCATCAACTACTGTGCAAAATAACCAAATAGCATCATGATGACAGGATCAAATTCATATGCAACAATACTAACCTTAAATGTGAATGGACTAAATGCCCCAATTAAAAGACACGGACTGGCATATTGGATAAAGAGTCAAGACCCATCAGTGTGCTGTATTCAGAAGATCCATCTTATGTGCAAAGACACACATAGGCTCAAAATAAAGGGATGGAGGAAAATTTACCAAGCAAATGGAAAACAAAAAAAGCAGGGGTTGCACTCCTAGTCTCTGACAAAACAGATTTTAATCAAAGAACAAAAAAGACAAAGAAGAGCATTACAAAATGGTAAAGGGATCAATTCAACATGAAGAGCTACTATCCTAAATATCTATGCACCCAATATGTAAATAAGTTCTTACAGACTGACAAACAGACTTAGACTACCACACAATAATAGAAATTTTAACACCCCATTGTCAATACTAGACAGATCAATGAGAGAGAAAATTAACAAGGATATTCAGGACTTGAACTCAGCTCTGGATCAAGCGGTCCTAATAGACATCTACAGAAGTCTTCATTCCAAATCAATAGAATATATATTCTTCTCATTGCCACATGGCATTTATTCTAAAATTGACCACATAATTGGAAGTAAAACACTCCCCAGCAAATGCAAAATAACTGAAATAGTAAAAAACAGTCTCTCAGACCACAGTGCAATGAAATTAGAACTCAGGATTAAGAAACTCTCTCAACACCACAAAATTACTTGGAAATTGAATAACGTGCTGCTGAATGACTCCTGGATAAATAATTAAATTAAAGCAGAAAACAAGAAGTTATTTGAAACCCATGAGAACAAAGAGACAATGTACTGGAATCTCTGGGACACAGCTAAAGCAGTGTTAAGCAGGAAATTTATAGCACTAAATGCCCATAATAGAAAGCTAGAAAGATCTCAAATCAATGCCCTAATATCACAATTAAAAGATCTAGAGAAGCAAGAGCAAATTAATTCTAAAGCTAGCAGAAGACAAGAAATACCTAATATCAGAGTAGAATTGAAGACATAGAGACATGAAAAACCCTCCAAAAAATCAATGAATCCAGGAGCTGGTTTTCTGAAAACAAAACAAAACAAAATAGATAGACTGCTAGCTAGACTAATAAAGAAGAAAAAAGAGAAGAATAGAAAATAGAAAAATGATAAAGAGGATATTGCCACTGACCCCACAGAAATACAAACTACCATCAGAGAGTACTATAAACACCTCTACACAAATAAACTAGAAAATCTAGAAGAGATGAATAAATTCCCGGACACAAACATCCTCCAAAGAATAAACTGGGAGGAAGTTAAATCCATGTATAGACTAATAGCAAGTTTTAAAATTGAGGCAGTTATTAATAGCCTACAAACCAAAAAAAAAAAAAAAAAAAAAAAAAAAAAAAAAAAAAAAAAAAAGCCCAGGACCAGATGGATTCACAGCCAAATTCTACCAGAGGTGAAAAGAGGAGCTGGTACCTCCTCTTTGTTCCTTCTGAAACTATTCCAAACAATTGAAAAAGAAGGGACTCCTCCCTAACTCATTTTATGAAGCCAGCATCCTCCTGGTACCAAAACCTGGCAGAGACATAACAAAATAAGAAATCTGCCAGAGACACAACAAAATAAGAAAACTTCAGGCCAGTATCTCTGATGGACATTGATGCAAAAATCCTCAATAAAATACTGGCAAACCAAATTCAGCATCACATCAAAAAGCTTATCCACCACGATCAAGTCGGCTTCATCCCTGGGATGAAAGGCTGTTTCAACATATGAAATTAAATAAACATAATTCATCACATACACAGAACCAAAGACAAAAAGCACATGATTATCTCAACAGATGCAGAAAAGGCCTTTGATAAAATTCAGCATTCCTTCATGTTAAAAATTCTCAATAAACTGGGTATTGATAGAACATATCTCAAAATAATAAGAGCTATTTATGACAAACCCATGGTCAATATCCTATTGAATAGGCAAAAGCTGGAAGCATTCCCCTTGAAAACCTGTACAAGATAAGGGTGCCCTTTCTCACCACTCTTATTCAACATAGTATTGGAGGTCCTGGCCAGGGCAATCAGGCAAGAGAAAGAAATAAAGCGTATTCAAATAGGAAGAGAGGAAGTCAAATTGTCTCTGTTTGCAGACGACATGCTTCTACATTTAGTAAACTCCATCATCTCAGCCCAAAAACTCTTTAAGCTGATAAGCAACTTCAGCAAAGTCTCAAGATACAAAATCAATGTGCAAAAATCACAAGTATTCCTTTCTACCAACAATAGACAAGCAGAGAGCCAAATCATAAATGAACTCCCATTCACAATTGCTGCAAGAATAAAATACCTAGGAATACAGTTAACAAGGGATGTGAAGGACCTATTCTAGGAGAACTACAAACCACTGCTCAAGGAAATAAAACAAGACACAAATGGAAAAACATTCCATCCTCATGAATAGGAAGAATCAATACAATGAAAATGGCCAACTGCCTAAAGTAATTTATAGATTCAATGCTATTCCCATAAAAATACCATTGACATTGTTCACAGAACTAGACATAACTACTTTAAATTTCATGTGGAACCAAAGAAGAGCCCATATAGCCAAGATAGATAATCTTAAACAAGAAGAACAAAGCTGGATGCATCATGCTACCTGACTTCAAACTATACCACAAGGCTTCAGTAACCAAAACAGCATGGTACTGGTACCAGAACAGACATATAGACCAATGGAACAGAACAGGGACCTCAGAAACAACACCACACACCTAAACCATTTAATCTTCAACAAATCTGACAAAAACAAGCAATGGGAAAAGGATCTCCTATTTAATAAATGGTAGTGGTAAAACAGGCTAGCCATATGCAGAAAACTGAAACTGGAACCCTTCTTTATACCTTATATAAAAATTAACTCAAGATCTATTGAAGACTTAAATGTAAAACCCAAACCCATAAAAACCCTAGAGGAAAACCCAGACAATACCATTCAGCACATAGGTATGGGAAAAGACTTCATGACAAAAATACCAAAAGCAATTGAAGCAAAAGCCAAAATTGACAAATGGGATCTAATTAAACTAAAGAACTTCTGCACAGCAAAAGAAACTATCATCAGAGTACAGGCAACCTACAGAATGGGAGAAAATTTTTCCAATCTACCCGTCTGACAAAGGTCTAATATCCAAAATCTACAAGGAACTTAAACAAATTTACAAGAAAGAAACATGCAACCCCATGAAAAAGTGGGCAAAGGATATAAACAGACACATCTCAAAATAAGACATTTATGTGGCCAAGAAACATATGAAAAATAAAAGCTCAACATCACTGATCATTAGAGAAATGCAAATCAAAACCACAATGAAATTCCATCTCATGCCAGCTAGTACAAATTGCTCATATTTTAAAAGTAACCAGTATCAAATTGGAAAGGATTTGATTTAGGAGCCAAACCAAGGCTATCATAGTGGAAAAAAAAAAAAAAAGAAAAAAAAAGACAGAACCTTAACAATGGATCTGCAGTGTGGGGCAACAGCCATTGCTCTTACCATTCGGCTTGGCTAGCAAAATGTGGCCCTGTTAGACAAATAAAGTCCCTTTTTTAGTCAAAAGAAAAAAATCTCTCCCCTTTTTATTTTGTGGGAATTTAGACACTTCAGAGGCCTTGTTCCCATAAATTGGAACTTTCCTTCAGATTTCATCATGTCAGATAGAGTTGATCAAACCCAGTAGGAAAAAGACTGAAACAATAACAAAAACAGAAACAATTACAAAGGCAACAACAACAACAAAAAAAAACAATTAAGCAAAACAAATGAATATTACAATTTATATGAATACTGAGCACTCTAATGGTAAAGATAAATTAACACCAGCTGATTTTTAATCTTAACTTTAGCCCACAAAAAAACAAACAAAAAATAAAAATAAAAAAAAAACAATTCAGCTACTTACCTAGGAATGGGTCTTAGGCTGAAGACTGCTATCTACCATCCTAGAAGCAGGAAAAAACTCAGACTTGCCTTCCCTTTTGGAAGTTTGCTCAAACTCCAGAAAGGACTTACCTTCCTTCCAACATCATGGAAGCAGGAAAACTTGCCTTCCCTGTAAGAAGCAAGTGAAACTCCAAAAGGAGGAGTTGTACAGCAAAATAAGCTTTAGATCTTAACCAAATTTGGGGAGATCAGGGATTTTCTGGAGGGGGAGCTTACAGGCCTCAGCAAATTGCCCTATTGGTTTGAGCCATAAAAAAGCTCAAGCTGGTACCAAGCACCTATAGGAGATTCGTCAAAGTCAGGGGCACCTCCCCTCAGAATCCCTCTGTGGTTACTGATTGTGAATGCAAAATATCTGACACAGGTCTCAGTCAATTTAGAAAGTTTATTTTGCCAAGGTCAAAAATACACCTGTGATACAGCCTCAGGAAGCCCTGAGACATATGCCCAAGGTGGTCAGGGGTATAGTTTGCTTTTATACATTTTAGGGAGACATGAAACATCAATCAATATGTGTAAGATGTACACTGGTTTGGTTCAGTAAGGTGGGACAACATGAAGTGGGGCTTTGAAGTTAGAAGTAGATAAGAGAAAAAAGGTTGGATTCTTTTGAGTCTTTGATCAGCCTTCCACTGAATACACAATTTAGTCTGGCTCACTGAATCTGCATTTATACATAAACAATAGGGGATAGGGAGTAATCAAACATGTATTTGTCTCAGGTGAGCCTCGGAGGGATGACTTTGATTAGAATGGGAGGCAGGTTTGCCTGAAGAAGTTCCCAGCTTGACTTTTCCCTTTAGCTTAGTCATTTTTGGGTCCCAAGATTTATTTTCTTTTGACACAAATTACAAAGAAACAAAGACAAGTTAAAACCAATGTGGTGATAAAAATTCACTTTTATCTATATTAATGTTAATGTAATGTTTTACATTTCCCAATTATCAAATTATGCAAGGGAATTATAAAACAAAAATCATATTTTGAAGAAGCATGCAATTTCTTAAAATAATTTGGAGAAAATGTTTTTCTAGAACATAGCTTCATGTTCCTATTTGATTTCACCTTTGATTGTGATGTGGGTGTTTTATTCAAATAGCTACTGTCAAATTTCCAGTGCTTTAAATCACCTAATTAACTTTTCATTTTCACTATTGGATAAAGTTAGACTTATTCCTTGGCCTAGAAAGCATTTGCTTTTTCATGTGGTTTCTTTTCTTTATGTAATTTTATGTATTCTCATTTAAAAAAATGAGATAGGTGAACTATGTTAAAATATATATGCAAAACATAGCTTATCTTAGAATTACAACATTTTCAAATGAGGAAATTTAGTTAATTTAATTATGAATCTATGCAAGTATTTATATACAGACTTCAAGCATATTATGGTTGTTTTTCCTGGTGGAGTGACCCAAACCTTCATTTCTGAACGGTCTGAGCCATTGTTAGTCCTGCCTCGATTGAGCTGTTATAGTTTCCCATTGACTTTAATCACAGGGCATGGTAATACTAAGAGATGCCCCAAGGGATTGCCTGTATTCTGTGCATACTCTTCCTTACCCCCACTGTGGAGTAGTAGACTGATTTCATCTTGATAGTCCGGGTCAATGACCCCAGCAAACACTGTAACTCCTTTCTTAGCTTGTTGACTTAAAGGTAGGAGGAGCCCAAAGTGTCTAGGAGGCAATCTTAACTTCCAGTTTAATTGAAACATGTGTCTCTTCTGGTATTAAGACCTCTAGGCCAGCAGAATGTAACCTCATAGGAACAAGAAGGAAACATTTTGCTAGTGGATCACTAGGGGTGATGGTGAGTGGTGTCACTTCCACTTCCACCCCTTGATTTTGGGACCTGTGAATCCTGGCTATGGGAGAAAAAGTACCATATATTGGATGCTGATTTAGAGCATTCCTGGCCTTCTGGAGAACTTTGCCCCAGCCCTGAAAAGTATTGTCACCTAGATGGCACTGTAATTGTGACTTGAAAAGGCCATTCCACCATTCTATCAGTCCAGCTGCTTCAGGATGATGGGGAACATGGTAAGATCAGTGAATTCTATGAACATGAGTCCACAGCCACACTTCTTCAGCCGTAAAGTGAGTGCCTTGGTCAAAGGCAATGCTGTGTGGAATACCATGACAGTGGATAAGGCTTTCTGTGAGTCAAAGGATGGTAGTCTTGGCAGAAGCATTGTGTGCAGGATAGACAAACCCATATCCAGAGTTGGTGTCTATTCCAGTGAGGACAAACCTCTGCCCTTTCCATGATGGAAAAGGGCCAATATAATTAGTCTGCCACCAGTTAGTTGGCTGATTACCTTGAGGAATGGTGCCATATCGAGGGCTCAGTGCTGGTCTCTGCTCCTGGCAAATTGGTCATAGCCAGATCAGCCTTGGTGAGTGGAAGTACAGATTGCTGACCCCATGCATAATCTCCATCCCTGCCACAATGGCCACTTTGTTCATGGACCCATTGGGCAATGACAGAGCTGGCTGTGAGAAGAGGCTGAGTGGTGTCCACAGAACGATTCATCCTATCCACTTGATTATTAATCTTCTCCTTTGCTGAGGTCACCCATTGATGGAAATTCACATAAGATACAAATATCTTCACAGTTTTTGACCACTCAGAGAGGTCCATCCATATACCTCCTCTCCACATTTCTTTGTCACCAATTTTCCAATCATGCTTGTTCCAAGTCTTTGAACATCCAGCTAAACCATTGGCTATAGCCCATGAATCAGTATATAATCACATATCTGGTCATTTCTCCTTCCATGCAAAGTGCAGAATTGAGTTCACTGATTGAAATTCTGTCCACTGGAAAGATATCCTTTCACTGCTGTCCTTCAGGGATGTCCAAAAATTGTGTTGTAATGCTGTTGCTGTCCACTTTTGGTTGGTGCCTCCATATTGTGCAGAACCATCTGTAAACCAGGCCCTATTCTTCTCTTCCTCTGTCAACTAATCATAGAGAACTCCCCATGAGGCCATAAGTGGAGGCTGGGGGAAAGAAGGCAGGGTGCCGGGAGTGGAGACCATGGGCATTATAGCCACTTCCTCATGTAACTTACTTGTGTCTTCAGGACCTAACTTTAGTTAACATTCATTTCATAAATAAGAGAAGCAATTTCATAATCTTAGTCATACATAAAATGACATCAAAATGTTTTTCATTATATTTTCTGTCTTTTTTTGTGTATACATATATACATATGTGTATATATACTATCAGTTATATGTGAGTGTAGTAGTATTTTAAAATAAATATACATATATTGGAAATATATGTTTTTTTCTGAAAGGAAATACTTAAAAAGTATTAAACCCCATTGCTTATTTTTCAAGTCTAAACCTGTGAAAACAAAACGTGTGAAAACAGATAATACAGAATATCACAAAGGATATTTCTGGTCACATGTGTAGAAATGTATACTTCAAATAATCCTAACCTAATAAAATTACATTAGATTTAGATTATGTTCCAGCAAAATTATGCATAGGTAGTGTTAAAACTATAATTGGCTTTTCACTCTAGATTCAATGCTTTAGTCATTTCCCCTTATAACAGTACTTTAATTATTTTGTACTCATTAAAGTCACAATTATGCCTCTAACAGACATTATCCTCTTCAGCTGGAAAGGGATATGTCAGCTCAACTATGCGTGCTAGTTTAAATTCTAGTTATATGTATTTCTTATTTCATAGTACAGTTTGAAAAAAGGATTTCCAGAAGGTGTAAACAAAAGAAAATATCATAAGCTCCTCCTCCACCCTCCCAAGATTAGAAAGTAACATTTTCAGAGTGAAGCCAAGTAAAGAGTAAAAATACCCACATATCATAAGCCTAAATGTTTAAAATTTATTTATCTAAACATGGTTAAAGCCTGGTTCATAAACCCAGGTTTTCAAATAAGACTCTGTAACCTGCTCCACAGGGAGAGCCCTGGAGAACAGGAAGTTGTACTTCACCCTGGGTCAGCACTCAACCTGGTGGGCCTTAGGGCTTGCACGGATCTTCTGGGCAGGCCAAGATGGAAGCTAAGTCCTGTGGTCAGGACTTTTGGGAAGTGATTGAAACTGCTTGAACTCTAGATAGGAACTGAATTGATTAAGGGCCCCAGGAAGCAAGGGCTAGCAGAATCTCTCTCACATCAACTTGTTATTCTGACTCAGGATATACAGACCCATATTAAATGCCTTTCAAAAGTTCTTCACAGCAGGAAAAGAGAGAGTACTTGCTGAGTTATCTAGAGAACCTGGTCTGCCTAGACACCAGCTTCAGATGATTTGGAGTACCAAATTTAAACAAAAGCAGCCCTTTTTAAGTTCCCTGAACAGTAGATATGATTCTTTCCTCCCCCTAGAAATACTCATATGATCTCAACTTCATGTCCTAGAGTCTAGGAGATCTAATTTACTTGCACATTTCTCCTTCGTAATTATAATGTATTCTAACCACTTCATTTCGCCCTCAAATATAAACACTCGTGTAATTTTTTCCTGCACTTTTTTGTTTTCATTTTTATTTTAAGATAAATAATTTATTATTACCTGAAGAAATGAATGCTCTGATTGCTTCCTTCTAGAAGGAGAGCAGGTCAACATCATGTGGTACACTGTGGCAGTAACTAATGATATGCAATAACCCTTCAGCCTCCCACTCATTCCAGTTCACCCATTTATGGCTCCAAATATCTTGTATGCAAACACTATGCTTCTATAATTTCAAATGTGGGAACTCCCTTGGCATGAGATGGGGACAAAACATATTAAAAAAATGAATAGCTTTGGTGATGCTGATTCAATTAAACCTCAGCAACCTCTCCTCTTTCTGCTTCTGCTTTGTCCCAAGCAAGGCAGACAATGATATAGATGAACACAGTAGAAGTTACTGTAGCTGAATTCTCTTTCTAATTAGCTGTTGAATACCAGTAGAGTGCCAAGATGTGGCAAACATTAGCTTCCAGAAATGAGAAACGAATTAATTTAGGAGAGATTCTAGGCAAAAGATATATAATGAAGAGGTGAATAGCAAAGATTTTACCTTAAATTTGAAAATTTACAGATAAGAGCAAGCCCTGATATTATGATTACCTTTAGCATTTATTTATTTTCTCTTCTCAGTACTCTTTCCCAAATTTAATCCTATTCTCACATTTAGACACCTAATGTTTCATACTTCCCAAACACCTACCTTAATTATTAGGCTGCTGCAGTATGGATTTATTATACCTTTGGAAGCTAATGGCAAATGCCAGTGGTTTATCACATTTGATTATAAAATTTCCTCTCCTGATTCTAAAGGTAGGACATCCATCTCTCTTTTTTTCCTCTTCATACATTTTCCCCTTGATTCTCTCTTGAATCAGTAAAAAAGCTATCTCTGGCCAATCGATTTACCTACATATGCTGCTATCCCAGATCATAAATAATGTTTCTTTCCTAGTTGTTACTTAAAATAATTACATTTTTTAAAGTTTTCTTTTTTAGTTTTTAAACTAACATAAAGAACATTTAACATACCATAACATACACCTATTTTAATTGTACATTACCATGAGTATTGGTATGCAGTTTTTAGAATATTTTCTTATTATACTTTTAATCATAATATTGGTAACCTTTTCTTCTCTCCTTTATTAATGATAACATTGGCTTGAATTTTGTCAATTTTGTTAATCGTTCATTAAACCCTCTTTTTGTTACATTCTCTTACTCTCTTTCCCTATTTGTTGATTTTCACTCTTACTGTTTTTTTTTTTTTTTCCTATACTTACTTTATGTTTTGGATTCAAAATGTTCTTTCTTTCTAGATTCCTAGAGATAGGGCAGGGTTAGCTCATTGATTTTAAGGGTTTTTTTTTTCCTGTTTTTTCTTTTATTGTATGTGTTTATCATGTACAACATAATGTTCTGAAACATGTATACATTGTGGAATGTTTGAATTCAGCTAATTAACTTATGCTTTATTTTATATACTTATCTTATTTGTATTGAGAATGCTTATGTCTTACTTCATTCTTATGCTGCTATAAAGAACTGCTCAAGAGCACATAATTAATAAAGGAAAGAGGTTTAATTGATTCACAGTTCCACAGGGCTGAGGAGGCCTCAGGAAACTTACAATCATGGTGGAAGGGGAAGAAAACATGTCCTTCTTCACATGATGGCAGGAAGGAGCAGTTCAGAACAAAGGGGGAAAAACCTCTTATAAAACCATCAGATCTCATGAGAACTCACTCACTATCATGAGAACAGCATGGGGGAAACAACCCCATAACCGAATTACCTTTCACAAGATCCGTCACCCAAGATAATGGAATTTTAATTCACATTACAATTCAAGATGAGATCTTGGTTGGAGACATAGCCAAGCAATATTATTCCACCCCTGTCCTCTGCCAGATCTTATGTCCTCACATTTCAAAACACAATCATGCTTTTCCAATAGTCTCCCAAAGTCTTAACTCATTCCAGCATTAACCCAAAAGTCCAAATCCAAAGTCTCATCTGAGACAAGGCAAATCCCTTTTGCCTAAAAGCCTGTAAAAATCAAAATCAAATTAGTTAATTCCAGGATACAATGGGGGTACAGGCATTGAGCAAATACACCCATTCCAAATGGCAGAAATTGGCCAAAACAAAGAGACTACAGGCCCCATGCAAGTCTAAAATCCAGTGAGGAAGTAATTAAATCTTAAAGCTCCTAAATAATCTCCTTTGACTCCATGTCTCACATCCAGGTCAGACTGACGCAAGAGGTGGGCTTCCACAATCTTGAGCAGCTCCAACCCTGTGGCTTTGCAGGGTACAGCTTCCCTCCAGGTTGCTCTCATTGGCTGGCATTGAGTGTCTGTAGCTCTCCAAGTGCATGGTGCAAGCTGTAGGTGGATCTATAATTCTGGGGTCTGGCAGATGGTGGCCCACTTCTCACAACTCTATTAGGCAGTGCCCCAGTGGAGACTCTGTGTGGGGCCTCCAACCTCACATTTCCCTTCTACACTGCCCTAGCAGAGGTTCTCCATGAGGACTCCATGCCTGCAGCAAACTTTTGCCTTGACATCCAGACATTTTCATACTTCCTCTGAAATCTATGTGGAGGGTCTCAAACCTCAATTCTTGACTTCTGAGCACCTGCAGACTCAACACCACATGGAAGCTGCCAAGGCTTGGGGCTTGCACACTCTGAAGTAAAGGCCTGAGTTCTACATTTAGCATGCTGGGATACAGGGCATCAACTCCCTAGGCTGCACACAGCATGGGGGTCCCAGGCCTGGCCCATGAAATAATTTTTCCCCTGTAGGCCTCTGGGTCTGTGATGGGATGGGGCTGCTATGAATGTCTCTGACATGTCCTGGAGACATTTTCCTCATTGTCTTGGTGATTAACATTTGGCTCCTTGTTACTAATATGAATTTCTGCAGCTGGCTTGATTTTTTCCCCAGAAAATTGTTTTTTTCTTTTCTGTCACATCATTAGGCTGAGAACTTTCCAAACGTTTATGCTCTTTTTCTTGAATGATTTGTTACTTATAATTTTTTTCTGCCAGATACCCTAAATCATCTCTCTCAAGTTCAAAGTTACACAGATCTCTAGGGCAGGACAAAATGCTGCCAGTCTCTTTGCTATGGCAAAGCAAGGATTACCTTTATTCCACTTCCCAATAAGTTCCTCATCCTCATCTGAAACTAGCTCAGCCTGGACTTCATTGTTCATATCACTATCAGCATTTTGGTAAAAAACCATTAGACAAGTCTCTAGGAAGTTCCAAACTTTTCCACATTTTCTTGTCTCCTCCTGAGTCCTCCAAACTGTCCCAACCTCTGCCTGTTACCCAGTTCCAAAGTCACTTCCACATTTTTGTGTATCTTTATAGCAGTACCCCCCACTCTACAGTGCCAATTTACTGTATTAGGTTTGTTCTCATGTTGCTATAAAGAACTGCCCATGAATGGGTAATTTATAAAGGAAAGAGGTTTAATTAATTCACAGTTCTACAGGGCTTGGGAGGCCTCAAGAAGTTTATAATCGTGGTGGAAGGAAAAGCAAACATGTTCTTCTTTACATGGCGGCAGGAAGGAGAAATGCAGAGCAAAGGGGGTAGTGGGGAATCCCCTTATAAAACCATCAGATCTCTTGAGAACTCACTCACTATCATGAGAACAGCATGGGGGAACTGCCCCATAATCTAATCACCACCCACAAGATCCCTCCCCCAACATGTGGGGATTATAATTCAAGATCAGATTTTGGGCTGAGACACAGACAAACCATATCAGCCTATGTATTAGTCCATTTTCACACTGTTGATAAAGACATACCCAAGACTGGGCAATTTACGAAAGAAAGTTTAGTCAACTTAGAGTTCCACATGGCTGGGGAGGCCTCACAATCATGGCAGAATGTGAAAGGCACATCTCACGTGATGTCAGAAAAGAGAAGAGAGCTGTTCAGAGAAACTCCCCTTTTGAAAACCATCAGAACTCATGAGACTTATTCACTATTGTGAGAACAACATGAGAAAGACCTGCCCCTCTGCCCCCATGATTCAATTACTTCCCACTGGGTCTCTCTCACAACACATGGGAATTCAAGTTGAGATTTAAATGGTGACACAGCCAAACCATATCATTTCACCCTGTCACCTCCCAAATCTCATGTCCTCACATTTCAAAACAAATAATGCCTTCCCTACAGCCCCTAAAGTCTTAATTCATTTCAGCATTAACTCAAAAGTCCACAGCCCAAAGCCTCATCTGAAACAACACAAGTCCCTTCTGCCAATGAGACCGTAAAATCACAAGCAAGTTAGATACTTCCTAGATACAGTGGGGTTACAGGCATTGGGTAAATACAGACATTACAAATGGAAAAAAATTGGCCAAAACAGAGGGGCTACAGGCCCTATGCAAGTCCAAAATCCAGCAGGGTAGTCAAATCTTAAAGCTCCAAAATGATCTCCTTTGACTTTATATCTCACATCCAGGTCATGCTGATGCAAAATGTGGGCTCCCACAGCTTTGGGCATCCCCACCCCTGTGGCTTTGCAGGGTATAGACCCCTCCTGGCTGCCTTTCAGGCTGCCATTGAGTGTCTGTTGCTTTCCCAGGTGCATGGTGCAAGCTGCTCCTTGATCTACCATTCTGGGGTATGGAGGTTGGTGGCCCTCTTCTCACAGCTCCACTAGGCAGTGCCTCAGTGGGGACTCTGTGTGAGGGCTCCAACCCCACATTTCCCTTCCACACTTCCCTAGCAGAGATTCTCTCTGAGGGCTCCGCCCCACAGTAAACTTCTGCCTGAACATTCAGGCATGTATATACATCCTCTGAAATCTAGGTGGAGGTTCTCAAACACCATTTCTTGACTTCTGTGCACTCACAGGCTCAATATCACGTGGAAGGTGCCAAGGATTGGGGCTTACACCATCTGAAGCCACGGCCCAAGCTCTATACTGGCCCCTTTTAGCCACAGCTGGAGCAGCTGAGACACAGGGTACCAACTCTCTAGGCTACATACATCATGGGGACCCAAGGCCTGGCCCACAAAACCACATTTTCCTCCTAGTCCTCCAGGCCAGTAATGGGAGAGGCTGCTGTGAAGACATGTGACATGCCCTGGAGACATTTTTCTTATTGTCTTGGGGATTAACATTCGGCTCCTTGTTACTTATGCAAATTTCTGCAACTGGCTTGAATTTCTCCTCAGAAAATGGGATTTTCTTTTCTGTTGCATTGTCAGGCTGCAAATTTTCCAAACTTTTATGCTCTGTTTCCCTTATAAACCTGAATGCCTTTAACAGCACCCAAGTCTGTTATAAAACTGAATGTCTTTAACAGCACCTCTTGAATGCTTTGCTGCTTAGAGATTTCTTCTGCCAGATAACCTAATTCATCTCTGTCTAGTTCTAAGATTCACAAATCTCTAGGGCAGTCTCTTTGCTAAAACATAACAATAGTCACTTTTGCTCCAGTTCCCAACAAGTTCCTCTTCTCCATCTGAGACCACCTCAGCCTGGATTTCATTGTCCATATCATTATCAGCATTTTGGTGAAAGCCATTAAACAAGTCCCTAGGGAGTTTCAAACTTTCCCACATTTTCCTATCTTCTTCTGAGCCTTCCAAATTATTCCAACCTCTGCCATTTTCTCAGTTCCAAAGTCATTTTCACATTTTTGGGTATCTTTTCAGCAATGCCCCACTCTACTGGTACCAATTTACTGTATTAGTCTGTTTTTATGCTGCTGATAAAGACAGACCCAAGACTGGGCAATTTACAAAAGAAACAGGTTTAATCGACTTACAGTTCCAAGTGACTGAGGAGGCCTCACCATCATGACAAAAAGTGAAAGGCACATCTCACATGGCAGCAGATAAGAGAAGAGAGCTTGTGCAGAGAAACTCCCTTTTTTTAGATCTCATGAGACTTATTCACTATCATGAGAACAGTACTAGAAAGACCTACCCCCATGATTCAGTTGCTTCTCACTGGGTCCCTCCCACAATATGTGGGAATTCAATATAAGATTTTGGTGGGGACACAGCCATACCACGTCAGCCTATATGAAGCATTTTAAGCTATAAATATTTTTTTCAAGCCCTATATTAATTGCATGTGACACATTAATTTATAGTGTTTCATTTCCATTCACTGTTTATTCAAAATATTTCTCTTATGGCTTCTTTTTTTGACCCATGGGTTATTTAGAAGTGTCATTTAATTTTCAAATACTTTGGTATTATCCAAATATCTTACATTATTAATTTCCATTTTAATTTCACTATGGACAGAGATTATACTCTATGATGTTAAACCTTTTAAATTCAGTGAAATTTGGTTTATGTCATATCACAGGTTCTCTCCTGATGACTGTACATTTTGCACTTAAAAAAGGTTTATTCAGGTGTTGTTTGGTTTTACATTTTATAAATATCAACTAGGTTAATATAGTTGATAGTGGGGAAATCTATATCTTTAATGACACTCTGTCTATTTGTATTGTCAATTATTGATGTGGCAGTGTTGAAAACTCCAAGTATGATTGTGTATGTTTATCATTCAGTCCCTTTTGCTTAATTTATCTTGAAGCTCTTATGTGCATAGACATTTAAGATTTCATACCTAACTTATTAGACTTTCTATCATTATACAATATACTTTTTATTCCTGATAATATGCCCTGTTCCAAATCTATACTTACTTTAATATTAAGTTGCAATTCCAGCTCTCTTATGATTAGTGTTGGAATGCCATATTTCTTCTATCATTTTAATTTGAAACTATTTATGCCTTCATATTTAGATATGTTCCTTATAGGCAGTAGGTTTAATCTTTCCTTTCTTTCTTTTCTTTTGCTTTTCTTTCTTTTCTTTTCTTTTTCTTTCTTTTCAGTGTGAAAACACTGACTTTTAATCACATTTAATATAATCATCAATGTATCTATGTTTGTTACCTTTCTTTTTGTTTTCTATTCTTATCTTTTATTCAGTTTTTCCACTTTTTTTTTCTTTTTGCTTTCTTTTAGATCAATTGAGGATTTTATTTTACAAATTCATTTGTCCTGGTAAGTGTTAACCCAGCAGGTCTGAGTTGCTTAAATCCTGCACATTTAGCAGATGGGCCTATTTGCATAATTAGCTATTGGTCAGCGGCTAGAAACTGAGGTCTTGGAATATCCCCTATGCTACTAATTGATAAGGGTGTTTGGTAGTCTTAAAATTTTAAACCATGCTGTTCCAGTTTCTCTATAAAGTTTGTGCAAACAATGCGACTTTTGATGAACATGTGCTTTGTTTCTGTGAGGTTTGGAATGACTATAACTGAGGTCAGTCACGAAGATACTACTACTTGACCAACCCCCAGTAAAAACTCTGCACTTTTAGACTCAAAAGAACTTTTCTGGAAGAAAACACTTCAAACATGTGATTGTGATGCCTTTCTGGGAGATTAAATATGTCCTTTATGACTTCATTGACTTTTGGAAACTCATGCCTGGCATTCTCCAGACACTGCCTGGTGGTCTTATTTTCCTTTATTAGACCTTACTTTCCTTCACTAATAAGTCTTATCCAGAATTTAAAAACTTCTGAGTCCTGAGAGTACCTCTAGTGCATCCCAAACCTGAGAGTGCTCTTGAAAAAAAACTGATTCATCATTTTATCCATAATATTGGCATACTAGCTGTGCCTATTTATTATTGTTTTTAAAGATTGCTCTAGGATTTTACATATTTATCTTTAGCTTATTCCAATTTACTACCAAATAACATTATGCTACCTCATGTCTAATATAAAAATCTACAACATAATACTACTTTTTACCTCTCATTTTAAAGAAAATATGACAGACCTTTTTTCTCTAATAAAACATCAAAACTTGCTTATAATGAAGGTGAGTTTCCCCCTTAAATGATAATAGAACATGATATAGATAGTAGACTGAGTATTGTTCTAATTTTTTATTACTTATATGATTATAATATGCGTTGATTCTTTTAAACATTGGCTTTATTATGCTAAGTCTATATTTAACCATGAACTACTGCTTAGTAATAGATATTGTTCATTTAATGTACTGTGCATCTACATATTAAATGCATTATTCATCAGATACAGAATTAATTTTTGACAACAGAGACCTGTTAAGAGAGAGATTAATGTGTTTTACAGGAATATTTTTAGAAATTCAATTGCCTTATGAAGGTAAAGTGGAAAATAGTATGTATAAGATACATATATTCTGATGAAATAATGGGATTATAGTCATCCTAAAGTGAAATATTAGTGCATTCTAGTTGGAATGCTTCTATAAAAACATTTAGAATTGTGTGTATGTTCTAAATATTTATTACAAAATATTTTTCTGGTAATTGCACAGTGTCTGTTTTGTCAGTTCAACTATCTACACAATGCAAACATAGGATATTTGAAATTAAATAGCCAGAATGGTGAAAATGAGATTTCTACAATAGATACATTGGCATTTTTATTAGCCAATAAGTAACTCACTTGAATTACACAGGTATATTTTCTTAAAACAATTTGGGTCATAAAAGTAAGTCCATGGTTTTTTTGTTTGTTTGTTTTTAATTAAATGGTAGGTAGTTGAATATTTAGGCATAATTTTTTTTTAAAATAAACTTTGTTTTTGGAGTAGTTTTAGGTCCACAACACAATTGAGCAGAAAGTATAGCGAGTTCCCACATATCCCCTGCCCACCCGTTCTCCATCTCATCCTCCTCTACCATCAGTATTCTGTACTGCAATGATACATTTGTCACAATTGTTGAACCTATGTTGACACATCATTATCACCCAAAGCTGTAGTTTTCACCAGGGTTTATTCCTGGTGCCCTACATTCTATGGATTTTGAGTTGTACATTCTATGTACATTGACACAAATTCACCATTACAGTATCATATAGAATAATTTCACTGTTCTAAAAATCCTCTGTGAATGAGTTATTCTTGCTTCACATCCTTGTGAAGTTATTTTTTCTGCTTCTCTTCCTCCTCCCACCCTCTACCCTCAAGTACACCCCAGTGTCTCTTGTTTCCTTCTTCGTGTTCATAAATTCTCATAATTGAGCTCCCACTTATAAATGAGAACATGCTGATTTTTGTTTTCTGTTCCTGCATTAGTGTGCTAAGCATAATGGCCTCCAACTCCATCCATGTTCTTGCAAAGTACATGCTCTCATTCTTTGTTATGGCTGCATAGTATTCCATGGTGTGTATATGCCATATTTCCTTTATCCAATTATGTCATTGATACACATTTAGGTTGATACCATGTCTTTTCTATTGTGAATAGTGCTGCAATGAACATTTGCATGCATGTGTCTTTCTGGTAGAATGATTTATATTCCTCTGGGTATATACCCAGTAATGGAATTATATCAAATGGTAGATCTACTTTTAGTGCTTTAAAGAATCACCATACAGGTTTTTGCAATGGTTAAACTAATTTATGCTCCCACCAACAGTGTATTAGTGTCCCCTTTCTCTGCAACCTCGCTAGCCTCTGTTATTTTTTTTTTCACTTTTTAATAATAGCCATTCTGACTGGTGTGAGGTGGTATCTCATTATGGTTTTGATTTGCATTTCTCTAATTATGAGTAATCTGGAGCTTTTTTTTCATATACTCATGGCCACATGTATATATTCTTTTGACAAGTTATCTGTTCATGTCATTTGCCTACTTTTTAATGGGGTGGTTTGTTCTTCTCTTTTAAATTCGTTTAAGTTCCTTATAGATGCTGGATATTAGACCTGTGTCAGATGCATATTTTCTCCCTTTCTGTAGGTTATCTGTTCACTCTCTTGATAGTTCCTTTTGCTGTGCAGAAACTCTTAAGTTTAATTAGATCCCACTTATGAAATTTTGCATTTGTTGTGATTGCTTTTGGTGTTTTTTGTCATGAAACCTTTGCCTGTTTCTATGTCCAGGATGGTATAACCTAGGTTGTCTTCCAGGGTTTTTATAGTTTTGTGTTTTACATTCAAGTCTTTAATCCATCTTGAGCTAATTTTTGTATATGGTGTAAGGAAAGGGTCCAGCTTCAATCTTTTGCATATGGCTAGCCAGTTCTCCCAGCACCATTTATCGAATAGGGAGTCTTTTCTCCATTGCTTGTTTTTGTCAGCTTTGTCAAACATCAGATGGATATAGGTGTGTGGCCTTATTTCTGGGCTGTCTATTCTGTTCCATTGGTCTATGTTTCTGTTTTTGTACCAGTACCATGCTGTTTTGGTTACTGTAGCCCTGTAGTGTAGTTTGAAGTTGGGTAATGTGATATCTCCAGCTTTGTTCTTTTTGCTTAGTATTGCCTTTGCTATTTGGGATCTTTTGGTTTCATATAAATTTTAAAATAGTTTTTTCTAGTTCTGTAAAGAATGTTGTTGGTAGTTTGATATGAAAACCATTGAATCTGTAAATTGCTTCAGGCAGTATAGCTATTTTAATGATATTGATTCTTCCTATGCATGAGCATGTAATGTTTTTCCATTTGTTTGTGTCTTCTTTGATTTCTTGGAGCAGTGTTTTATAATTCTCTTTGTAGAGATCTTTCACCTCCCTGATTGGCTATATTTCCAGGTATTTTACACTTTTTTTGGCAATTGTGAATGTGATTGTCTTTCCAGTTTGGCTCTTGGCTTGGCTGTTGTTGAAGTATAGAAATGCTAGTGACTTTTGTACATTGATATTGTATCCTGAAACATTGCTGAATTTGTTCAGCAGCTAAAGGAGCTTTTGGGCCTAGACTATGGGGTTTTCTAGATATAGAATCATGTTGTCTGCAAACAGAGATAATTTGGCTTCCTCTTCCTATTTAAATGCCCTTTATTTCTTTATCTTGCCTGATTGCTCTGGCTAGGACTTCCAGTACCATATTGAATAGGAGTGGTGCCTTGTCTTAAGGCATAAATATTTTTATGGGAACTGAATAGTTTCTTTTTTAAATTCTTATTAACAATTCTTTTTGATGGGAAAGGCACTGAAACGTAAGAAACATGTCATAGTGAAGATGAATTAGTCTTAAACTTTCAATTAAGACAGATATATTATTGCCTTGAGTCAGGGAGGGATAAGGAACACTTGAAGTTTCTGAAAATTCTACTAAATGTAAGTCTGGCTGTGGTTTGGGGTCTCTAAGCCAATAGTCATTCAAGTCTGAGTTAAAGCCTGAATTAAAGATGAGCAACTTGAAATAAAACTGGCAGTTTATTCTTTCCAGCCAACAGCTATAATTGGCAATTATAGAAAAGGAATATCATGTGATTCAATTTCAAAAGTGTGTGGTAATATATAGACTAAATAAAAAAGGAAGGGACGATGAATTTCTTAAATCTGAATTTCAGGGAGCCTGGCCAGAGAGCAAATGGTTTAGGGATTTGGCAGGGAATTTCTAGACTGGATCCTAAATGGGAAACTATTTAAGAGAAGCAGATGCTTTATGATTCTCTTGGTGATATGTATTTTTTATTCTCCTTATTTAGAGTTTTAAAAGCAATGTGGATCCAGTAAAATTTAGATCAAGCCTAATAGTTACCATATAAATATATTTTTGAAGAGCTAAGAAGTAGAAGGTCCCACTTGAGTTGTTTTGTGATGAATGAAAGAAATAGGCTGAGTTGAAATGCTAATATGACCTAATTCTAAGTAAATAGGTAGTACTCAAGTTGACATAGAGCTTCTGGTGGGACATTCTGAGATAATTTGAGTATTTTCAATCTTCTTTATGTCAGGGATTGGGCTGTTCACCTCTTTGATATTTGTCCATAATTATGCAGTAGCATTAAGCACTACTGGCAGGCTGACTATAGGAATGCTTATCATTTTCTCATGTCTTTACTATAGTACTAAACTATTTGGAATATGTTAAATATCTCTACCATGTAAATACTTGAAAGCAGACAGGAAAAATAAAGGGACTTACCACTCAAACAAGTTTACCTAAAATATGTTAAAATACAAGTAGTTATTCAAAACATAACTCTTATTCTCATTTATTATTAAAATTAATTGAACATATCTTAACAGTGAGAAAAAATGAAATTCAATTCAACCCTATAGTTTAATTCCTTTATAGTAGCAAACTTCACCATACACCTTTATGATGTCACTAGACATATTTAGGTAAATATTTAGTACATATGAATCAATCAACTAGATATATTGAACATAAACTCTACAGAAGTGATTACAGGAACATCTTATAGAACCCAAAATCTAGTTGGAATACAAAAACTAAATTATGTGACATGATGGAAGAATAATGAATCAGTAAACTTTGTAGTATTGACAATTATTAACTCTCTGAAAGCCAAGGACTGTGACTATTGTTTTTCACTATCTCTTTAGTAGTAGCACAATGCCTGGTAAATAGTAGTAACACAAGAAATATATTTAAAATACACAGACACATATGTAAATATGCATATTTACTTAGCACATCTCATGTAGAGTTTCTGCTTCTTCACCATGTAAATGAAATGTCTGTACTGTTTTCTTTTTTTCTTTTTTTTTAATTGCCTCCTATTTAACTCATTGTTGAGGAAAGGATTTCTGCCCTAGGGTTACGGAGATAACCAACTGCAGGACATATGACACTGGACAGATGTGATTGACAGCAGTTTATTCACCACATGTACTCACAGCCCAGGGGAAGAAGATATCACACATCAGTCATGTCTACACAGGGACTGCATTCTGGAGCAGAATGAGTGCTTTGTAGTATCAAGAAAGTGAGGTGCCTCTTGGTTCTCACTGGCAGAAGAGATCAGTTTGTTTGAATAATTTCACTAGCTGGCAGGGGACTAAAACCTATTACTCAGGGAAGTAAGAACTCCTCCTGATCCTTTTGTTAAGGAGTATTGTTAGGCTAGGTGACCTTTTCTGTGGGAATAAAATATATAAATAGGATATAAAGATGTAATAAAATAATAAAAGATGCAGAGGGAAATTTGCAGTTAGGCTATTCACAGACCTTCCAATGCATGCTGGATGTTGTGGTAGCACTTAATATTAAACCTTAATTTCAGGCCTGGTATAGATTCATTCTCTCAGGTCAAAGGAAAAGCTGCTATTGACTGTTTGTTGTTTTAGGTATCTCCAACCTAACATGGCGATATTTTTCTACTGAAGGTTGCTATTGGAATAGGTTTATGGCTGTTCACTGAGGTGGGAGAACAACACTTGCGTAGTTTGACTTTCCATGTGTGTTTCTGTAACAGAGTCAAACCAGAGAAAAGATGATGTTTATCTCACTCTATTTAGTTTTTTTAATTATCTTATGGCTATCACCAGAAGTAGTACATGACCTAGAAACTTGCAGAACTCTTGTTTTCACACTGTTTATCTTGCTACTGAATCAGATTCCATCACAAAGATTAGTTGCCTCATTCACAAAAATGAGGCTAACTGGGAGTTAACAAAATTAATTTTGAATTCAGGCTTAATTTTGATCAAGCTTTGACCTGCTGGACAAGGATTTTAGTTTGTCTGAACCTCAGACAAAATTTGTGTAGCACCTCATAAGATTATTTTGAAAACTAAATAATTTAAAATAGTTAAAATTATTTAGCCAGTACCTATCAAGCTCGCTAAAAGTTAATTCTCTTCAATCACCCTGTTCTGATCCTATTTGGAAGATTTTTGCACGAAGTCAAACAACTTTTGTCTTTTAAAAATATCTAATCTGAAGCCGGGCGCGGTGGCTCATGCCTGTAATCCCAGCACTTTGGGAGGCCAAGGCGGGCGGATCACGATGTCTGCAGTTCGAGACCATCCTGGCCAACATGTTGAAATCCCCGCTCTACTAAAAAAAATACAAAAAAAAAATGAGCCAGGCATGGTGGCACGAGCCTGTAGTCCCAGCTACTCAGGAGGCTGAGGCAGGAGAATAGCTTGAACGTGGGAGGCGGAAGTTGCAGTGAGCCGAGATCGTGCCACTGCATTCCAGCCTGACGACAGAGTGAGACTCCATCTCAAAAAATAAATAAATTAATTAATTAATTAAATAAAATAAATCTAATCTGCTTCCTCATTAGCAAAATATTATGGCTCTGCACCAATATTTAGTATGATCAGTACAGGGTTGTTTTTCCTTTAACTTACCATTCCAGTACTGAAAACTTTCAAGATACTGATACACAACATGTTCTCAAACCCTCTGTCATCATAGAAGGGAACAGACATGTGTTTCAAAGGCAATCGAAGTTGAAAACTTTTCTCCTGGCTTGTAATGGTGGAATTAGATGTTTTTGTGACCCATTAGGAAATATATCTTTTTTTTTTTTTTTATGGTTTCTCACCTTGTCGCCCAGGCTGGAATGCAGTGGCACGATCTCGGCTCACTGCAACCTCCGTCTCCCTGGTCCAAGTGATTCTCCTGCCTCAGCCTCCTGAGTAGCTGGGATTACAGGTGCCCACCACCACCCCTGACTAAGTTTTGTATTTTTAGTAAAGACAGGGTTTCACTATGTTGGCCGTCTGGTCTCGAACTCCTGACCTCAGGTGATCTGCCCGCCTTACCCTCTCAAAGTGTTGGGATTACAGGTGTGAGCCACCACGCCGGGCCATGAAGTATACCAATTTTCTTACCTTGTTCCTAACCTACCATACTTTTCTTCTGTTCTACTACTCCAGGTTTTACTTCAGACATTTAATGTGGCTGTGTTTATGTCTTTTCTTTGACTTCAGGAAATACTAAAAGTAAAGCTCCAAAATTTTATTTAAGATGAAGTTGTTCTGATCCAAGTAGATTTTGATTATCCTATACTAAGGATATACTTGACAAAAGAAGGTAATCATCAATAATTATTACTTTAATGAGAAATAGGAATGAGACAATTCTACCAGGCTATACATTCATTTCCAATGTGTGTCCTTTTAGGGAATTTGTAGCTATAAAAGAATATAGTTGAGAAAGCAAATTTCAGAATTTTCACTTGAACAAAACTCACAATTCCATAGTAATTAAATAAAAAATATTAATGAAATAATGTGTCATTTTAAAATGTAAGTATAAATATGTTCAGGAGATCTATTGTGCAACATGGTGACTATACTTAATAACAAAATATTTTAGTCTAGAAAAGTGCTAAGATAGGAAATTTTCAAGTGTTTCCACTATTAAAATATTATAAGTATGTGAAGGAATTGATATTTTATTTAGCTCAATTTAGCTATTTCACAATGTATACATATTTCAAAAATAATGTACATAATAAATTTATATAATTTTTATTTTTCAATTAAAAATAAATGTTAAAGTATAAGTGTTAAAGTCTTGAATGCTCTCAGTAGTTTATATATAATGCAAAAAATTAATCCTGACTGTTGCTGTCTCATCTTCACCACAGTGTTACTTATGAAAAACCATTACTGCATTCTGCAGTATTGGTCCAAAGCAATATTGTAACTTGGTGATAGTATAGTAATCCTCACTTTCGCAGACCATTGCTGCATAATTGAGTCATTTGTATTACTAGCAAAGTGTGACTAACCTAAATGAGAGTTAAACATTCATGTCATGATTCTACCAAGTGCTCATGTTTGTCGATTCTGAGGCAGCACTTTCAAAGTATGTGAGGAAATACTACATAAATATTATCAATGAGTCATTTTAAAATAATACAATAATGTCAATTTTCAATACTGCAACAAAACTTGTGCATTATCAAGATGAGTGTAAGTGATTCATACTTGAATTACTGTTTTAAAAATTAATAAAAGTAAAATAGATCAATAAATAGAAAGGCTATTATATAATAATGATAATGGTAGAACGTATCATTCTCAGATTGCAAAAGAGCCATTAAGCCTAAATTAGTTTCAAATTTGCTAAAGAATTTTCAAATCAATGACAATTTGAAAGAAACCATATCAGAGTATTTCTGATATATGAATATCTGTGCATTCCATAGTTAGCACTTGATAATCTATATTTTCTCACAGCTTCTGTATAATTTGTCATCATTCAGCCTGTTGCAGCCGTCACATGCCCATATTCATGCACTTTACCTTGTCAAGATTTATAGAAACAATAAAGATAGTTGTTCAAATTCTTGGCAATCATATTTTAGAAATTGTCATTAAGTAGAAACCATTTTAATAGGATGCATTCATTTTAACTAAAATGAAATATAATTTCCCATAAATGGATATTAATAATGTTCAGTTTCTTTATTGTCTCAGAATAAACTACTATACCAAAACTCACAGAACAAATAAAGTATTTCTTAGTTACAAAGTAGATACTGGAGGATGACTATTAATGCTTTATGATTATAGGCCTCACTGGATAATATTTGCCAATTTTTATCTTTTCTTCAGATTTTATTTCACTAAAAGGGTTTCCCAGAAGGATCAGACTTAGACTCTTCATTTATTTTGGTTACTATATTTAATTTTATCTTAACGGAAATATCTTTAGTTTATTTGTGAAAGTATGACATTTATATAAATTATTTTGCCTGGCACACAGTAGCTGTTTAAGGCATTTGATAGTATCCATTAAACAATAAATTAAATAACAGATGCATATAAATATGAAAATATCACCTCAAAATTTAAATGACAGCAAATAATCCTCTAAATCTCAGAGAAAACCAATTAAATATATATATTCCGATTTTTTACATATATGTGATTTATTTACAAGTAGATACACAAACATATATTTACATAAATGAATTTACACTGTATGTACTCTATACATACAACTTTCGAGTTTTACTTTTTAAAAAATATTGATACTGATACAGTTATTTCTACCTCATTTTTTTCAGTGGTTGCACATTTTCATTAAATGGATGTATCATAAATTATTTAATCATTTTAACTTTATTGAATATAACCCCCTTCTAAAGGTGATGGCTGCTACTTAATTCCACAGATTAATCTCATGCAGACATTCTGGCTCATTATTAATGGATCTTCTGATGTTTTGAATAAAATCAGAAATCATTTTCATAACAGTATATTTCTTTTTCATGGGACAGATATTCTTTCATCCTCTTAAGTATATTATGAATCTTTTAATAAGTTCTCTTTCTTAAGTGTATATTTAATCTTGGTTTAAAAATGCTTATGTGAGAGAAAAACTTTAATATTTTTAAGTATTCTTTTATTTTGAGGTTTCTGCTGTAGCTGAACTTAATCCTAACTGATTGAGGTACATATTGCCAAATGGAAAATCTGAAAAGTTGTATCAATTTATATGCCCAGCAATGTTATATGAGATATCTTAATTAACTCTGCACACTGCTAACTTTTTTACCTTTGCAAAAGTGATGTGTTTTATATTATACTTCCTCAGTAGGAAATACAAAATATTTTCAAGGATATCCTTTTTTTGCATTTTCTTTTTATGACCATTTACCATTTTTCTACTTTGACATCTGCCATTGTCTATGGATTCGTAAGGTGTATTTTTTTTATTAAGGCTATTCAATATTAACTATGAATATGCATTACAAATGTATTTTTCTAATTTACTATTTGTTAATTCAACTTATGATGTATTTTTTTCTATAAAGGAATTGTGAAGTTTTACATAGTCAAAAGAAATTCTTCATTAGTCAATTAAGCCACTGCAACCTCTTTTTCTTCCAAGTAAGGAGTTGCAGAGATATCTAACCCCCTTACTGTACCAAGTGGAAGCAATAATTGAGGATATATAGCCCAATGAAAAGGGCAGTGCCCTGAGTAGCTGTTGACACTCAGAAAGAATGGCAAAAAGCCATACACTGAATGCTGGCCACTGGTACTTTCCTACTCAGATGGATTTCCCATTCTTTCAAATGCATGTTTAATTAAATGAATAGCTTGCACATACTAGCAAAGAAGGAATCTCAAAAACAAAAAATAAAAAATGATCACACTGTTGAGATTTTCCCAATATTTCAGAAAAGCCACCACCACGAAAGTGAAACCCCAAAGAGTAGCAGCATCTTGTGATATTTAAGAACAAGGACTCTGGGAGCCAGAGCATGTGGGCTCAAATCTTGTCACTGCTAATTGCTGTGTGAACCTTGATAAGTTTCTCTATATCTCTGTGTCTCAGTTTCCCAATTTATAAAATGGGATTAACAGTAGTAATTACCTCTCGGGGTAGTATTGAGGAATATACACGTGCATATGCATACATATATACTACATATATATGTACAATTATAAATATCATTCAACATTTATAAAATATTTGGGACAGCACTCAATGTTGTAAACCAATAATTAAATTTTAAGCCCTCCACCAAATGAAATGGACACCACTTCGGTCAAGGGGATTACAAAGAAAACCTGAAAAACTAGTTCAGACTGTGATGGGAAGGGAGGTTGAAATGCCTCATTATACTCCCTACCTTTGGAGTTTAGACACAATTGACTAGCATTAATATTAAAATATAGAACATAAGATTGACAAAACAGACTCTACATAGCAATAAGATACCAAATTCCAAACAAACTCTGGTATAGCCTTACGTGACAGATAGCAGACCCTGCGGAAAATTAAAGTATTTTACCCTAAATAATATTTCTTTGACATATCATGGAATGACCCTTCAAAGCCACCTCTTGTGGGGGAAATTTGCAATCTGTAGATATTAATCTTCCTTTTCCCGGTGTTTTCTTGATCCAGGAGACATTTAAGAAAGAGTCTGACACTTCATTAAATGTCTCCTGGATCGAGGATTTAAAAGCCTGATAAGAGATATTTACCATCTATTCTTTCTGAACCCTGTTACCTGGAAGCTTTGTCTACATAATAAGAACTTTCCCTTCCACAAGCCCCATCTTATCTTAACTGAAGCACTTTTTTTTTTATCTGCTGAATTTTTAACTCTGAAGGCAGATCTTAATTTTTTCAACCAATTGCCAATCAGGAAATCTTTAAATCCATCTGTGAGCTCCCACTTTGAGATGGCCCACCTTTCTGGGCCAAACCCCAATGTATACTTCACATGTATTAATTGATACCTTTGCCTGTAACTTATGTCTCCCTAAAAGGCATAAAACCAAGATGTAACCCAACCACCTTGGGTAAATGTTCCTAGGACATCTTGCAGTTGTGTCTCAGGCCATGGTCACTCATATTTGACTCAGAATAAACCTCTTCAAATATTTTAAATAGTTTTGCTTTTTTGTCAAAAACATGCAGTGATTTGTAAATAAAAATATAATAAATAAACTTCAGAACAAGGACCTACAACAGAAAAAACACAAACAGAGTAAAGAGATGTTATAAGAAGATGATAGAGGAGAAGGATGTGAGTATATTTGTTACTCTCCACAGGGACAAGCTGTTATGAAAAATATTGACTAGAGATCTTGAAAATTAATTATCATGAATATTTGTAGTGTTTCCTTAATCAGCTCTAAAGTAATCTGTAACTCTGGAGAACACATTTGCAACCTCTTAGTTTAGAATAAATTCCAGAGACATTCTAGTTTTATATTGGTAAAGATACATATTTTTTTTCCTTTTCTGAACAGTCACCTTTGCTACTGTTGTGTGCCTCTATGAAGATAGTTACATGTAAATTTCCCCAATCTCTCTCCTAATCTTCTCTACCTCTAAATCTAATTTGGGTATATTAGTAAATTTCCCCACCAAATCACAGATACTCTTGCCACTTTTAAGGCACTGGGCTAGAGAAAAAATAATGAAATTAGCACATTTATATATGTGACCTTTTCATGTGTCTCAGACCCCAGCTGTGCTTCTATATATTCTTCACCCAAATTAAAGTGTGTTATTAGGCTAATAGGTCCTAACAGATTTTTTTCCACCAAAGAAGATCAAAATATTTTACCCCAAAATATATTTCTTTGACATATTTTGAGATGGCTCTGGAAAGAAAGAGCAAACAGAACTAACCTTGCAAAAGTTCTTTTTGGGGCCAGATTTATAACTGTAGAGAATCTATATTGATGCAGCCAGGTTTTTTTCTGAAGCCTTCCCTAGTCCTGATCTAGAAAAGAATTAGCTGAGAGCCTGAAACCTTTAAAGGTCTGAAAAAAAAACATTTATCATATATTCACTTTGAGGGTTGCTACCTGTGAGGTTTAATCTACATAACAAAACCACCTTTGCTAGCCAAGTCTCCTCTTCTCTCCCTCCCATAAACTGTCTTGTCACGCTAACCTGATTTACCACCTTAATCCATTTTGGGCCATGCTCAGGATCCTCATTCTTTCTGTAACCTCAAAATGGTACAAAAGTTTCTGAATCTCATTAGGGGCTTGGGATAATTACTCTGGTTCTCCCTCTTATGCACATTAATATAATTGTATGCCTTTTCTCTAATTAATCTGCCTTTTGTGAGTTGATTTTTCAGCAAAACTTTAGAGGGCAAAGGGGAAGTTTTTCCTTGGCTCCTACACTGCTTGCTTCTGAAAACATTGTACTAGTCTATAGGGAAATTGGAGTATTCATTCTCATTGTCTTTCATCGTTTTTTTCCAAATTATACTGCATGTGATAAAAATTACTCAAAGCATAGTTTCTGCTATTGTCAGTATTCCCTAGTTGTAGTGTTAATGGAGATTATTTTCCTGATGTTTCCCTCTTTGGTTGTTTTTACCAGTCCTTAAGAGTTGTAAGCCAGCTTTTACAAAGCTGTCTTTTCAAAATAACTCACTTGATTTACATAATGAACTATTGTAATGTATTTTCTATTATTGAACCACTTTTGTATTCTTTCAATACATCCAATTATTTATTATAAATTATTTTTTATTACAAGGCTTATTTTGATTTTCTGATAATCAGTTCAAATTTTATAAATACACTTGATAACATAAAATCCCAATATTCCCTACACCTCAGACTGAAACACCCTCCCCACATTACAATATAATGATTCAATGTTATAGTGAGAGTTGTAACTGTCAGAAATCTAAAAACAATAGAATTTGATTATACACTGTGTAAACCAAAGGTATCCAAGAAAGGTCTCAATCAATTTAGAAAATTTATTTTCCCAAGGTTAAGGACACACCCATGATACAACCTCAGGAGGTTCTGATGACATGTGACATCAGGTGGCCAGAGCACAACTTGGTTTTATATATTTTAGGGAGACATGATATATCAATCAATATATTTAAGATGTACATTGGTTCAGTTTAGGAAAGGCAGGACAACTTGAAGTGGGGAGGGCACTTCCAGGTCATAGGTAGATAACAGACAAACGGTTGCATTGCATTCTTTTGAGTTTCTGATTAGCCTTTCATTGAATGAACAATTTGCAGGAATAGTCACTTACCCCTTAGTCTGGCTTAGTGAAACAATGGGGCAAAGGAAGCAATCAGGTATGCATTTGTCTTATGTGAGAAGAGGGAAGACTTTGAGTTCTGCCTGTCCTTTGTCCACAAGGAATTTCCTTGTGGGCAAACTGTGAAAGAGGTATGTAGCTTTTTTTTTTTTGTAACCCTTGTAGCTATTTTATTTAAAAGTAGAATGGGAGGCAGGCTTGCCCATGCATTTCCCAGCTTGCCTTTTCCCTTTAGCTTAGTGATTTTGAAGAGATTTATTTTTCTTTCACACATATAAACCAAAAATAAAATTCTAGGCCCCACAACTATCTGAATGAACCCCCTCCTCTCAGCCAAGGACGTTCCAAAGTTTACCTGAAAAACTGGTCCAGACCATGATGGGAAGGGAGAGTCAGATATGCTTCATTGCCATTAACTTAACACAGACCTTAAGGCTGACAGAACAGACTCCTTAAGATAGATAAGAAACACTTACAATCAATTCTCTCTGAAGCCTGCTACCAGGAAGCTTCATTTGCATGATAAATCCTTGGTCTCCACAATCCCTTATCTTAACCGAGACATTTCTTTCTGTTGATTCTGATTCTGGGTCTTTAGATAGTAACTCAACCGTCAATCAGAAAATTTTTTAATCTGACTGTGACTTGGAAGCCTCTACTTCCACTTGTCCTGCCTTTCCAAACCAAACCAATGTATATCTTACCTGTATTAATTGATGTCTTATGTTTCTCTAAAATGCATAAAACCAAGTTGCAGCCCATCCACCTTGGGCACATTTCATCAGGATATCTTGAGGCTACATCACGGGCATGTCCTTAACCTTGGCAAAATGAACTCATCCATTGATTGAGACTTTTCCCAAATACTTTTTGGTTTACAACACTAAACAAAGTATGCAAATTGTAACATATAAATTGTACTTATATTTGCTCTGAGTCAATGTAACAATAATAGTTAACACCAGCAATACAACTAAGAATGTACAGGTGCCAGGTACTGTTCTAAGGAATTGATATATATTAATGCATTTAATCTTTATAGCAACTATATATGGAATTAGGTATAATTACATTTCCATTTTACAGCTGGGAAATCTTGGGCAATGGAAGATTCAAATAACTTGCCCAAGGTCATTTAGCCAGTAAGGGGTAAGCTAGAAATGATATCTTAAAGAAAGAAACAAGGAGTAAAGTTAAAATAAGTGGATCATCTCACAGAACTATTGGTACCATTTTAGGTTATATTATTTGAACTATGATGTATCTGTTCATGATTTGGGGTAGGAATTTGTATCAGTGATGAGGGGGTGGGTAAGGGGAATGTGATGAGCAACCAAGACGCTTCACGAGGATGGTTACTGTCATTTAGCAACAGCCTTAAGTTCTCAGTGTTCTACAATGAAAACAGTTATTTTCATCCTCATGGGCTTGGCTAGGCCAGGCTGGACTCCAGGTTTATGATCAGATTCAGGATAACTCCATATCTTTAGCCTCAGGCCAAGCCTGCAGAGGCAACAGCTACCAGAAACATGCTTTTTACTTGGCATATTTTAGAACCAAAAGAGGAGAGGAAAAGCAAGCAAGTCAAACAAGCAGATTAAAAGTCTCTTCTTGTTCATGTCTTTGGTTCAGCGACTCATAAGGCCAAGCCTATCATTAATGAGGTCAGAAAATATAATCCAAATACTTTAATGTAATGTACTGAAAGGCCATATGACAAGGGGCATAGATGTATAGTTCTATAACAGAAAAGGAGAAAAAAATTGGAAATAATATTCCAAACATTCACACTACTATGTACATTCATAGGTGATTTTCAGTTTTGTTTTGTATTGTATTACTTTGTTTTATTATCTATGTTGAATTTCAGGCTAAGAAATCTATTACCTTCATAACAAAGAGGAATTATTACTTTTTATGTACTCTGAAAATATTTAAATAATATAAGATTGATGTATGTCTTTAACATTTGCAAGAACTTAGGAGTAAAACTATCTTGGCCTAATGCTTTTATTCAAATAATTATTAGGTAAAAATTTAAATTTGTTTCTTAAACAAGTTCATTGAGACTTTTAATTTTTTAAACCTTATTAACTTATAAATTATTATATACTTAACAAACATGTTCAAATTTTGTCATATAACTGCATGTCATTATGTATATATAATGATATATATATATATAAAATGTGTGGTATACATATATATAAAATGTGTGGTATATATATATACCACACACAAACATACAGACACATGTATATTTCTTAATAAGATTGATTATACTTAGGTTGTCTATTATTCATTTATTCAATTTATTTAACAAATATATTGCTAAGCTATGAATATATGTCCTTTAACTTTTAAATTATTCTAATTTTATTTTATAGTTTATCTCCAGTATAATTTTTATTTATTTTATTTGCTATTATTCAATTATTTTAAAAGTAAGGGTGTGCTTTGATACATATTTATATTGTTATATTTTGAAAAGCATATTTTCATTAATTGGCTTATTTTTCCCATTCTTCACTGCTGTATCAGGACTATAAATTTATAACCTTTGTCATTTGAATTATTGACCTTTCAACTTTTCTTATTACAAAATAATATATCAAGCAAATATTCTTAAGGATTATGTCCCGCATCACTTTAATCCTTCCCTGTAAGGTAAGGATTAGATGGGACCCAAGAATCAGGTAAGAACTAGATATATGATTAAGTAGCGAATGGGTTCCTTGTTACTTATATTACCTAAAAATAATTAAATGAAATTTTATATTTTTTCCCAACTTCCTATTTAAGAGTCTCCTACATTGTTCTTCATTGTGGATTAAAACATTGCTCAATAAAAATAATTTTCTTATCCTGGTTTTAGTACTATTTTAGCCTTGAATGCTATGTGTCTGACAATGACATCCTGTTCTGTTTTGTGTTTAATTTGGCATGTATTGCCAAGTGCTTACTTTTAAACCACATTTTGTTTATATGGTCTCTTATAAACAGTATGTGGTTGATTCGTTTCTCTTTAATCCTAGAATGAATTATTTCCTATTCACTGGATTTTTTTTTTATCATTTATGTTTATTTTCATAATTGACGTGTTTGGTTTTATTTTTCCAATATGGATTATATTCTCTATTATGTATATGTTTTACTGTTTCAGTAATTCGTATTATTGTCATTTTTAAAATTTTTAATGATTAGATGGAATATTAGTCAGGATAAGCTAGATACACTTAATACAACATGTAACCACACAATTTTAGTGGCATTATGAACTAAGGTTTTCTGTTTGTTTTTACTCAATGTATAGTCTTTTGCTCGTGGACTGCATCACATTTCCAAGTCTTCTTCATTCCTGGGCCAAGGCTGATGAGGAAGCCTTTACCTAAAATACTGCTAGTCTAGAGACATTGCAGATTAAGTACAAAGAGAACGATTCACTGACTCTTAAAATTTTTAAAATAATTTGACTTGCAATTAGAAAATTATATATCCAAGCCTAATATCCAAGAAGTGTGAAAAAGTAATCCTTACCCAGAGAAGGGCATTGAATGTTTGTGATAAATAATAGTTATCTGCCACAGAAGATATTTGCCTCTGTTTGTAAAGCAAAAATAAAATTCTAAGTCCTACAACTGACTGAATGAAACCCCTCTTGGCCAAGCGGATCCCAAAGAATCCTGAAAAACTACTTTAGGCCATGATGGTAAGTAGGGGTTGGACATGCCTCATATGCCCTCTTCCCTTTGGAGATTAGACACAACTGACCAGCACTAACATTAAAACAGAGGTATTAAGACTAACAAAACAGACTCTTTGTAGCAATAAGATACCAAATTTTAACCTGACTCTAATATAGCATCACATGACTAATAGCAGACCCTAAGTGAAATCAAAATGTTTTACCACAAAATACATTTCTTTGACATATTCTGAAATGGCCTTACAAAGCTGTCTCTTGTGGCGTAAATTTGCAATTGGTAGAGAATCTCCTTCCCTTACTAGGTCTTTTAGGGAGTGTCTGACAACCTTTAAGGTCTAATAAGAGACAGTCACCATTTAGTTTCTCTGAAACCTGCTACCTGGAGGCTTCATCTACATGACAAGAACCTTGGTTTCCACAACTCCGTTATCAAACTCAAGCATTTCCTTATGCTGAATTCAACTTTTCAGCCAATACTTAACTCTTTCAACCAATTGCCAATCAGGAAATTTTTTAATCTACCTATGACCTGAAAGGCACCAGTTTCATGCCCTGGCTATTTCTTCCCTTTCTGATTTGTTTAATTAGTCTGGTGTAGTAGAGCAAAATAAACATTTTACAGTCACTTTTCTGATTAATTATCTCATTTCTGTATTGTGACTTTATTTATTTAAAAAATTCAGTCTTTGTAGCTACCTTTGTCATATCATCAGTATCCTTATGTCATTTATTTGTGTTTTATTAAAATTAATTCCTTAACTAGAGAAAATTTTCTTTTGTTCTTGTTTTTGTTCAAGATTGTCATTAGGCAATTGGTCTTTTTAAATGATTTTGCATCATATAGATGGTCTATTGCCTTCACTAAAAAATGAGTATATGCCTAGTTATCATATTACATTATTACTTTGTAAACTTTTTTCCTTTAGAAAATTAAATATTTCATGCTATGATCTCTTGGATGGTAGTGTTCTGGAGAATAAAACTGAGGTAAATTAAATCTCATTCTTTTATATAGCTAAGTAGTATTCCATTTTCTATATGTACCACATTTTCTTTATCCATTCATTTGTTGATAGACACTTAAGTTGCTTCCAAATCTTGGCCATTGTGAACAGTGCTGCAACATGGGAGTGCAGATATCTTTTTGGTATGCTATTTTTGTTGGATATATACCTAGCAGTGGGATTGCACAACTATATAATAACCCTATTTTTAGTTATTTTCTTCTTATTTATTTATTTATTCTATTTCCACAGGTTTTGGGGAACAGGTGGTTTTTCGTTATGTAAGTAAGTTCTTTAGTGCTGATTTGTGAGATTTTAGTGCACCCATCACCTGAGCAGTATATGTTGTACCGAATTTGAAGTCTTTTATCCCTCACCCCTGGCCCACACTTTCCCCAAGTCCCCAAAGTCCATGATATCATTCTAATGTCTTTGCATCTTCATCGTTTAGGAAAACCACAGTTCTATGGGATAGAGGGAGGAGGAATGGGGTGTTTAATAGTAGTTACAGAGGTTCAGTTGTGAAAGGTAAAAACGTTCTGGAGATTTATGGTGGTTACAGTTGTAAAAAAATGTGAATGCACTTAATGTCATAAAACTGTACACAGAAAAATGGTTATGATGGTATATTTTACATTATGTATATTTTACCACAATAACAAATCAAATAGGTAAATCAAATGCATAGAACCTAGTTATAATCAAGAAGATGAAATGTATTAAAATATACAACCCAAGTAGGATTCAACCATGTATTTTTATTAGGCTAAAAGTCAACTACTTTCCTATGTTTAGGGAACATTTATAGGTCTATAACACCTTTTGTGAGAGAACAAGTACAAATAAGCGATGAAGGACAGTAATTATATGAAGATTTGTTTGACAGCTAAATACATGATGCACAATGCTCTCAAAAAATTTCGTTCAAAATATACTGCTAAAATTGTTCCTGAAAAAGAAATTTTGATTTGTTCATTATTCTATTAATATTGAGGGAAAGTTACAGAGCCTTTGCTTTCATGCAACTAAATTTTCCAATCACCTCATAATATGCTTTACTAGTCAGGCTTCTCCAGAGAAACAGAACCAATTGGTTGTATATTTAGAGAGAAAAATATATTTATTATAAGAAATTGGCTTATTAAATAATGGAAGCAGGGAAGTTCCAAGATCCACAGTCAGAAAGCTGAAGATGAGGAGAGCCAATGATGTAGTTCCAGTCTGAGCACAAAGGCCTGAAAACAATGAGAGACAGTGGAATAACTTCCAATCTGAGTCCAAAATTCTGATAGCTAGGAGAGCCAGTGGTGTAAGTTCTGGTTCAAAATCTGGTAGGCTTGAAACCCAAGAGCTGATTTTCAATTCTAATCAGAAAGCAGGAAAAGACTAATTCCTAGCTCAAGCAGTCATAGATGAAGAGTTTTCTCTTACTCAGTCTTTTTGTATTTAGGTCTTCAATTGACTGAATGAGGCCCCTCAATATCAGGGAAGGCATTCTGTTTTACTCAGGCTACCTATTCAAATGTCAGTCTCATCCAGAACACCCTGACAGCCACACTCAGAATAATGTTTGACCAAATATCTGGACACTCTGTGATCCAGTCAAGTTGACACCTCAAATCAGCCATCCCAAGTTGACCCCTTGTCAATTTGACACCTGTATACATCTCCTTAAACCATGTGCAAATTCTAAATAAAGATAATAACCAGGTTATAATTCTGCCTAATATAATACAACTATACTGCATACAAGTGAAAATGCAACTAACCTCTTACCCAGAAGAGGTAGTTTTTGAGTGATGTTTACTTTGAGTAATGTTTTCTCCTGTTCTTGATACCCCATAACTTAAACAACATAATTTAAAATTAACAATACTTACATAATTTAAAGTCAATACATCTTATGTTACATGATAAGGAAATATAAGAATACAAAGATAGTTGCTTGATACATACATGCATAAACATATAACAAAATAAAGAGGAAATATGCTTGACAATTATGGTCCTCATTTCTATAGCTGGTCATGTGGTCATAGCTGGTATTTATAAAAACCCTCATCCACTACCCATTCTGCATTCCCTTTGCCTTCAGCATGCATGTCAGTAAGCAGTGATTTTTAACCAGTGGAGTGACCCATTAGTAGTCCTGCCTATATCAGGTTGCTCTAGCTTTCCATTGAGTTTAACCACAGGGCATGATAATACTAAGAAATAACCTAAAGGATTTATTTCCTGTATTCTAGACATCTTTACTTTAATTGTGGAGTAATACTCCAATTTCCCCTTGGTAGATGGCATTAGTTACCACAGCCAGTATAGTAATTTCCTCCTTTTCCTGTTGATTCAGAGGCACAAGGAGCTCAAGGTGACCTAGAAGCAGTCTTACTTTTCAATGAAATCATTGTTGTGTGAAAGTATTCATCATTTTGGAACAAAGACATCTAGCCATCTCAGCTATATGAAGCAAAAAAAAAAAAAAAAAATTGCTAGTAGATCACTAGGGAGAGTAGTTAGTGGTGACACTCTCATTCCCACCTTTTGATTTCCGGACCCATCAATCTTGGCTATGGGAGAAACAGAATATATTGGACTCTGATGTATAACACATACAGCCTTCGGGAGAATTTTTCTTATGCCTTGTAAAGTATTCACACTGAACTGGTTCTGTGAGTCTTCAAAAGACCAAATTGTCAAACCAGCTGCTTTAGAATTGTAGGAAGTACGGTAAGATTGATAAATTCCATGATCATGGGCCCATTTCTGCATTTTATTTACTATGAAGTGAGTTCCTTGATGAGAAGCAGTTCTACGGGAAATACTATGATAGTGGATAAGGCATTCTGTAAGTCTGTGAATGACAGTTTTGGCAGAAGTATTGTGTGAACAGAAGGCAAATCTGTATCCAGAGTGTCTATTACAATAAAAACAAAACATTATCATTTCCATGATAAGAGGAATGCAATATAATCAACCTGCCACCAGGTAGCTGGCTGATCACTTTGTGGAAGGGAGCCATAGAGAGTACTCAATATTGTTCTCTGCTACTAGCAGATTGTGCACTCAGCAGTGCCAGAAGCCATAACAGTGGTGGCTAGGGAAAGGGGTTAATATCCACATAATGGATTGTCCTATGTACTTGATTATTAAAATTCTTTTCTGCTGTGGTAGCTCTTTGATTAACATTTACATAGGACACAAATATTTTCACTTTTTTTTTTTTTTTTTTGCCCATTCAGAGATGTCTGTCCACATGTTTCTTTCCCAAATTTTCCTGTCACTAATTTTTCAATCATGTTTTTTTCAAAGGTTTTAAACACTTGACCGTGGGCAACTTCTTCATGTAACTTACTCTTGCCCTCAGAACCTACTTTAGTTTGATCACATACATACCACTTCCATTTGATGATTAAGTGGCGTTGTGCATACCCAACTTTATGGCTTGGTGAGTCAGACAACACACAGTTTATGATGGACATCTCAGAACATGGTAACTTGGCGTTCAGTTTCTACTAAGGCCCAATAGCAGGCCAAATGCTGTCTCTGAAAAGGAGAGTAATTATCTATGGATTATGGCAGGGCCTTACTCTGCAATCTTAAAAGCCTCTGTTGTGATTCACCTATGGTGGCCTGCCCAAGGCTTCAAACAACATCCCTATCTCCCACCGACACCTCAAGCACCACTGGATCTGCTGGGTCATATGGAAGTGGCAAAGCAGCTTGCACAGCAGACTGAACCTGTTTCAGAGCCTTCTCCTGTTTTGGGCCCCACACAAATTAGGAATTCTTCGTGCCACTTGGCAGAAAGGCCAGATTAACACACCCAAATGAGTAGTATGAGAGGCCCACTGGGCATTGCACCTCTTTTATTGGTATACTAGGAACTAGATGAAACAACTTTTTCCTTCACCTTTGGAGGGATATCTCAACATGCCCCACACCACTGGACCCCTAGAAACTTCACTGACATAGATGGACCCTAAATTTTAGTTGGATTTATTTTTTTACCTTCTGTCACGCAAATGTCTCACCAATAAGTCTAAAGTAGTTACTGCTTCCTGCTTACCACGTCCAATCAGCATAATGTCATCAATGTAACAAGTGAGTTGATATAATGTCTTATGGAAGAGAAAAGTGAAAAATATCCCTGCAAGGTAATAACGGCAAAGGATGGAGAGTTGATATATCTTTGAAGTAGGACAGTGAAGATGTATTGCTGGCTGTGCCAGGTGAAAGCAAAACACTTTGGTAGGCTTTACTAACAGGTATCAAGAAGAAAGTATTTTTCAGATCAGTAGCTACATACCAAATATCAGAGGATGTGTTAATTTGCTCAAGCAACAAAACCACATGGGCACAACAACTACAATTGGACTCACCATCTCGTTAAACTTACTGTAATCCACTGTCCTTCTCCAAGATCCATCTGTGTTCTGCACAAGCCAAATAGAAGAGTTGAATAGGAATGTAATGGGAATCATGGCACCTGCATTATTCAAGTCCCCCATGGTGGCACCAATCTCACAATCTCTCCAGGAATGTGGTATTCCATGGCGTTTAATGTTTTACTAGGTAGGGCTAATAATATTGGCTTCCACTTGCCTTTCCCATCATAAGTGCCTTCACAAATCAGATTAAAGAAGAAATGTGGGAATTCTGCCACATGCTAAGCAGGTATATTCCAATTATGGATTTTGGAAATGAGTAATAATCACAGAATATGTTGGGTTATTAGAAGAGCTGAATTTTTAGTTTGAGTCCAAATGTGAGGAAAGATCAATGTGCCATCTCAGGCAGTCAGGCAAGGGGAGTTTCCTTTTACTTGACCTTCTTGTTCTATTTAAGTCCTTGAGTGATTGGATGACGATGAGGCTTGCATCCATTAGAGAGGGCTATCTGCTTCACTCAGTTTACCAATTAAAACTTTAGTGTCATCCAGAAACCTTTTCATAAGCACACTCAGAATAATGTTTGACAAACATCTGGGCACTCCATGGCCCAGTCAAGTTGATACATAAAATTAAGTATTTCAAACCTTGATCTTAGGAATCTAATTATTCACAGTTGCTCTTTCCTGTTGCTGTGCATTTAGGCTCTTTACTTATTATAACCTTAATTTTCTTCAGAAAATGAACAAGTAGAAGGAATGAAGTTAAATTCAAGTCATTTACCTTACTAAGTTATTAATGTCAGAAAAAGGCAATTATAGGCTATCTCTTGCACATCTTATTTGAAATATAGCATACTTACAGAAGTATAAGTACCCTTTGAAATCATGTGGTCCAACCTCCCATCCAATGCAGGCCATAGTAAAACAAATCATACCTTAAAATTTGTCACATCTTATTTTCTTTTTATCTTAGGCTGGTGTTATTTTATGTAGTATTGTTCTTATACTGAATCACTTAAACCTTCACATTGGAGTTGGACTGCTAGCTCTGAAATTACTAGCTTAATATGTTGCAATCAGAAATGGGACATAGACATGCTGACACTTCTTTTTGGACATTTACTTCCTCCCATCTCTCTATCAAGATCTATTTGTGTACTGCTAATTTTTACTTACCCCATATATAAAAATGTACAATGCTTACAGACCTGCATTTTCAAATATGTGATTTGACTAGCTATTCAAATTTTAACCAGTTGTGTTGGTATTTTTTAGGCATCTCCAAAGTTAAATTAAAAAATAAAATAGAAGTCTGTGAAGGAAACTACATGCTTAACCGGAACTTTCTCATGTGAGCAGTCTTTTGTTGGCATTCCAATCACCTAAATTTGTTGTTTGCAGAACTAGAAAGTTTACTTTGTCAGTCTACTAAAAGCTGTTTTTGTTTCAAGGATGATGAAAATGGAAATGATTGACATTGACTGAACTTATAAAAAATCAATGTTTATAACAGAATGTTGATTTAGTAATTTACATTTGTGAAAATTTTTTTCAGTAATCAGAATACCATATTAAGGACACAAAAATCCCAGAACCAGGGTTAAGTAGGCAACTGAGTTAATAATCAAAAGACAAATTAATGATTATAAGATCAGAGCAAAGTGTATTACCCTTGGGAGGCAATTTATCCACATTTTGAATATTGTTATTACTAATCTGAGCCACAGTAGAATGAGTCTCCCTAAACTTTAGAATTGTAGAGATAAAGGGTCATTTCATTTAAAAAGTTATGACTAAAAGCTAATCTATTTTTTTCAGTTCCCCTTGTCTAAACCTTAACACCCTTCTGTTATCAAACATCTTTAAGAGATGTGATGATATGATTAATTACAGTATAGCATTCTTTATTTACATTCTAGTTTACCCTCAGTACTGATAATATTTCTTCATCTTTTGGAGTAAAGTCCTTTCCATAGCTTCTTAAATCACATGTTTAAAATGATCTCAGTTATATTGGTAAGGCAGAAACTTAAAGGTCTTATTTTTCTTTCTAATCAGTACCAAGACCAGTGTGCAGTTCCCAGTAAGTACTCAACAAATTTTTTTCAATAAATATTTTTGAATTATATTCCGAATATAATTATATTCAGAATATAATTCAGAATATTCAGAGGTAGACACTAGCTCTATTTCTAAACACTGATATTAACATTTCACTGAATATATTATTGACATATGCTTTGAAAGGATAAAACATATTTCAATTCATGTTTATGAGCTAATTTTGCAGTTCTCTATCATCAGCTGACTGTGTGATGTATTCCCCTCTGATTGATATTGTATTATACTGGGAAGATTATTTTTGAAATTCTGCAATGTTTACATTTAAAAATTTATAAATATTTATAAATATCAAGAAGTGAAGTATTTCAGAGTCAAAGTAATTTATGAAATGAAAAAAAATTTAGAAAGTATTACAAAAAGCCCAAATTGTTCAGTGTAATATTTTTTCTATTCCATCTGAGTTAGCAGTGGAATGGGAAATATAGGAAGTGACAATAAGAATTTGAGTCATTTTCCCAAATGTATATTCATTTTAAATGTAGTACTCTGAAGTGTCAGCTAACTTTCTTTGTTTTTTAACATAGCATATAATTTCCCTAATGTTTTGCAAAACAAAAACAAAAAAAACCACCTTCCAGTAAACATAAAAATCTTGTATCTATTTTTAAATGTTTAACAGTTTACTGATACATAATTCACATATTATACAATATATTCATTTTAAGTGTATAATCTGATGTTTTTTAGTATATTCACAGGGTTGTGCAAACATCAACACAATCTAACATTAAAATATTTCCATTATCCCATTAACACAGGAATTAAGAAGAAATTACTTAGGCAGATAGTGTGGGTACAAAAGTCCTCAGTAAGGTTTTTCTTTTAATGAAAAGCAGCTTCAAATTATTTTCCTTTCTAACAAAGAGCAGCCTGTAAAATTGAGATGCAGACACAGATGCTGGCAGTTGTGCCAATCATCTTCAAGATGGCAGCTTCATCTTCCATTCTCTTTGTCAACCATGTATACAGGAAGGAGCAGACAAGATGGCACCAGCCAAGGGGAAAGTTTATTTGCATAATAAGATTAGGGTGGGGCAGCCAGCCTTCCCAGCACACTATGTAAATGTCATACCTGATCAAATCAATCTGTGAGCCCTATGTAAATCAGACACTGCCTCTTCAAGCCTGCCTAGAAAATCTGGTGCATCTGCTGCCAGCCAGTCTTTCCTCTCAAAAGTCTCCCCTCTATCACTGGAGAGAGATCTCTTTTTGTTTATCTTTCCTTCTCTTTATTTTGCCTATTAAACTTCCATTCCTAAACTCCTTGGGTCTGTTAGTGTCCTAAATTTTCCTGGTGTGAAACAACAAACCCTGAGTATTTACCCCAGACAATGTGGCTGTTTCATATTGGGGGCTCCTCCAGGATACCAAGGTACAACATTCACCAAAACGGTCAGTAGAGGAGCAGACTTCAACTCTGTCCTTTCGTTTCAAGGCTGTTGGCCTCCATTTTAGAACCAGATCAAATCAACAATAGGCATCCATCAGCCAGTTATAAACACGATGAGCCTGGCTGCCATTCTTAAAGGCTCAGATGAGAGAATTACTGGGGAGAACATGGAGAATCCTTCAGTGCCCATGGGTTGCTGGGTATGTTGGCCATGTTTGAACCAGCTTCCTTTCATGGAGGATGTAGCCATCACGTGGGGCTGGAAGAGGTTCTGAAGAAACTGAGGATTTCTGGCTGGGGCTATTCCCTGGTGTTATTCAAAGGCTGGTAGACTGACCCCAGCCTCTGACCACCTGATGAGGTGTTGGCAACAGGATCTCCAACTGTTCTATTGTAATTTCCTCATTTCCTATTTATGGTCTTTAATAATTGAGTAAGTTATACTCCTGTGAACAAAATTTGGAGCATGTTTGTTTTTGCCTGGTTTCTCTGAAATTTGGAAACTAACTGTGAGTATTCTTAACTTATGGCAATATACTTGTTTGCATCAATGCAATAAGAATCCATTTTTCTTTTGCAACAGGACACTATTAGCAAAAAACTGGTTATTTTACCAAGGTTTGACTGGAAAGGTGTGTTTCCCTTTAAGGAATCAAGCTTGATGTGCAGAGGCAATAAGAGCCCCTTGGAAACTACTGGCCTCAAACTTGTCTATGCAGTCCCCATACAGGGTTGCCGACCTGTGGTCAGTAAAGAATGTCACTTTCTAACAGGTCCAGGAGCTCCCAGTTTATCCTGGGACCTTAAGAAAAAAAGATCAATAAACTCACAGGTATTTCAGGATACAAACCCATGGCTGGGCTCAACTTTAAAAGGTCTTATCTAAGACTCTTTGTGGAACAGAGTTCCATCAAAGCCAATCCAAAAGTTCTATGTAGAAATAATTAATCTTTCTGTACTTATGCAAATAATCAGGCCAAGTATAAGACTAAACTTTATTCTACCAGCAACACAATCCTATCATAATTTGTTTTTACCAAAAATGAGGACTGGAGAGAGAAATTGTGCTCCAAAGCTTATCATACATTTGTCATTAAATTCTAGTCTCATTGGTTGTTTTTTAAGCTTTTGCCTACATTTTAGACTAATCCTGCTTATTCTTGTGAATCATGTGGTGATCTCTTGCACCTTGGAAAAAAAAAAAAAGGGATGGGTAATGTAAAAATCTGGATCAATATGTTAGTTCTGGGCAATTATCCTGCAAATTCTGCCAGGTAATGAAAGTGAGTAGGGTGCCCACAACCCATAACTTTCTTTGTTTAGAAAAATAAAACCAAGAAATGTTATAGACCCTCAAAAGAAAAATTCTATATCTTGGCAAGTAAAATTTTAGATGGAAATAATCTACTACATTACCCTTGAAGGAATTGCTATACTCACTCTACTATTTGTAGTAGAGCTATACATGGTAGCACCTTCTAACTGAAATATTGGACATAGTTTCTATCATTGTAGTATTTTGCTTAATTATTAGCCTTATGGCAGGGATAATAGTTACCAGCAAAAAGGAGTCATAAAAATTTTACTGTCACAGAGTCTGCTAAAACTTCTTACTGGGTTTGGTAATATTTCACACCCTGGCTATGCAAAGAAGGTTATAAAGGGAAGATATATTATATAAGAAAGGGTCTTGTATGGTAAATACTTGTCTTAAAGAGAATAGTTGGTTGTTAAAAAGAGGGATGTTTAGGGCAAGTTAGAAAGTTTAAAGATGTCATAGATGGATCATGAAAGACATGATAGGGTTATAAGAATGGAAAATACTTGTCCTAAAAAGAATAGTTGGTTGTTTAAAAAGAAGGATCTTTAGGACAAGTCAGAAAGATTAAGCAAGGCTTACATGAGATGTAGAAGTCATAGAGGGATTAATAATTGCAGGAAAGATTTAGCCAAGGTTAACACTAAAGTTACTCTAACCACCCAAATCTAATACCACTTATTTTAAAAGGAATCTTACTTTCATATTAACATTTCAGCAACATCTGGTGAAGGCAAGCCAGTATTACAACACATTGAAGTTGCTGACGGCAATCAAACTTTAAATGATGCTGCAGACAGAGTATGGACACGCTTTTCTTCCAAGGACCCCTAGATAGACCTCAGGAAGAGACCTAGCTGCTGTTCCCCACACAATGCCTTTTTTTCAGCAGGAAGTAGCCAGAAAGAGTCTTCATCCAACATTCCTTAACAGCAGTTAGGGTTACCACTCCAGAAGGGGGAATGATACCGGAGTTAACAAGAAATTACCTAGGCAGATAGTGAGAATACAGAAGTCATTAGTAAGGTTTTTCTTTTAATGAAAAGCAGCCCCAAATTATTTTTCTTTCTAACAAACAGCAGCCTGTAACATTGAGCTGCAGACATAGATGCCGGCAGTTGTGCTAATCATGTTCAAGATGGCGGCTCCATCTTCCTTTCTCTTTGTCAGCCACGTGTAGAGCAAGGAGCAGACAAGCTGCTGCCAGACAAATCATTAAAAAGTCAAGAAACAACAGGTGCTGGAGAGGATGTGGAGAAATAGGAACACTTTTACACTGTTGGTGGGACTGTAAACTAGTTCAACCATTGTGGAAGTCAGTGTGGCGATTCCTCAGGGATCTAGAACTAGAAATACCATCTGACCCAGCCATCCCATTACTGGATATATACCCAAAGGACTATAAATCATGCTGCTATAAAGACACATGCACACGTATGTTTATTGCAGCACTATTCACAATAGCAAAGACTTGGAACCAACCCAAATGTCCAACAATGATAGACTGGATTAAGAAAATGTGGCACATATACACCATGGAATACTATGCAGCCATAAAAAATGATGAGTTCATGTCCTTTGTAGGGACATGGATGAAATTGGAAATCCTCATTCTCAGTAAACTATCGCAAGAACAAAAAACCAAACACCGCATATTCTCACTCATAGGTGGGAATTGAACAATGAGAACACATGGACACAGGAAGGGGAACATCACACTCTGGGGACTGTTGTGGGGTGGGTGGAGGGGGGAGGGATAGCATTGGGAGATATACCTAATGCTAGATGACGAGTTAGTGGGTGCAGCGCACCAGCATGGCACATGTATACATATGTAACTAACCTGCAGATTGTGCACATGTACCCTAAAACTTAAAGTATTAAAAAAAAAAAAGATGGTGCCAGACAGGGGGAAAATTTGTTTGCATAATAAGATTAGCCTTTTCCATTCGCTATGTAAATGTCATACCTGATCGAATCATCCTATAAGCCCTATGTAAATGAGACACCACCTCTGCAAGCCTGACTATTAAATCTGGCCCGTCCGCTGCCAGCCGGTCGTTCCTCTCAGAAGTCCCCTCTCTCTCACTAGAGAGAGAGCTATTTTCCTTTCTCTTTCTTTTGCCTATTAAACCTCCACTCCTAAACTCCTCATGTGTGTTGGTGTTCTGAATTTTCCTAGCATGAGACTGACAAACCCTGGATATTTACCCCAAAAAATGTATCTGCTTCACCATTAGCAGTTGCAATCCACTCAGTCCTCTTCCAGCCTGATGAAACATTACTCTACATCCTGTCTTGATAAATTTTTCCATTCTGGACTTTTCATATAAAAGTAACCATATAATATGCTATTTTTTGTGACTGGCTTCGTTCACTTAGCATAATGTTTTCAAGGTTTATCCACATTGTTACTCGAATGACTATTTCTTTTTTTTCTTTTTTTTTTTTTTTTTTGAGTGAAGTCTCGCTCTCTCCCCTAGGCTGGAGTGCAGTGGCACGATCTAGGCTCACTGCAAGCTCCACCTCCCGGGTTCACACCATTCTCCTCCCTCAGCCTCCCAAGTAGCTGGGACTACAGGCACCTGCCACCACGTCCGGCTAATTTTTTTTTTTTTCGTATTTTTAGTAGAGACGGGGTTTCACGGTGTTAGCCAGGATGGTCTCCATCTCCTGACCTTGTGATCCGCTGGCCTCAGCCTCCCAAAGTGCTGGGATTACAGGCCTGAGCCACTGCGCCCGGCCTCGAATGACTATTTCATTGCTTCTAATGGTGGAATAATATTTCATTATATGAATATACTACAACTTGTTCATTCATTTATCAGCTGATAGATATTTGAATTGTTCTGACTTCCTGGATATTATAATACTGCTATGAACATTTGTATAAAAGTTTTGGTGTAGATGCATGTTTTAATTTTTCTTGGGAATATACAAGTTCATTTTAATATTATTTAAATTGTTAAATAAAATATCAAACTGAAATGAAATACTTATTTCTGAAATTACACTTGCTCCCATGCACATTCCAAGTATTCTTATGTGTCTTCTTGAATGATGGTATGTTCTTCCTGGTTTTAAAGTAACTCTTCTAGAATCTCAAGTCAATCACTGCAATCACTACATTAAGCAAAAAGAAGTCAAGAAGTTAGTCAAGAACATGCTTTGTCTGATACATCTTTTATCTATTCATTTCCTTATACGTGTAACCATTCTTTCAACGTATATTTATTGAGTGCCCAATCTGTGTCAGGCATGTGCCTGACACTTCTTCTGCATTCACAGGTACATGGTGATCTCAACCATTAATTATGCATTGAACAATTATAATAGGACATTAATAATAAAGAATGATATTTTCATCTCAATATATTAGGTTGATTCTATGATACAATTTAACGCAAGGGAAAGATGGCAATACATTTCTATTAAAAATATAAAAGACTACACTTTTAGTAACTTTTAATCTACTATCATGATTTAGTATTCACTTACTCAAAATACAAAAAAGGAAGTACTTAAGACATTTAGCAAAATGACAATAAAGACGTGAGGCTTTCCATTTTAACCTATAGATTTGTATGATGTAATGTGACATTTTTATTGGAGTAGGACATTTTAGCTACTTAAAAATGATAACATGCCATATTGAATCCAATGAGGCAGTAAATCTATTTATATACAAAACATTTTGTATATAATGTTTTGTAAAGGCATGAAAGGTTTTATTCTAGTCAAATGAGCCCTCTCCTTTAGGAAAGGAGAGGGAGAGTGTAATGGTCCATACTGGCTCCTTTTTATTTGTTTGGTTCACTTTTCTTTCCAAGAATAATTTTGAAACGTTTGACTTTTTTGTTTTTGAGACAGTGTCCTACTCTGTTGTCCTGGCTGGAGTACAGTGGCATGATCATATCTCACTGCAGCCCTGACTTCCCACCTCAAGTGATCCTCCTGCCTCAATCTTTGTTGTAGATGAGACCACAGGTATGCACCACCATGCCCGGCTATTTTTTTACTTTTATAGAGACATGGTCTCTCTATGTTGCCTAGCTGGTCTCAAACTCTAGGACTCAAATGATTCTCCCACTTCAGCCTCCCAAAGTACTGGGATTACAGGTGTGAAATACGGTACCAGCCACATTTGATTATTTATTTGCTCATTTAACTAGAATAAAACCTTTCATGCCAGTTCAAATTGAATAGTGGTAAAAGGAATCAGAAAGAAGATTAACTTGAAAGAGTCTTTTTATAAATTACAAAAACATGAGTGCAGTACTCATGTAATATATGGCCCCAAACGGACCTTAATTGCCAGTACTTTACTTTTTATTTTTGTATCTCAGGCCAAGCCAAGTTGAATGTGTAGAAACATCTGCACAGAAAGAGAGACCCAAACAGAAACCAAAATTAAACTGTAACACTTTTGACCCTATTAACGGCATAACAGTAAGGAAATCTAGCTCCTCGAACCAATATACGGGGTCGGCAATCATTGTGCCACAAAGTTTAACAATATTTGTAGAGACTATGAAGCCATTTGTTTCATGTCCTCTACTGAAATCCAATCTTTCCATTTTATTTCCATCCCTCAATCCAACCTGCTACCTGGTACCTTCAACACTGTGTCTTTGAAGGATTCTGTAAAGTGCAAGGGCTCACTTCTCGATATTATACCTCTGTCTTCCTTTCCGCTTCTGAGTCAAGTACAAATTCTATAGCATAATCCATTCTCGTCTCCTCTCCTATTCCCATTACAACTAGAGGTTTATATATTGGTTGATTGATCAATCAACAGAAGCATAGTGTACACCAAAAATAAAATTCTAACCTTGCCCAACTGACTGAATGGATCCCTCCTCTCAGCCAGGGGAATTCCAAAGAAACCTGAAAAACTAGTTCGGGCCACGGTGGAAAGAGGGAGTCAGACATGCCTCATTATGCTATCCTCCCTTCGGAATTCAGGCACAGCTGTCCATCATTAAAATTGAAACAGATACCTTAAAATTGATGAAACAGGTTCTTTGTAGCAATAAAATACCAAATTCCATTCTGACTCTAGTGTAGCATCACATGACAGAGAGCAGGCCCTGAAAGTATAAAAGTATTTTACCTCAAAATATATTTCTTTGACATATTTTGAAATGGCCCTGCAAAGCTCTTTCTTGTGGGAGAAATTTACATTCTTTAGAGGATCCTCTTCCCTCTCCAGGTCTTTACCTAATCCTCAGAAGATTATCTGAGGGTCTAGCACCCTTTAAAGGTCTGAATAGAAAACATATGCCATCTACTCCTTCAAAGGGTGGCTGCCTATGAGACTTCATCTATGTAATAAGAACCTTGGTCTCCACAACATTTATGTTAACTCAGACACTCCTTTTTATTGATTCCAAGTCTTTATAGAATAACTTAACTCTTTCAACCAATTGCCAATGAGAAAATTTTTGAATCTAATTATGACCCATAAGCCCCTGCTTTGAAGTTGTCTTGCCTTTCCAGAAAAAAAAAAATGTATGCCTTATATGTATTGATTAATGTCTAATATTTCCCTAAAACATATAAAACCAAGCTGTAACCCATCTACCTTGGGCACATGATCTCAGAACTTCCTGAGGCTGTGTCATGGGTCATGGTCCTGACATTTTGCTCAAAATGAATCTCCTCAAATATTTTGCAGAGTTTGACTTTTTTTGGTCAATACTACATAGATGAAAGATAGATCTTATATTTTCATGTTAATGAAATATTTAGAAGAAGAGGATAAAACATTTTTGTTCTAACTTTTATTCTAAATGAAAGTTTAAATGACAGTTTCAATAAAAGGTCTTTCTATGTGTGATGATTACTTAAAATAATAGTTGGTGCTGCTTTGCTGCATTATTTGTTAATAATGGCTCCAAATTTACATGTATTAAATACTATGACAGAGGAATTACTAAGCAAGTCCTTATATCCCTACACAAAAATTTGAATAGAGTACTATGCTCTATTTTAATTGCTGGGGAACTTAGATAGTAACATATTTACATACTTAAAACTCATAAAAATGGCATTTGTCATTTTTAACTGAAGAAAAGTAGTTTAAATATCACTTGCAGGTATTATTACTTAATGGTGTCTAAAATAATTTTATATAAAACAATATGTTAACCATATTTATCTGTGTGTTGAAAATTTTTACATAGTTTTAAATTTTTCTGTATTTTCCTTTTTTCTACGATGAATTTATATTATCATTGAAACAAGAATAAATATTATTCTAAAAATGTAATCTAATCACATGTGTTTTTATGAAGCCAGCATTGTAATGATATAAAGTATCTCTTGCTGCAATGGCCTGTAGGTGAGTCCTTGAGAGAGTACTTAGTCTGTGCTTAAGATGCCAGTTTTTACAGAAGATGAGATGAAATGTAGAATGCCAGGGTAGGCGGTCAAGTGGAAAAATTAATGGATAAATTAACTCCGATGTAATGGCCAATCAGTGCCTTCTTGGAGAGAGTAGAGGGACAAAGCTGGACGTTAAAATGTTAAAGCAGATTAAAGAAGAGTTGAGATAAAGTACAGACATATTTCATTCAAAATTAAGCCTTACTGCTACATTCATTTTATATACTAGGCTGGAGATGGTCCCTTAAAGCATCAGGGCTTATAACATCAGGACTACACAGAGAACTTGATGTCAAATAGTGCTGCTACTTCTTTAAGACAGTCATGCCAAAGTCACAAAATGAAGCTGACAGAGCAATTAAACTTAAGAGCCATGGTCAATACATTAGCCAATAAATTCAGTGTTGGGATTCTACTCTCATTCCTTGATATCCTTTAATTAATTTTGATCTGATTAACAAACTTTAATCTAGTTGAATAGATAGCCTGTCATTAAGCACCTCTTTTCATATTATGAGGAATTCAAAATTATCTTTCCAAGCTCAGTTATACTGTAGTTTTCTGGTATTTGTTCATGCTTAATTCATTTGCACATCTCATCTGTCTCCCCAAAACCAGCTCTCATGACTCTGCTATCTTTCTGTTGATATTTATTAGTTTAAAAAAAGGTCCTTGAGGCTGGGCACGGTAGCTCACCCCTGTAATCCCAGCATTTTGGGAGGCCAAGGTGGGCGGATCACGAGGTCAGAAGATCAAGACCATCCTGGCTAATATGGTGAAACCACGTCTCTACTAAAAATACAAAAAAAAAAAAATTAGCCAGGCGTGGTGGCAGGGGCCTGTAGTCCCAGCTACTCAGGAGGCTGAGGACAGAGAACGGCTTGAACCTGGGAAGTGGAGCTTGCAGTGAGCCGGGATCATGCCACTGCACTCCAGTCTGGGCGACAGAGTGAGACTCCATCTCAGACAAACAAAAAAAAAGTACTTGAAAAAGATCATAAGATCAAATTTTCATCATGGAAAATTTAAATGTCAGTATGAGTATCATTTCAGCAATTCCACTCTTTTCCACCATACCAACCGTACTCCACTTCTATATATACAACTTTAGTCAGGTGATAATTGACTAATGCATACATATTATTTATACATGAGTAAGTATTCTCAATAAATCGATTTTATACTTTTTATTAATACGTTAATATAATTAAATAATATGAGCATGCCTATTTAGGAGATTTCTTTATTCAATAAATTACACTCTTAAAATAAGGTCACATTACCCATTTACAGTTTAGTCAAACATTGATTTTAGTTGGACATTATTCTTAATTTTAATTTAAATAAAATATGGCATATTTAAAAATTATCTTGCTTTACTGTAGTCACCCTACTGTAAAATAGAACACCAGAACCTTTTCATAACTGTAAGTTTTTACCAATTGATTAACCTCTTCCCATTCTCCCCTGCCCTGCTCCCTGCCCCAGCCTCTAGTAATCAATATTCTACTCTCTACTTTTGCAAGTACTTAATAATAATATATGAACATCTCAAAACAGCTAGAAGAATGTATTTTGAATGGTCTCACCACAAAATGACAAGTGTTTGAAGTGCTAGATATGCTAATTACTCTGATTTGATTATTACACAATGTATACATGTATCAAGATATCACACCATACTCCATAAATATGTACAATTATTATGTCAATTAAAAACAAAATAAAACTTGAAAAAAATTTTAGTTGTACTGTTTTGAGAGCAAAGTCTGCACCCATATCATTTTACATGATTTTCTTGAACTGCTTTGAGAGCAGATATGTGTATTTTTAGTGGTAAAAAGAAATGATATGCTTTAATAGATAAGCCCATCCGAAGTACTCCTTCTCAAAATAATAGGTCCTTCTAGCATTCCAGAAATGTTATCTCACAGAAACTGCTCCACGATTGAAGTTTGTCTTTTAATTTTGGAGCATCTTCCTCTTCATTTCATGGTCACTGACTCAAGAAAGACGGCAAGAAATTGAGCCCGATGTTAACATTGTGATAGTTATATTGCCAGAAGGAGCCATTCACCTTTTGTTCTGATATGTTCATCACAGAACACTCTACTTTTATGTGTTTTGCTTTTAAGACTACTTTCTCATGGAAACTAGTTTCTCAGGAATAAAAGGTCTGGAAAAACAGTCTAAGTTTTGCCTCTCGGCTGTTGGGGTGAAAAGCCATTCTAGCAAACACCTCCATTGCTTGTGAAACCAATTTAAAAATGATGAAAAGAGCTTGATGTAGAAAAGAGGCAATCCAAGGCTGAGTACATATCTAAAAGATGCACACAAGTGAATGAAGACAAAATAAATTGTTGGCACCATCACATCATTGGGACTGGTATAATGAAACAGACAAGTAAGAGTCAAGGAGAAAAATACAATGTGATCATGGTTAGAAAATGCTGAGTTCTACAAATTTCTTCTATATATATAGGTATCTGTCTCTATTTAGATTTTTAGGATTTTTTATATGATTATAAGATCATATAAACTTATGAAATGTTTATCCTATCCTCATTTCTTACTCACTCAGAAAAAGGGAACAACCAAAGGAATGATTTACCTGATTATTTAGTTTTAGCTAATGAACTGAGCTCAGTTCTTTTCTCTCTTTCTTGGATGTGCTTGACTGCAGATAAGGTACAGTCTTGTGTGTTCTTTGCAGTGTGGTAAGTTTATTAGGATAGGTAGCCTTTTTCCTGCAATTCAGCACTTCCCATGCCTACGTAAATCAATATATTGGGTTGAGATATAGAGAGGAAAGTATTAGAAAATCCATTTGAAAGAGAATCCAAAGCCACATTCTCACATATGCTTAAAATATAGTTGATGTTTTAATCCCCATTTGTATGATTCTTATATCTTTCAAATGGTATTGGAATTTGGTGTGCAAGTGAGGAGGTATTTATTGAGCTCTCTATATTGCCTAGCGTTAATTGTACAGCTACTATTTTTCATACATTGTTCTCAATGGCTTACAGACATTCTTTCATTTAAGCTTCCAAATAAATGTCTTAGGTAAGTACTATAATTTTTCTGCTTTTTAGGTCAGAAATTTGAAACTCAAAGAGGTTGAATAGTATACTCAAAGTTGCATGGCTAGGAAGTGATAGAGCCATACTATACTCCAAACCCCATACTATTAATTATCATAGTGTTGATGTCAAGAGATGTGTAAAATTATTATTTTCTGGAGGGAGAGGTGCAGGAAAAGTTTATTATTTTTGTCAGTATTTTGTATACAATACACTTTCTTTTCTCTTTCTCTTTGTGGGTCAAATTATACCAATTCTATGGTTTCCTAATATGAAGAGGGGAGTCTTTTCCTTCAATTCATTATATCCTCTTATTGGAGAACACCCCACCTAGTCTTTTGTCCTCTTATGTCTGACAGAAATGATACTTAGAGTCACCTCTAGAGACTGTTTCAAAGAATGAAAGCAATGGTTAAAGATGGCAATAGTCAGCCAGGCACAGTGGCTCACACCTGTATTCCCAGCACTTTTGGAGGCCAAGACGGGTGACTAAAAAAATACAAAATTAGCCAGGCATCATGGCTGGTGCCTGTAATCCCAGCTGCTTGGGAGGCTGAAGTAGGAGAATAGCTTGAACTCGGGAGGTGGAGGTTGCAGTGAGCTGAGATCACACCATTGCACTCCAGTCTGGGTTACAAGAGCAAAACTCCGTCTCAAAAAAAAAAAAAAAAAAAAAAAGGCAATAGTCATTGCAGGTGCAAGTGAGGTGATAGGCGATATTGAATTAACAGGTTACTTTCTTTTTCTGTATGCATGGAAGGCTATCAAGAATGTAACTTGTAGCCTGTCCTTGTATTACCAAGGCAGGAAAATAGATGGCATTACATGAAATCATTTATTATATTGCGAACAAGGTCATTAGACAAAAAAAGTAGTTTTTTTCATGAAATCCTTAAATTGATGTGCAATTCTACATAAAATATTCACATAGAATCAGTATCTGTGATCCTTACTGACAAATTAAATGAACTACACTATAGTCTTCATATCTTTACAAGAAGCAAGACTCAATCATTAGCTTGCTGCTATTGTACTTGCCAGAAAATTTATTGTCAAGTACTTATCAGTAGAAAAAAATTACTTTTTCTAGACACTCCCAATGGCACTGACATTTACTCAGAGTAAATCTAACACAAATTGTCTCAGTACAGCTAAGCATGACAGACATGACATTTACTGCTGCCATACTTTAACCAATATTGTGATGATAAGGTCTTGGATGTCCCATGGAATTGGTGAAAGAAAATATCACACCTAACGGATAGTCTATTTACCTCTTTGCTAAGTCCTAAAAAGAAGTAAATTAAGGGCCTGTTTTGTGGTGTACTGTGGGAGAGAAAATCAAGTAAATTAAAATATATTTTCTACCAATGTCCCCAGATATTTTCATTCATTGGTAGGTTTATATTTCATTTCATATCTGTGAATATTTAGCTCAAACAAGCTATTTCTCACTTCCACGGGTACTTCAAACATTCCGTATTGTTCTATAATTAGTAACAAAAGAAAAAATTTATTTATGCCTACATTAGAGCAAAGTTATCTCTCTCGCACTATTGCTTTTTCACCCCCACTTTCTCCTCTCACAAACATTTTTGTAATATGACACTCATTTCAAATAAATATGTTGATATACAATTAAATGTATGCTTTTTAGTTTTTCCTTTATAGAGATTACATATATATTTATATTTTATAGCACTTATTAAAAATTAAGCTCCTGTTTCTAAAACTTTTGTGTTCTTACAGTGTGATGTGTGAAATGGGAGATGTTGATCACAGGACACAAAGTTTCAGTGAAACTCAAGGAATAAGTTTTAGTGGTCTATGCATTATTAACCAGAGTTAATAATGACGTGTTGTGCATTTCAAAATTTTTTAAACGAATAGATTTTCAATGTTCTTACCACAAAAAATAAGTTGATGAGATGATGGATATGTTAATAAGGATCATTTAATCTTTCTAAAATTATACACAGATCAAAACATCGCATGTACCTCATAAATATACATAATTATTTGTCAATTAGAATAAATAATAAAAAGCATGACGTGGGTTATACATTAAATAGTGTTTTTAACTATAATCCTATTCAGTGAGCAAGAGAGAAAATAAAATTCCGATATCTACTTGCTACCTAAATATGATTAAAACTGATACTTTGATAAAATTCTCCTATATATTTGAAAAACGGAAAAGTTTTCAAAAGTCTGTTCTCAGTGATTGTGCCAGTGCATGGTTTCCAGCCCTCATAACTAATTTTAGTACTTCCTTCTCACGTTGTCATGAGTGATATATATCTACAGCTAACTCTCACCTTTTATGCAAAATAAAACTAACACACGGGCCTTTTTTCCGAAGTGCTTTTAAGCCATCATACTGTCTGCATGTGAATATCAGCAAATTGATCTATTATTCCAGTGATCTTGGCCATGTTAACTAAATAAGATTGATTCTCTTTCCAGATACTTTAACTGTAAAGCCAGTAGTTTTTAAAATTCTTTCTCAGAATATTTAAGGCCAATGACAGGCCTACACAAGGCAGGAAACAATGAATTCCTCCCTTGGGTAGAGAACTATAGTAGGTGCAGAGAGGAAGAAAAAGGTTATTCCCTATTATTAAAGAAGATACTTTGGCCAAGAGAAATTTATTTTTTAGTTTTGAATGTTTAGTTCCATTTCATGGTATAGTTGTAGCTTTAAAATACAGAAATTAGCTAAAATGTTCATCTAGGAAAATTTTTGATACACCTTTAGTAACATATTTATCTTGGAATAACAATTAAGGACTTTCCGTATATCATCATGATTATTCTTTTGCCTTTTACCCTGTACGCAAGATTATTTAGCTTTAGCTTTTTTCTGCTATAACCCTAGAATGAGCACAGTAACCCTATAAAAACAATTGGACTTAAATCAGATAAGTCAGTTGATTTAACCCTGTCATCTTCTCACAACATCCAGCTTTATCCTCCTCAAAAACAGGAAACCAAATTTGTGACTCAGCTTTATCTCTAAGGTTGAATTATAAAGTAATACTTTTCCCTATCATTACCTCCCTTTTCTAAGTTTTAAAATGGCTTCATTTTCTAATAGAAGAATCAAATCATTCATACGCATGATTTGCTGATAATAGGACAAAACACACCAACAAGCACAGATTAGTATTCTATGGCATCTAAACAGATGGTTCCTAGAAAGCAAACACCTGCAAACCATCTGTACAACAGTGACTACTGTGGCTGAATTGGAAGCTAGCAATAATCTGAGCCAAAATATCTGAACACCAAACTGCCTGGCTGAAGCTGATAGACCAAAGAGAGTAAATATATTTTGCCACATATGCTAACTCTGATCATCTGATAATGGCTGCCTGGAGTGCTGTGCAGACAGCAAATGTGCAATGACAGCAACTCTCATTAGGAAAGAAAGCCATGATTGAGTAGATGGGAGCTATGGCTATAGATGTGAAGTGTCAGGGAACATGCAAAATAATTGCCATTACTGACTTAAGCAGACCTTACAGCTAAATAAGTTACATTGTATAAGTGAAGTCAGAGTCATCACTTCTGATTGTAAGTGTGTACGTGTGTGTTCTACCATTTTTGAAGTTTGGGGAAAAGTTTTATTTTTAATTGTATATTGGTTCTCCTTGATCATTGGAAATTATATTGCCTTTGAATCTTTATAAGTAATTCATCTGTGGAAGCACACGTACATCTTTTAATGGCAATAGAAATGAACCACAAAAGTAACCATTTGTATGTCCTTATAACCTATGCACAAACAAGCCAAATTTTATGTAAGTGTGATTACTAACTATAAACATTTTATGCTTTGACCAAATAGCTACATCTAGATTATGATCTCTCTGCTACCCCTCATCTCCATTTCATAGCTTTAAAAAAAAAAACAATAAATTTGGAAGAGCTAAGAGAAAGAGAATATATGGAAGCATGCAATTTTCTAGGTAGAATCATACAGGTTACTAGATATATATGATATGTATGTATATCATATATATAATGTATATATAATATGTATATCATGTATATATAATATGTATATCATGTATATATAATATATATGATATATACATACATATAGCATATATGTATGTATATATCATATATATGTGTGTGTGTGTATATATATAGGATTGGGGAAGGAAAAGTTGAAGATGATGGTGGAACAATAATTTGGGCAAGGAGAAAAAAGTGCTCATCAGATGATGTTGACATGTCAAAAAAAAAAACCACTAAAACCAGCTTGCAAAGACTTCCACCAGCCAAATCTTGGTCAATTTTAGCATCATAATAAAATAACTAATGGATTATAACTCATCATATAAAACAGGAAACCACAAATTTATACTGATATAGAAAACTGCATTAATATATTGCAAGACTGGTGCAGAATATTTACATATTCTGAAAATAGCTCTCCATAAAATATTTATTAATTACAGATGAATAAAGAATACCTCCACAGTGGAAAAGGGTAGTGAACAGTCATCATCTTAATCAAGTGATAGCAGTTAACATTATTGGTCATAGAACAAATTTAAATAATATGACACTTGATAGGATGCAATAAGAAAAGAAAATCACTTATGTAATATTGCTGCCAAAGATGCATAACATAACTCTAACCATGACAAAATATCAGATCTAGCCACATTAAGAAACATTCTATTAAAAAAACTAGCCTGCAATTTCCAAAAGTATACAAATCATTAAAATCATGGAAAGGCTAAGGAACTATTGGAGATTGATGGAAACTTAAAGAGATCTGACAACAAAATACAAAGTACCATTCTGAACTGGAACCTTGGGTTTTAAAATATGTTTTGGGGGCAACTGGAAAATCTCTAATGGTATTCAAACATTAGATAGCAGTAATTTATCTATATCAAATTTTTTGATGTTGAGTGTTGTGGTTAGTAGAGAATGTCCTTTTTATAGAAAATACTGAAATATTCAGAATGGGACGGCATCATATCAGCAATGTACTCTCAAAGGTTCAGGAGGAAAACGTTAGTTTACTGGCATATCAACTCTTTTGTTAGTCTGGGATGGCTTTGAATTTCTAAAAATGAGAAGTTTAAGGTAGAGAGTTACTATGTGGATTTGATCTCAAATGATAGTTTTTTAGAATATAAAATGAAGCTATTTATTTTCAATGTGTGCCTTAACATAATGACCTTTAAGAAATTCTATAAAATCAAAAATATTACGTTAATTTCAAATTACCAATAACCTACTTAATATACATTACATTTGAAAATCAAATTAGTTTTTCAATGATAAGTATAGATAATTTTGCTGTTTTTACTGTTGTTTTTGTTGGTTGCATTTTTCCCCTCTGGTTCTATAAAATATATTTTCAACTAAATAAGCAAAATTAAGTTCTAATGATAGCTGAAGATGTGTGAAAATAATAATTTCCAAAAATTATTTAGGGAGTGACACCAGTAAAATGGCAGAGTAGGTGATTCAGTCCCACATTATTCTTGGAAACACAAAAAATCAGTAACAAGAACAATAACTAGAGACTGACTTCGATAACTGTAGTTACAAGGCATCCAAATTGGAAATGATATAAATTACCTTTGTGCACAGATAACATGATCTTATATGTGGAAAATTCTGAAAAGACTACTAAAAACTGTTACATTTAAATAAATTCAGCAAATTTGCAGGATGTAACGTCAATACAAAAAAATAGATTTGTTTTCTACACTCAAATTGAGCAATTCAAAAAGGAAATTATGAAAAAATTCAATTTACAGACCATCAAAAATAATAAAATACTTATGAATAAATATAAACAACGAGGCAAAGGGCTTGTAAATGACAAAGTACAAAACATTGCTCAAAAAAATTCAGTGAAAGTCCTACAGCAATCAAGCAAACATCCAGTTAAGAAAAAGCCACGGCTGGGCCTGGTGGCTCATGCCTGTAATCCCAGCACTTTGGGAGGCCGAGGCGGGCAGATCACCTGAGGTCGGGAGTTCAAGATCAGCCTGACCAACATGGAGAAACCGCGTCTCTACTAAAAATACAAAATTAGTCCGCCATGGTGGCGCATGCCTGTAATCCCAGCTACTCAGGAGGCTGAGGCAGGAGAATTGCTGGAACCCAGGAGTGGGGGGTTGCAGTGAGCTAAGGTCACGCCATTGTACTCCAGCCTGGGCAACAAGAGTGAAACTCCATCTGAAAAAAAAAAAAAAAAAAGAAGAAAAGAAAGAAAAAAAAAAGAAAAGAAAAAGCCACATGCCACATTCAAACTGGTAGAAAATTTTATGGTATTTTTGTTCAACTTTATTTCACCTCCTCCACAGAACAATGTGATTTTTCTCTGGAAAAAAGAAGCAGCCTTGTTCAAAATCCCTCTCTCAAATCACAGAGAGCAGAACAGATCTTATTTGCAACATTCCAACCCGTCTGGGGGCTGCTTACAGAACTGGTCTCTGTTTCACCTAACTTGAAGCTCAGGTTGGAAAAAACAGCATAACATAAGAGACCTGGGCCGTAAGGGAATATTTGTGGTAGTCTGAGTACTCCTCATACTAGGGCTGGTGGCGGCTATGGGATGAGGCTCCTCTGCCTTTGGAAAGGAGAGGAAGAGTGGGAAGGACTGCATCTTGTGGTTTGACAGTCAGCTCAGCAGTAGTACAATAGAACACCAGGTAAACTTTGAAGGTTTTTGACTCTAGTCCCTGACACCCAGACAGCACCTCTGGATTCACTTAAGACCTGGGAAACCTCACCGCCCCGAAGGGAAGGACACAGGCCTGGCTGGCTTTGCCACTGGCTGGTTGTAGAGCCCCAAGGCTTAAAGCAAACATAGGCAGTAGCCAGGGAGTGGTTACAGCAGCAGGCCTCAGATGAGATCCAGTGTTGTGCTGGCTTCAGGTCTGACACATTGCAGTTATAGTGGTGGTGGTGTCCACAGGATTGCTTGTGTTGCTCCACCTCCAGCATTAGGTGGCTCAGAACAAGCAGAGAGACTCTGTTGGGAGAAAATAAGGGAAGAGAACAAGAATCTCTGCCTGGTAATAAAGAGAATTCCCCTGGATCTTGTCAAAGACCATAAAGGTGGTACCTCTCTACAAGTTTGCAAGAAGCATAGCATTACTGGGCTTGGGGTGCCCACTAAAGCAGCTACAGCATAGATAGCAACACCCAAGTCATTACAAACATCTAGAAAGACCTCCCAAAAAGGAAGTTTACAAATAAGCCCAGATAATACAGACTACAATAAATACCTATCTCTTCAATGCTCAGACACCAAAGAACATCTACTAGCACCAACACCATCTTGGAAAACATGACCTCAACCAACAAATTAAATAAGGCACCAGAGACCAATCCTGGAGAAACAGATATGTGACCCTTCAGAGAGAGAATTCAAGATAGTTGTGTTGAAGGAACTCAAATAAATTTATGATATCATAGAGAAGAAGTCCAGAATTCTATCAGATAAATTGAGGAAGAATATTAAAATAATAAAAAGAATTAAGCAGAAATTCTAAAGCTGGAAAATGCAACTGGCATACTGAAGAATGTGTGATTCCTTTAATAGCAGAATTTATCAAGCAGAAGAACTAGTGAGCTTGAAGACAGTCTATTTGAAAATACACAGTCAGAGGAGACAAAACAAATAAAACAATAAAGCATGCCCACACAATCTAGAAAATATTTTCAAAAGAGTAAATCTAAGAGTTACTGGAATTTAAGAAGATGTAGAGAAAGTGCTATGGGTAGAATGTTTTTTAGAGGGATAATAATAGAGAACTTCCAAAACCTAGAGAAAGATGTCAATATCCAAATACAAGAAGGTTATAGAACAACAAGAGATTTAACCCAGAAAAGACTACCTGAAGGCATTTAATAAGCAAACTCCCAAAAGTCAAGGATATAGAAAGGATTCTAAAAGCAGAAAGAAGAAAGAAACAAATAATATACAATTAATCTCCAATATGTCTGGCCATAGACTTTTCAGTGAGAACCTTATAAGCCAGAAGGGATTGGCATGACATATCTAAAGTGCTGAAGGTAAAAATCTTTTACCCTAGAACAGTGCATCTGGCAAAAATATCCTTCAACATCAGACCTGTCCTACAAGAAATGCTAAAGGGAGTACTTCAATCAGAAAGAAAAGGATGTTAGTAAGCAATAAGTAATCATCTGAAGATACAAACGTCACTGGAATAGTAACACAGAAAAACACAAATTGTTATAACACTGCAACTGTGCTGTGTAAACTATTCTTAAATTAAAATTAAATTAAATTAAATTAAAAACTTAGAAATAAATTAAATTAAAAACTTAGAAATAGAAACAACAAAAAGCTAAAAAGTGAAATAATTAAGTTAAGATGTAGAGGTTTTATTAGTGTTACTTTTGTTTGTTTGTCTACTTATGCAAACAGTGTGAAATTGCTATCAGCTTAAAATAAGGGGTTATAATATATTATTTGCAAGCCCCATGGTAACCTCAAACCAGAAAACATACAATGGAGACACAGAAAATTAAAAATCAAGAAACTAAATCATATCACCAGAGAAAATTACTTTCACTAGAGGAAGACAGGAAGGAAAGAAAAGGCAGGGTGGACAGTAAAATAGCCAGAAAATAAATAACAAAGTGGCAGGAGTAAGTCCTTACTTATTACTAATAACATTGAATGTAAATGGACTAAACTCTATAATAAACAGACATACTTTTTAAATGGATGAAAACAGAAGACCCATTGATGTGTTGCTCACAAGAAAAACACCTCACTTATAAAGACACATATAGACTGAAAATGAAGGGATGGAAAAATATATTCCATACCAATGGGAAACAAAAAAGAGCAGGACTAGCAATACTTATTTCAGACAAAACAGATTTCAAGACAAAAGCATTAAGAAGACAAGAAGGTCACTATATAATGATAATGATAAAGGGGTCAGTTCCGCAAGAGGATATATCAATTTTAAATATATATGCACCCAACACTGGAGGACCCAGATACATAAAGCAAATATTATTACAGCTAGTGAGATAGGCTCCAATACAATAATTGCTGGAGATTTCCATGACAGGTCTTACACAGACAGAAAATCAATAAAGAAACATTGGACTTAATCTGCACCATAGACTAAATGTATCTAATAGATATTTATAGAACATTTCATCCAATGGCTGCAGAATACACATTGTTGTCCTCAGCACATGGATTATTCTCAAGGATATAACACGTTAGGTAACAAAACAGGTCTTAAAACATTCAAAAACTTGAAATAATTTCAAGCCTTCTCTCTGATCACAATAGAATAAAACTAAAAATTAATAATAGGAGAAATTTTGGAAACTATACAAAAACATGGAAATTAAATAATATGTTCCTGAATGACCAGCGGGTAAAGAAATTAAGAAGAAAATAGAAAAGAAATTATTGAAACCAATGATAATGGAAACACAACATACCAAAACCTATAGGATACAGCAAAAGCAGTAACAAGGAAGGTTATAATTATAAGCGCTTACATCAAAAAAGAGAAATAATTTCAAATAAACAATCTAAGGATGCATCTTAAAGAACTAGAAAAGCAAGAACAAACCAAACCCAAAATTACTGAAAGAAAGTTAATATTAAAGATCAGAGCAGAAATAAATGAAATTGAAATGAAAAAAGTACAAGAGTTTAATAAAATAAAAAGGTGATTTTTCGAAAAGTTAAAAAAAACACACCTTTGGCCAGACTAAGAAAAAATGAGAGATGATAAATAAAATCTTAATTGAAAAATGAGACATTACAACTGATAGTGAAGAAATTCAAAAGATCATTAATGGCTACTATGAGCAACTATATGGCAATAATTTGAAAAATTTTGAAAAAATTGACAAATTCCCAGACACATGAAACCTACCAAGATTGAAACAGTAAAAAATTCCAAAACATGAACAGACCAATAACAAGTAATGAGATAAAAGCCTTATTAAAAATCTCCACTAAAGTAATGCCTGTGTTCCAATGGCTTCACTGCTGAATTCTTCCAAACATTTAAAGACTAACTAATATAAATCCTACTCAAATTGTTCCAAAAAATAAAGGAGGAGAGAATTATTTCAAGCTCATTTCATAAAACCAGTATTACCCTGATACCAAAACTAAAGACACATCAACAAAGGAAAACTACAGACCAATATCTCTGAAGAGTGTTGATGCAAAAATTGTCAACAAAATACTAGGAAATGGAATTCAACAATGTTTTAGAAAGATCATTCATAATGACCAAATGGCATTTATCATTGGGATGCAAAGACGGTTCAACATATGCAAATCAATCGATGTGATACATCATATCAACAGAATGAAGGACAAAAACATATGACCATTTCAATTAATGCTGGAAAAGCATTTTAGACAGTTCAACATCCTTTCATGATAAAAGCTCTCCAAAAACTGCAGATAGAAGGAACATATCTCAACATAATAAAAGCCATGTAAGACAGACTCACAGTATCATTCTAAATGTGAAAAAACTGACAGTTTTTCCTCTAAGATCTGGAAAATAACAAACATGCCCAATGTCACCACTATTATTCAACCTAGTACTAGAAGTTTTAGCTAGAGCAATCAGAAAAGAGAAGGATATAAGTGGAATCCAAATTGGAAAGAAAGAAATCAAATTATCCTTGTCTGCAGATGTTAAGATCTTATATTTGGAAAAACCTAAAGACATCACAAAAAAACTTTTAGAACTGATAAACAAATTCAGCAGTTCGGGCCCAGTGGCTCACGCCTGTAATCCCAGCACTTTGGGAGGCCGAGGCGGGCGGATCACGAGGTCAGGAGATCGAGACCATCCTGGCTAACATGGTGAAATCCCGTCTCTACTAAAACTACAAAACGAAATTAGCCAGGCTTGGTGGCAGGTGCCTGTAGTCTCAGTTACTTGGGAGGCTGAAGCAGGAGAATGGCGTGAACCCAGGAGGCGGAGCTTGCAGTGAGCCGAGATTGCGCCACTGCACTCCAGCCTGGGTGATAGAGCAAACCTCTGTCTCAACAACAACAACAACAAAAAACAAATTCAGTAAAGTTGTAGGATACAAAATCAACATACAAAAATTAGTAGTTTTTCAATATACCAATAGTGAACAATCTGAGAAAAATATAAAAAGTACTCCCATTTACAATAGCTACAAATAAAATGAAACACCTAGGAATTAACTTAACTAAGAAAGTGATTTGCTATCAATTAACTAACTTGTTATCAATTCAAAATAGATTGTTGTAACTTTGGATGTTATACATAACTCTCATGGTAACCTCAAACAATATCTATAGAATATGCACAAAAGGAAATAAAAAAATTAAAAGTGTGTTATTACAAAAAATCAACTGAATAGCAAAGAAGGTACTAATGGAGGAAATAAGGTAAAAAAAAAGATATGACATACAGAAAAGAAATAAATAATAAAAAAGGTAAAGTAAGTCTTTCTATATTAGTAATTACTTTCATGATAAATGGGTTAAATTCCCCAATCAAAAGTCATACATTTGCAGAATGAATTAAAAAATGGATTAAATTATACGCAGTTTGCTAGAGGATAATTTTGATCTAAAAGATGAGTAGGTTGAAAAAAATAAATAATGATATAACATGCAAATAGTAAACAAAAGAGAGCAGGGGCGGCTATACTTATTTTAGACAAAATAAACTCTAAATCAAAAACTGGTATAAGAGCCAAAGAAAAATATTATACTTTGATAAAAGAGTCAAATCACCAAAAAGGTATAAAAATTATAAACATATATACACCAAAACTCAGAGCTTGAAAATGTATGAAGGAAACATTGACATAATGAAACATAGAAATTCACAGCTCACAGTAAGTCAGAGACTTCATTATCTCATTTGCAATAGTGAATAAAACAACCAGACTAACATTAATAAGGTAATAGAGGACTACAGCAGAGATAAATAGAGTATATAAAAACAATAAATTAAATCAACAGAACCAAAAAGTTGATCCTCAAAGAGTTCTACAATATTGACAAGCTTTAGCTACACTAACAATAAAAGAGGAATGATGCCAATTACTGAAATCATAAATGAAAATGGGATATTACTACCAATATCACAGAAATAAAAAGGATTATAAGAGAGTACTGTGAACAACGGTATACCAACACATTGGATAAACTAGATGACATGGATAAATTCTTGGAAACACATAATATAACAAGACCAAATCATGAAGAAATAGAAAATCTGAATAGAATGATAAGTAGTACGGAGAACAAATCAGTAATCAAAATCTTCCCAGCAAAGTGATGACGTGAATCAGAAGGATTCACTGATCAATTCTACTAAACATTTAAAGAATTAATAACAATTCTTCTCAGACTCTTCCAAAACCTTGAAAAAGATGGAACACGTCAGCACCCATTCTTGGAACTAGCATTACCTTGGAATCAAAGACAGACAAAGATATTACAAGAAAAGAAAACTACAGATCAAAATCCCTTAAAAATATTTATACAAAAATTCTTTAAAAATACCAGCAAACTTAATTTAACAGCCTATTAAAATATTATACAACATGACAATTTGGAACTCATTCACATTAGCAGAATGAAAGGTATACACCATGTGATCATTTTACTTCATGCAGAAAAAGCATATGACAAAATTCCACATCTTTTTCAGATAAAAACATTCAACATACTAGGACTAGAAAAAATTAATTAAATATCATAAAAGCCATAGCTGAAAAAACCCCAAAGTGCACATTATATTCAGTAGTGAAAAGCTTAAAGCATTTTCTTTGAGATCAGAAACAAAGATTTTTGGTTTCACTACTTCTGTTCAACATAGTATTAGAAGTTTTAGCCAGAGAAATTGGGCAAAAATTAAAAAAAAAAGATACAACACATCCAGATTGGAAAGAAAGAAGTAAATTACCTCTGTTCACAGATAACATGATCTTATATGTAGAAAATCCTAAAGAACCCACAAAAAACTGTTGCACTTAAACAAATTTTACATCTTGCAAATTTACAGGATTTAAAATCAACATGAACAATCAGTTATGTTCCTCTACACTAAAATTAAGCAATTGAAAAAGGAAATTATGAAAAAAAAACAATTTGCAAGATCATCAAAAAGAATATAATACTTAGGAATAAACATAAACAATGAAGCAAAAGACATTTAAATTAACAACTACAAAACATTGGTCAAATAAATCAACCACAAATAAATAGAAAGACATCCATGTTCATGTATTGAAAGAAAATATTGTTAAAATGTTAATATAATCAAAACAAGATCTACAGCTTCAATGCAATACTTGTCAAAATCCCAACACTTTTGCAGAAACAGTACAACTCATTCTAAAATTTATTCGAAATTTCAAGGGACCTTGAATAGCCAAAAGAAGCTTGAAAAAGAATAACAATTTGAAAGGTTCACACTTCCTAATATGAAAATTAACCACAAAGCTGTAGTATTCAAAACAGTGGGGTATGGACATAAAGTCCAAAACATAGACAAGTATAATAAAATACTGATTTCAGAAATAAGCTCTTATATATATGACCAAATGATTTTTGACAAAAAAAGTCTCAAAAAATTAAGCATAGAATTAACATTTGATCCAATAATTTTACTTCTGGTTGCATACCCGAAGGAATTAAAGCAGGGACTCACACAGATATTTGTCCGCCAATGTTCACAGAAGCATTCTTTACAAAAGCCCAAAGGTAGAAACAATCCAAATATCCATCACCAGATGAATGGATAAACCATATTTGTTATATACATACATACATATCCACTGGAAGGAAACTCTGATACATGTTACAAACATACAACATATATAGCACAATGTCGAAGACATTATGCTATATGAAGTAAGCCAAACACTAAAGCACAAATATTGATTGCATGAATCCACTTATTGGAGATACCTAGAGTGGTCAAATTTATTGAGGAAGAAAGTAGGATGGTGGTTTCCAGTGGCTGGAGAAAGGCAGAATTGAGAATTATTGTTTAATTGGTAAAGAGTTTCAGTTTTTGAAGATAAAAAAGTTCTAAAGATGAACAATGGTGATGATTGCATAATTATGTGAATATACTCTGTGCCAAAAACTGTACAACTGAAAACGGTTAAAATTGTGAATTTTATGTTATGTGTATTTTACTATAATAAAAAATCCAAAAGATACCAGAATACCTTTATACATATATATGTATATATGTATGTATGTATTTCAGAATATTTATTAGATTTTTATGTGTACATTTACCTAATTCTCTTCCTGGAATTCTACCATTTTCCTACAAGTAAAGTAGAACTCTAAGTTCAAACCATGCCAAAACTCAGTAACTAAAGTTAAATCTTGACTATTTATTTCTACCACATATTTACGTTATTGCTGGACTTCCGATATTGAGACAAGTAATGATAAGAGGAGTCACAGAGAAAAAAGAAAACCTTCCTGTCCTGATTAGACAAAGAATACATGCAGACTTGAGGGTGCCACAGCTCTGAAGATACTCTACTGTTGCTTATGGGATCTTAGATGATAAACTATACGGAGTAGAAAACTACATGCCATAGAAAGTGTTTATTTTTCTTCTTTATGGAAAGAAAAATAACTGGCAGAATCAGAAGGGAACACTCCAAATTGAGCTTGCTAGGTTATGACTTCTGACACATTTTATTTTTACTTCCACAATCCATTTTTGTTGTGTGAATTATAAGTTCCTCTTAAAATTTAGCAAAGATTATAATTAAAGGCTATCAGTGTACTAACTTCTTTATAGTTCTGAATTTCCAGAAGCACAGACCTGAGATTGTTTACCAAAAATTGTCTAGATCTAATGAAACTTTTTACATAATCTGAGGACTCAATCTATTAAATAAATCTTAGATTAAAAATAATTATTAAATTTAAAAACCATGAATTAAAAAGGAATCTATTTGAAATTAGTTGCTCTAAATTGTATATTCTAAACATATGTGCAAATATTAATAGTTAATTTTTATAAATACTTTTTGAAAAGGTATTAAAATTTTGAAAATCAGAGTAGTGATTATCTTTGAAATGCATAATGTGTCTTCCACATTTCTACAGTGAGTGTGTCTTACTTTGAGAATCTGCTTCACAAAAACAGAACCAAAACCAAACAAAATAACCACTACAATGGTTTGTTAAAAGATTCTAGGTCTAGAGTAGGAAATGAAATGGTAGTATTTTCCCTTGTAATGTAATTTTGATATTGGCTTATTCTCTATGTTAATAGTCCCAGAACACCTTGAATGAACGGGTGGCTGGGTCCTTAGTACATTGACAAAAATACATACTGTTAATTTCTCTCAGCCTTCCCTAAAGAGATCTACAGTCTTTCACCAGTGTAAGTGTGCATTTGGGGAAAAGGAAATAATACTATCTTTCAGGGACACTGGCTCTGAGCTGGCACTAATTCCAGGAGACGCAAAACATTACTATAGGCCACTAGTCAAAGTGGAGGCTTGTAATGGTCAGGAAATCAGTGGAGTTTTAGCTCAGGTTCATCTTACATTGAGCCCTGTGTGTTCCTGAAATCATCCAGTGGTCATTTCCCCAGTTCCTGAATGCATATTTAGAGTAGGCACACTCAGCATCTGGCAGAATCCATACATTGCTATCCTGAACTGTGGAGTGGGGTAATGTTATGGTGGGAAAGGGCAAGTGGAAGCTAATAGAACAGATTCCTCACAGGAAGATAGTATACTAAAAACAATACTGCATCTCTGGAGATATTTTGAAGGAATCATATCAATCATGTTGATATGTTACTCTAGCTCATCTACCAAATGACACGAGAAGCTGATAGTTTTGAGTAGGGCCCAAGAAGTCACTGCAACAGGTCTGGGCTGCTGTGCAAGCTACTCTGCCACTTGAGTCATATGATCTAGCACATCCAATAATCCTTAAAGTTTCGTTGGCAGATAGGGATGCCATTTGAAATCTTTGGCAGATACCTATAGTTGCCTCATAGTACATACCCTTAGGATTTTCAGCAAAGCCATGCCATCCTCTGTGGATATCTACTCCTCTTTTGAAAAAAAAAAAAAAACAGCTATTTTTGACAGGGTGCAGTGGCACACACCTGTAATCCAAGTAGTTTGGGAGGCTGAGGTGGGCAGATCACTTGAGCCCAGGAGTTCAAAACCAGCCTGGGCAATATGGCAAAACCCCAACTCTACAAAAAGTTCAAACATTAGCAGGGCATGGTGGCATGTGCTTGTAGCCCCAGCTACTCAGGGAGCTGAGGCAGGAGGATGGTTTGAGTCCAGGAGACTGCAGTGAGCCAGGATTGTGCCACTGCACTCCATCCTGGGTGACAGAGCGAGAGCTTGAAAAAAAGAAAAAGAAAAAAAAAGAAGAACGAGAAAGAAAAGGGGAAAGGAAAGAAGAAAGGAAAGAAAGGAAAGGAAAGGAGAAAGGAGAAAAAGGAGAAAGGAGAGGAGAAAAACAGCAATTTTTCTGATACTAGGCTTTAGTAGAAGCTGAAGGCTTATACCATGGGCCATCAGGTTACCATGGGACTTGAGCTTCCCACAATATAGAGGGCATTACAGGGCCAGACGCAGTGGCTCACGCCTGTAATCCCAGCAATTTGGGAGGCCTAGGTGGGCGGATCACCTGAGGTCAGGAGTTCGAGACCAGCCTGGCCAACATGGTGAAACCCCGTCTCTACTAAACATACAAAAAATTTAGCTGGGCATGGTGGTGTGTGCCTGTAGTCCCGGCTACTCAGGAGGCTGAGGAAAATCACTTGAACTCAGGAGGGGGAGGTTGCAGTAAGCCAAGATCACGCCACTGCACTCCAGCCTGGGTGACAGAAAGAGACTCGGTCTCAAAAAAAAAAAAAAAAAAAAAAAAAAAAAAAAAAGAGGAGGACATTATCTTACCTACCAAGCTATGAAGTTGGGCATGCACTGTAGTATTCTAACATCAAATGGAAGTGGTATTTATATGATCAAGCTGAGACAGGTCCTGAGGGCACAAGTAAGCTACATGAAGTGGACCAAATGCACATGGTCCCTGTTCCTGCTACGTAGCCTACTCTCTCCCAACCTGTATCTATGGCCTCTCAGGGAATTTCCTACGATCAGTTGACAGAAGGGAAGATTTAGCTCTGGTTTCAAATGGTTCTGCAAAATATTCAGACACTATCCAAAAGCAGACAGCTACAGCACTAGAGCTTATTTCTGGGCCATCCCTAAAAGACGGTAGTAAAAGAAAGAACCTACCAGTTTGCAGAACATTGAGCCATAAAGTTGGTTGTTTACTTATTTTGAAAAGAGAAATGTCTGGATGGTCAGGGACTTTGAAGGGACGTGATTAAATAATTGATGACAAGGAAATTTGGGGAGGATATATGTGGACAGACCTCGCTCACTGGACAAAAAAAGTGAAAATATTTGTGTCCCTTGTGAGTGTTCACTAAAGGATGGCCACAGCAGAGGAGAATTTCAATAATACTGATTTGGCTAAATTGCTGATTTAGCATCAGTTTGGCAGAAAGAAACTGGTATAATTTTTAGAATGAATTTTTCATTACATACAATTGATTCACTCGCTCTATATGTAGATATGACTAGAGAACCTATTGCCACTGTTAAAGGAAGAAATTAATTATACATAAATTAGTGGCAACCATATTTTACTTTGTAATTAACATAATTCATTATTAAAAGGGCTCTAACGAATTATGCTAGTTTGTTTGAATTGAAGTAAATCATTGAAAGCTAAAAAACTTAATTTCAAGTCTTTCAAAAATAGTTCTTAGATGTCTAATAGGCAGACATACTATCTCCTTTGTCTGAATGCAGATTACTATACTTGCAATTAAGATATTGTATGTCAAGATTCTTTGATATCGTCATGAAACTTAATTATTTCTGGGTTTATTTTCTATATTTTGCTTAAGAGTGTTGAATAAAATTTTACTGCCTATTAAGATTTACATTAAACTTTTGGGGGCAATAAGCAATTATCAATCATGCAAATACAATTAAAATCAGTTTTAAAGCTTGTGGAAAACTTGAATATTGTTATCACAAATATTTGGGTAAATATGTTTGCTTAAAACAAACACCAATAAAATAAGTACTGAACATTTGCAAATTTTCATATCCGTTCAGATAGAAAAAATAGTCATTTTCTAGAAAAAATGGTGTGACATGTTTCAAAGGGCCTCAACATATGCCAGATAAATGGAAGAAGAAGTGAGGAACTTCACACAAGAGAACAAAAAGCAAATTTTCTCTGAATATTTCCTGATAAGGAATGTCAAGTTTTGACAGATGTGAATGTGTGCTGATCTGATACAGAAAACTTTTTAAAGAAGCTTCAGTTAGTTTGATCTGTGTAAAGTGAAAGACTTGCTTCTGTCTTAATAACCAATCTACCACTTTAATATTTTCAAATAATTGGTACTGATGAATGCTTCTAAAGGACCAAGGAGAATTTTTGCTTTTTTTCTGGAAAATTGGTATCAGTTTTTTAGAGTCATATTATGTGTGTAGTCTGAATAGTGTTAAAAATATCAAAATACAAACTGGAGAATTTTGCACAAAATAGGAAAATGTTGAATATATTTCATTCAGTCATGTATTAGATTCTAGATATTTTTTTGAAGAAGATCTGGTTTCTCTTGTTTCAATTGTACTGATACCGGAAATAAAATAAAAGTAGATGCATAACAATCATTTGGGAAGTGTTCAGTTTGAAGAACAGCTGCGAAAGAAATACGGATAAGGCCAGAAAGAAATGAGCTTAATGAATGAACACAATGTAAAGAATGTTATCTCGGAGCTGGGCACGGTGGCTCATGCCTGTAATCCCAGCACTTTGGGAGGCCTAGAGGGGCGGATAACGAGGTCAGGAGATCGAGACCATCCTGGCTAACACGGTGAAACCCCGTCTCTACTAAAAATACAAAAAATTAGCCGGGCGTGGTGGCGGGCGCCTGTAGTCCCAGCTGCTGGGGAGGCTGAGGCAGGAGAATCACTTGAACCCAGGAGGCAGAGGTTGCAGTGAGCTGAGATCACGCCACTGCACTCCAGCCTGGGCGACAGAGAGAGACTCCGTCTGAAAAAAAAAAAAAAAAAAAGAGAATGTTATTTCGGATATATACGTAAAGATAATGCAATGACCAATTTTATCTAATATTGGCATACAAGGAATAATATTAGTCACTTCCTCTTCTAGCACTAAAATATAAAAAAAGCAATGTAGTTTTCATAGAAAATACATATAATCAATACTTCTATTAGAATGGCTCAAAAAATATATATACAGTAATGCACTGCATAACAACATTTTGGTCAACAATGGGCAGCATATACCATGGTGGCCCCTAAGTTTATAATTGAGCTGAAAAATTCCTATCACCTGGAGACATCGTAGCCATTATAATGTCATAGCATAACAAATCACTCATGTTTGTGGTAATGCTGGTGTAAACAAACCTGTTGGTCTACCAGGTATATAAAAGTATACCAAATACAATAACGCATAGTATATAATACTCGATAATGATAATAAACAACTATATTACTAGTTTATGTATTAACTATACTATACTTTTTATCATTATTTTGGAGCGTATTCCTTCTATTTATAACAAAATAGCTGTAAAACAGTCTCAAGCAGGTCCTTCAGAAAGAATTCCAGAAGGCATTGTTATCATAGGAGATGACAGCTCCAGGTGTGTTCTTGGCCCTAAAAACTATCCAGTGGGACAAGATGTGGAGGTCGACGAAAAGAGTCAAACTCGGTAAAATATTTGAGGAGATTTATTCTGAGCCAAATATGAGTGACCAAGGCCCATGACGCAGCCCTCAGGAGGTCCTGAGAACATGTGCCCAAGATGGTCAGGGTACAGCTTGGTTTTGTATAGTTTAGGAAGGCATAAGGCATCAAATACATTTAAGAAATACATTGGTTGATTTAGAAAGACAGGACAACTCATAGCAGGAGGCTTCCAGGCTATAGGTAAATTTAAACATTTTCTGGTTGACAATTGGTTGAGTTTATCTGAAGACCTGGGATTAATGGAAAAGAATGTTCAGGTTAAGATAAAGGATTGTGGAGACCAAGATTTATTGTGCAGAGAAATTTCTCAGATAGCAGACTTCAGAGAGACAGCAGGTTGTAAAATCTTTATTAGACCTAAAAGAGTGTCTGGCTCTTAGTTGATTATCTTCTGGATCTGGAAAGGAAGGACAAAGGGGAAAGGGGATTCTCTATAGGCTGTGGATTTTTCCCACAAGAGACTTTGCAGGGCAATTTCAAGGTATGGCAAGAAAATATATTTTAGGGTTAAATGTTTTTTCCTTGTCTTGTAATGTTATGCCAGAGTCAAACTGAAAAGTAACTCACTATATATAGGGTCAACTAAAACCCATTTGCTGAGAATTTATGTTTTGTAGGGCATGACTCCCTAGACACCTTAGGTAGGAATTTGGGCAAGATAAAAAGTTCGAGCTTAGTCCTCAAATGTCTAATCTTCCATTAGAAGACTCCAGTATAATATTAATCTAATACACTGTTGTTTTTGTGTCTTGAAATGAAAGAGATGAATGTTTTCCATAACTTTCCGGGTTTTACTTAACATTTTGAAAATTTCAAATTCCAATATTGTAACTGCTTTAATGTCTTTGTGTGTCAAATCTAATATCTATTTCAAATCTGGATTAGTTTAAATTGATTCACTTTCTTCTTCATCCAGATTTATTTATTTTTCCATTTTTTGCATACTTGATAATTTTTTATTGGGTGCCACACATTATAAATTTTACATTTTGGGATGCTAGGTAATTTTGTATTCTTTTAATTGTCTTGAGCTGTGTTCTGATTCATAGTTAAGTCACTAGGAGATAGTTTGGTGCTTTTGGTTCTTGAATTTAATGTATGTTAGGCAAGACCAGTGCAGCCTTTAGTCTGGGGCAAATTATTTACCACTATGGAGGCAAGACCCCTCTTCTGGGTGCTCTAATGAATTCCTTGTGAAATATCAAGTCTTTAATTTCACTGGTTGAAAGTTATTGTTCCTAGCACTGCATAAGCTCTGAAACCTCTTCTGCTAATCTTTTCTATACTTCTTTCACCAGCCTCTTATAGTTTCATCACATGTACACAGTGATCAGAATGTCTGTGTCTCTGCAATTTGACTTCTGTGTATTTCTTTCCTGTATGGTATCCTCTTTCTCAAACTGTAGCTGTCTTGGTTTTCTCAGACTCTCAATTATGTCTGTTCAGTTCAGGAAGGCTGCTATGCTCTGTCTAGATTCTGTGCCTGAAAAGTGTAGGCCTAAAAACTCCCTTAATACAGTAAGAAGGAGCAATAACAGGGCTCATCTTGTTTGCTTCCCTTTTCTCAGAGATCACAGTCCTTCATTATCTGAAGTTTCATGTCTTGAGACCTGTTGTTTCCTATATATTGCTCTGCATTTTAGTTGTTTCAGGTTAAATCTAACCCCTGTTATTTCATCTTGGCTCAAACTGGTAGTCTCAAATTATTTTTTATAACCTTGGGTAAAGATGAAAATTATCTACCAAATTGCAACTGTACATGTATTTACAACATCAGTTTGAACAAAGAATAAAATGCTCAACATGGCATTTAATAGTCTTCCATAAGAAAAAGGAATCATTGAGAAAATGACACTATTAGTTGTTGCAGTTAACAAATGCTTCTAGGTGAGACTTTAAAGACCAAAAAAAAAAAAAAAGAAAGAAAAAGGAAAAAAGGTTGCTGCTGCAAACGTCTCTTTAGAAAAGAATGTAAAACAAGACTCAGTAACTATCACCAATCACCAATTCCATGGCCTTTTGGTGCTTAAGGGGTTGGTGAGTGTTTATGAATTTCTCATAATGCTACTGGTCTGGAAATATATCAAACTTTTTCTGGTGAAATGAGAATTGCTTCTGTTGTTTCTATTGGTACTAGAATCCTATTTTGAGTTGCAAACTCTAGAATAGTGACATATTTAGTAAGAAGGGGAGATATTCCTCATATAGATGATATACAAGTGGTATTGTAGTCTTATGAAGTAACAGAGGAAAGATTGATTGACAAAATCTTCCTTATCAATATCTCTTTAAAGTATTGCATCACATAACTTTTTGGCATATAGTTATTACTAAAATGGATCTTCTGAATGGTACATGTAATTTGTATATCATTGAAAGCGGTACAGCCACAACATAGGTGATGCTTCATTTCATTAATACATGTAAAATATGTAAGGCATGGTGACAATTTTTGTTTTTTGTTATCAGGATTCGTGACCTATACCTGAGCTTCTGAATCTGTCATGATGCTCTAAAACTTTTTATTTTATTTAAATCTGTAAAGCCGTCTTGACTTGTTTCATTTCAGATTAAGATTGTTTGATGTTGTTTCATTTCCTTTTGGTATTTTTGTGGTTTTAAGTAATTTTTCCAATTGCTTTTATTGTTGTTGATTTGTGACCAAATTTTCCAGAGAGGAAAATCCCATCACCCCATTGCAACATGGCTTTCATAGACAATAGTCAATTTCCTGTGTGTTGGTGATTAGGCTGAGCACCATGCAAGTGCAGATCTTACCTATTTTCCTTTAAATTTCAAATATTGAAATATTTCTTATTAAAATTTAGATTTTATCTCCTAAATATTTTAATAAATATTTTTCTATTACTAAAGACATTTTCAAACTTTTTATGTCTTTAAATATGTTAAATATGTTTATTTTAAGTGTTATATTTGATGATTCTTATATATGATGCCTTTAAGGATCTATATATACCTTATATTGTTTGGCTGCTTCTTACTTATTTTTAACTTTGAATTGTACATTTTTGGGGAAAATTAGTTGTGGAGAATCACTGAGGCCTGGGCTGAAGCTGTGTTCTCTCACAGAATATTTTCATTTGTTCCTGAAGATGCCAGAGATCTAGGGCTATTTTAAATTAATTGTATTTATTTAAACGTTTTGGAGCACCCAGGTGATCTGTTGCATGTGATTGGCAAACTTTTAATTGCATTTATGCAGTAGTTTTTTTCTGCCTTATTCCTCTGAAAAACAATCGTACTTTTATGCTATTCTCTATGACTGAAGTCGTGGGCATTTGCTTTTAATTCTGATTTATATTTACATTCATGAGATAGTCCTTTTGAATCCTAGATTGATGGGGAAAGATCTGCTATTAAATTTCCAAACTTGGCTGGAACATAGTCTTCGTCTTTCATTCTCATTGACCCATAGGAACATACAGTTAAAAACTCCAAGTCTCTAGTTCAGGCAAAAGTCCTCAGGGTAAAAGCGGCTTTAGCGTTTTTCTTAGCACTTTGTTTCCAGCCTCTTTTTAAATGTGACCTGATAAGGTTCTATCGTATTAACAGATATTTGATGTGTTTGAGAATACTGGTAAAACTTTACTGTTCTGACATTTTTAGTTATTTTTAGTGGTAGAATAAGTCCACTTGTTTGGTTAAACTCTATTACCAGAAATAGAAATTTATGACATTAGCTTTCTAACGTTTATTGGTCATAGTTTTTTTCTTTCATTTTCTTTCTATAAATACAATCACACATAAATCTATTTGATTGCTATAAGTTGAGTTTCAAGAAGACAAACATATTAGAATTTATCCAGTCACTTCTTTTGCTCTTTTTTAAGTCAGTAAAGTAAGCAACCTTAATAAAATACTTCATCACATCAGCAAATATTTAAGAAGCAGCTTGGGGAAGTAATTTCAACAAATACACCTGGTGATTTTATTTTTTAAACTGAAGAAAAATTATTCATATTGAGGTGGGCAAATTGGTGAGAAAATGGAACATAAGTACTTTCAGGTGGCTCAAAGCAACACGAACAGAGCCAAACAGGTTAGAACATAAATCCATCCCTTAGTAGAAGGGAACTGTTACAATAGGTCACAACAATGAAGACAGATTGCAAACATCCTACTTTAGGCACAGATAAGAATGTAACAAAGCAGAAACTGGCCACAACTGGTTAAATCCAAGATGGCCAAAATCTTGAACAACTGTTTACCCTCAGCTGCATTATGTTTCTGTTAACATAAAAATTCCATGGGGAAGCCTCCCACTCCCATCCTGCACCTGACACCATGACAGTTCTGGATTAACCATATTTAGTCAAACAACGACAAAAGCAACAACAACAACAACAAAGAGTGGCATCCTGACTCCAGGAATTACCTGCTCATTTTCCAGAAAACACCTTCCCTTATTATATAATATTTCATGGCTGCATTATGCTTATCAATATGTGATATGAGTCCTGACCATGTTGCACATGGCTCATTCTGAACTCCTCTGAACTCCTCTCTTGAGTGTGTACTTGCTTTCACTCTGCAATAAATCTTTTACACCTTCACTTTATTGTCACCTTCAAATTCTTTAGGGTGGCAAAGACAAGAACCTGAGCTAGCCTACCAAAAGCAGTGGTGCTTTCAAAATTTAGGCTTAAATTGTGAAAACTAACAAAATATTAGTAATGCAAACAGTTTTGTTAGTTAGCCTGGTTAACTAAAACTATAGATATATAAGTATTTTTTATCATTGAACAGAAGTTTCATCTTCTAACTATAATATTGTAATAGTCAAGCCTTAATTCATCCTCAATGGTTGCTCTTCTGACAGAAAATAAAATACCTTAATCTAAGTCACCTCAAAAATGAGAATAATCTTTATCTGAATGAATAAATGTTGGTCACATTTCTATAAACATTAGTAAAATATATTATCCATTTTCAGAAAATACTTAATTTTCAGATAATTATGACGAGTATATACACTACTATATTAGTCTATTCTCACACTGCTAATAAAGACATAACTGAGACTTGGTAATTTATAAAGGAAAGGAAGTTTAATGGACTCATAGTTCCACATGGCTGAGGAGGCCTCACAATCATGGTAGAAGGCGAAGGAGGAAAAAAGTCATGTCCTACATGGCGGCAAGCAAGAGGGCATGTGCAGGGGACGTCCCCTTTATAAAACCATCAGATCTCATGAGGCTTATTCACTATCATGAGAATGGCATGGGAAAATCCCACCCCCATGATTCAATTACCTCCCACTGGGTCCCTCCCGTGACATGTGGGGATTATTACTATTCAAGGTGATATTTGGGTGGGGACACAGAACCAAACCATATCAACTACTAAACATAGTAATTTCTCAGTTTTTTTAGAGTTATGTCTAAATACAGTATTAGAAAATGTGGTAACTAAATCCTTTGGATTATTTTTAATATTTTTTGATTCTACCAGCTTTATCCATGAGACCACTAAGAATGTTTCAACAAATCCCCGTATCTATCATTGATTTCAGCAACAGCTTCCAACTGGTTGTCTTGCCTGCAGTACTGCTGTGCTCTAGTTCATTCTCTGAAATGCAGACAGTGTTCTTTTTAAAGTTCAAATTAGACTGCACTATATTTTGGTATTGCTGTATGAATGAAAACAATAATACCACATTTTCTAAGTGGTGATAAATGTTTTTTTATCCTGTCCTTTTTCATTCTTTTCCTCTTATTTACATGCTTAATGAAAATAAATTTAATTTTTGAAGGTAATGAAAATACATGTGACTGAATATCTTGATAAATTAATCATTTGTCTGCTTAAAGAGGACAGGATCATTATCTTCTAAAAGACCCATAACATTGAATAATATCAAAGTTAAGCCATTACAGTTACTAAAGTTAATTTAAATTAAGTAAAGAGTTATTCTGAAATTACCGGTTACTGCACTACATTGTATATGGATGGTTTGGGAATAGTTGATTTAGTGACTCTACACTCTCCTTTCTTCTCTTCATCCTACAATGTCTTATTAACTCAATTATGTTACTAAAACACTAGGGGTTCAATCTAGGTTCTGCTGCTCATTGCACATAATGCCAATCACAGAGACAATGAGTATTGTCAGGGTAGGAGGCTTTAACCAGGTGCTGCAGCTGAGGAGAAAGGGACATAGTCTTAAATCCATCATCCAACTGAGTAAAATTGGGGGGTTTATAATAGTGAGGAAGGCAGGAAATTAGGGAAGGATAAGGAAGCAATAATTATGGATAAGAGGTCTGATGTCTCAGGGCCTGGATGTGGTCATCTGATGAGTTTCCATTCTATGCCTGAGGATTAGTTTTCTCAAGAAGGAACTCAAATGAGACCAATGCACCTTTCAAGTTTTAAGACCTTGCAGGGTCAATTTCTATGATTATTTTTAAAAATAGCTTGTAATCCTAGAGCTTTGGGAGGCTGAGGCAGCAGGATTGCGGGAGGAGTTTGAGACCAGCCTGGGCAACACAACAAGACCCTATCTCTACAAAATTAAAAAAAATAATTAGCTCAGCACTGTGGCAGGCCTGTAGTCCCAGTTACTCAGGAGGCTGAGCAGGAGGATTGTGTAAGCACAGGAGTCCAAGGATTCAGTGAGCTATGATTGTGCTGCTGCACTCCAGCGTGCGTGACAGAGTGAGACCTTGTTAAGAAGAAGTAAAGATTAGTTTTATGGAAAAATTGGGCAGGTTCAATTAGGTTCAAACCTTCAAAAAAGGTTCAGCTCTTTTAATTTTAAATTTAAGCCAAATATCTCATTTTTTGTGCCTTGAACTTAGGATGTTTTCTATTTAGTCTTGAGTAGGCAGTTACTTACCTCTCTAGGTATATTTATTCCAAATTTTTAAAAATGAAATGGATGATCTAGATGAATGCTTTTCAAACTGTATTTTTTAGGCTTCAAAATTCTGCCAAATATAATGCAAAGCACAAACGTGGAGATTAAAGATTCTTAGTGAACCATGAAACAGAACAAATGAAGCAACACATATGTAAGCATATCATAGTTAAACTGCTGAAAACTAGGGAAAGAAAATATTCAAAGAAGACAGGGAGGGGGAAAATTGTGCATAGGGAAACAAGGATAAAAATTCCACTGAATTACCTTAAGAATCTACATAGACCATAATTGTGTAAGGCCCTGCCTGCCTTTGAACTGTTATATGAGATATAAATTAACTCTAGCTTTAGTCATAGTACAGTACCTTAGCCTTTATCTTAATTAATACAATGATGTACCTACAAGCCAAATTAAGAAATAGAACATGGTCAATACCTTAAAAACTTCATACGTGTTCTCCAATTGCATCCCCTTTGTCTCCAACTAAGAAACCAAACTGAAATTTGCTATTCATTGTAGGTGTACCTAGTTGATTCATATCACAAAATAATATGTTGTTTAATATTGCATGTTTTTGAACAAAAACTGACTGTTTTGTGTTGATTAATATGGAAATCCTTGAAAGAGAATAATTTCTTAATTGTTTAATGTTTTTCCCAAAGATTGTGAAACAGCCTGATTGAAAGGTATTATTGTGCTAAACATATTAAAAATAAAATGCATTTTCTGCTTTGACATTCTATCAGCTTATTTAAGTAAGAATTCACCATTCTCTTCTGCATCTCTTTAGGATTTATCTTTCATACTTCCTTTATAATAGATCACAGATCTGAACAAAAACTTACATATGAATTATAAGCATGTTATTTTATGTTTTTAAATTAAATATAACAGGAGGTATACACATATCCATGATGTATTGTGGTAAATTGTACATGTAAGTATGTGTACATAGAATATATGCTGAGTCAAATACAGACATGTATACTGTTCAACATTATATATAAATACCTAATATATCCCATGTTTCGTATTCTATATCCTTGCTCTAGTTTATGAATGGCAGTAAAATTCTGTTTATTTACCTAGACTTTAGCATAATAAAAAAATGCTAAGGTGTATTTCAGTAGGATTGAAAATATAAACTCAAATATTTTCTCTTTTTAATGAAATATATGTAGTCTTCTTTCTATTTACATTTCATAAAATGTCAATGTATATGCATTTTTGCAAAGTACTTATGTTTTATATTCTATTTGAAATAATTTTGTTTCCCTTCATGGATGTCATCCCTAGAAACAAATCTAATAGAGAAACTCAATAGGAGACTTTCAGTGACAAGCTACATAGAAACTAGAGTACTTGTAGGGACTTTGAATTTCATTGCGTATTTCAGCTCCATATAATTGAACTATTATGGGACTAAATAATTTCTTTTAGATGAAATTATTAGGGAACCATCAAAAATCAACAAATATTGCTAAGACTAATTACAATTTCATGAAGGATAAATATTGATTTATATATTGCTTCAGAAAAGAAACTCTAAAAGTTATATAGATCATTTTTAATTCACTATTTCTTTTGCTATATAAACAAATCTTCTAAATAAAGCATTATTTTTATTCCCAAGATAAAGAATAAAAATACAGAAAACTAAGATTATCATGCAATTTTACAGCTGTATATAATTCCAACACACCATCCTAGATGTTTCAATTTCCATATTATTATGTTGCATGTGATCATATATGTTGAGTGTGAACTGTTAAATATTTGGAGGTAAAGTGAAGTAATAACATCTTGTTTGTAAGACTGTATTATTTTCCTATTAGTAGAAGTGTTAACACTACAGATAAAATCATTTGATTGCCTTTTCCTAAAGGAAGGTTCTATTTCCTAATTTAGACATTTTTTGTGCCTTCTGGTATAATTAATTGCATATATCCATGTTACATAGAAAATATGTACACTGTAGCAACTGTTCACTTAAAAATGATGTCTTTGTCACATTTTCCCTTTCAGAATTTTTCTAAACATGATTCATCAATTTTCCTAAGTAAATGATTCACCTGACTTGAAAAGCTATAGAACACAGATATTTGTCGCTATGCAAACTTTATTATTTTTCTGCAATTCTGGCTTGCATAAGTAACTTTTTTTTTTAATTTTATAAACATAGAGTTGAAAGTTAAATAATTTTTTATGATTCCTAAAAGTGTATCTGGATAAGTATCATTCCCTGTGAAAAGGAAGTTTGATTCATACATATACCTCCAAAGTGGATAGTTCAGAGATACAAAATCAATCCATCGTTAATCTAAGCAATGTAATACTTTACAATTTTTAAAACTTGTGTAGTAATTATATGTATATGTAATTTGCACCAGGTACTCATAAACAAGTATAATTTAGGTTAAGATTAAAAATGTAAGCCAAAGAGGGCAGAGTACGATGGCAGAAGAGAAGCCTACACTGTTCATCCCCACTCCCCCACCGCACTGGAACACCAAATTTTAACAACCATTTGCACACAGAAAAGCACCATCACACCGTCACAACAAACAAAAATCAGGTGAGCAATCATACTTTCTAGTTTTAACTTCATATAGCTAAAGGAGGCGTGGGGGAGGACAAGAGAGATAGTCTTGAATCACTGATGCCACCCATCCCTCATGTCTAGGCAACAGCTGAGTAGTAAGGAGAAAGAATCTGTGCACTTTGGGGAGAGTGCAGTGACACTCTCTGTGGGACAATACATTGAACTCAGTGCTGCCCTGTCACAGCAGAGAATGAACTCTTGCTGGGCTCAGCCAGTGGCTGTGCATGTAGGGAGCATTTGGACTCACCTTAGTCAAAGGGGATTCACCCATCCCAGTGATCAGAATTTGAGTTTCTCAACAAGCCTTTCCACTGTGGGCTAAAATTCTCTGGCGTACTAGGTAAACTTGAAAGACAGCCTACAACACAAGAACTCCAATTCCTGGGCAACTCCTAGTGTTAGGTTTGGCTTAGAGCCAGCAGGCTAGGGTGGCATGTGACCTATGGAAACACCAGTTGGTGCTGCTAAGAGAGTACTTGTTCCATTTCTCCCCGAAACCCAGGTAGTGCAGGTCACAGCAACAAAAGTGGCTCCTTTTTATCTGTGTAAGTAGAGGAGCACAGTGTAACAGGACTTTGTCTTGCATCTTGGATACCAGCTCAGCCACAGCAGGACAGGGCACTGACCAGGATTGTGAGGCCCCCATTTTAGGCCCTAGCTCTCAGATGACATTTATGAACACACCATGGGTCAAAAAGGAAGGGAAGGATACAGTTTTTGCAGGGTTGATCACCTACTGGCTAAAGAGCCCTTGGGCCCTGGGTTACCATCAACAATACCCAGGTAGTATGCCATGGGCCTAGGGCACTAAGACATGCTGATTTCTGGTGTGACCTAGCACATTCCCAGCTGTGGTGACTATGTTGAAAGACTCCTGTTTGAAAAAAGCAGAGGGAAAAATAAAGGGAACTTTGTCTTGCAGCTTAGGTACCAGCTTGTCCAGAGTGGGGTAGAGCAACAAACAGGCTTTTAGGGTCCCCAAGTCCAGGCTTAGGCTCTTGGACAGCATTTATGAACCTGCCTTGGACCAAAGGGGAGCCCACTGTTCTGAAGGGTGAGTCCCCGGACTGACAACGTTTACCAAAAGCTGGCTGAAGAGCACTTGGGCTTTAGGGGAATATCAGTGGTGGCCTGGCAGAACTCCCTATGGATCAGTGGTGGTGGTGGATACAGGGAGAGGCTTCTCTGCCTGTAGAAAGGGGAGAGAAGAGTAGGAATGACTTTATATTGTAGTTTGAGTGCCAAATCAGCCACAGTACACCAGAACACCCAGTAAACTGCTAAGGTATTTGACCTAAATACCTGGCTCCAAGGCAGCATGTCTGGACATGCCTCGGTCCTGGTAGAAATCACTGCCCTGAAAGGAAACGCTTTGGGAAACACCTGGTACTGTGCTGGCTTCAGGTATGACTCAGCACCATCCCAGTGGTGTTGATCACTGGGGAGCTTGCATCACCACACCCCCACTTCTAGGTGTCTCAGCACAGAGAGAGAGAGACTTCATTTGTTTGGGAAAAAGTAAGGGAAAAGAATAACAGTCTTTGCTTATATTGCAGAGAATGTTTCTGGATCTTATCCAATAACACCAAGGTGATACCTCTACAGGTCTGCAAAAACTACAGCATTATTGAGCTTGGGGCCCAAGTCCCTTCAAATACCTGGAAAGCCTTCCCAAGAAGGACGGGAACAAAAAAGGCCAGACATTGAAGACTACAAAAAATATCTAACTCTTTAAAGCCCAGACACAGACTAACAGCTACAAGCATCAACATTTTCTAGGAAAACACGACCTCACCAAATAAACTAAATAAGACACCAGGAACCAATCCTGGAGAAACAGAGATATATGATCTTTCAGATAGAGAATTAAAAATAGCTGTTTTGAGGAAACTCGAAGAAATTCAAAATTCTATCAGCTAAATTTAACAAAAAGATGGAAATAAGAATCAAGAAGAAATTCTAGAGTTGAAAACTGCTACTGACATGCTGAAGAAAGTATCAAAGTCTCTCAATAGCAGAATTGATCAAGCAGAAGAAAGAATTAGTGAGCTTGAAGACAGGCACAGTTAGAGGAGACAATAAAAATAAAAATAATAAAGCATGCCTACAGGATCTAAAAACTAGCCTTAAAGGGGTGAATCTAAGAGCTATTGGCCTTAAAGAAGAGGTAGAGAAAGAGATGGAGGTAGAAAGTCTAGTCAAAGGTGTAATATCAGAGGATTTCCCAAGTCTAGAGAAAGATATCAACATTCAAGTACAAGAATGTTATGGATTTATCCCCCAATAAAGCCTACCCCAAGGCATTTAATTATCAAACTCCCAAAGGTTAAGGATAAAGAAAGTACCCTAAAAGCAGCAGGAAAAAAGAAATAAATAATACACAATGGAGCTCCAATAGATCTGAAAGCAGACTTTCATTTGGAAACATTACAGGCCAGGAGAAAGTGGCATGACATATTTAAAGTACTGAAGGAATAACTGTAACCCTAGAGTAGTATATCTGGTGAAAATACCCTTCAAGCATGAAGGAAAAATAAAGACCTTTCCAGACAGACAAAAGAGATTTCATTGACACCAGACCTATGCTACAAGAAATGTTAAATGGAGTTCTTCAATCTGAAAGACAAGGATGTTAGTTAGCAAAAAGAAATAATCTGAAAATAGAAAACTCACCGGGAATAGTAAGCACACAGAAAAACACAGAATAGTATAACACTGTAATACTGGTTTGTAAACTATTCTTGTCTTAAGTAGAAAGACTAAATGACAAACCAATAAAAATACTCACTACAACAACTTTTCAAGACATAGGACAATAAGACATAAATGGAAAAAACAAAAAGTTAAAAAGTGGAGGGATAAAGTCAAAGTGTAGAGTTTTTATTAGTTGTGTGTGTGTGTGTGTGTGTGTGTTTCTGTGTTTGTGTGTGTGTTTGCTTGTTTATGCAATCAGGGTTAAGTTGCCTTCAGTTTAAAATAATGGGTTATAAGGTATTATTTACAAGCCTCATGGTAACTTCCAATTAAAAAATTACAGCAAACACAAAAAGTAAAAAGCAAAAAACTAAAGTGCACCACCAAAGAAAATCAACTGTATTTAAAAGACAGAAACAAAGGAGAGAAAGAAGACTGAAAAACAACCAGAAAACAAATAACAAAAGGGCAGCAGCAAGACCTTACTTATCAGTAATAACATGAAATGTAAATGGACTAAATTTTCCAATTAAAAAAACACAGAATGGCTGAATCAACAAAAAACAAGACCCAGTGATCTATTGCCTACATGAAACATAGCTAACCTATAAAAGTACACATAGACTGAAAATAAAGGGATGGAAAAAGATATCCCATGCCAAAGGAAACCAAAAAAGAGTAGGCATAGCTATATTTATAACAAAAAAAATTTCAAGACAAAACTTGTGAGAAGAAATGAGAAAAGTCATTATACACTGATAAGAGTCAATGCAGCAAGAAGATAAAATAATTGTAAATATATGTACACCCAATACACGAGCACCCAGATATGTAAAGAAAATATGATTAGAACCAAAGAGACAGAGGCCCCAATATAATAAAGCCTGGAGACTTCAACAACCCACTTTCAGCACTTGACTAATCTTCCAGACAGAAAATCAGCAAAGAAACATCAAACTTAATTTGCACTTTAAAAAATAATGGACCTCATAGATATTTACAGAACATTTCATCAAACAGTTGCAGAATACACATTCCTCTACTCAGCATATGGATCATTCTCAAAGACAAACCTTATGTTATGTCACCAAGCAAGTCTTAAAACAATAAAAAATTGAAATAATATTAAGCATCTTCTCTGACCACAATAGAACATAACTAGAAATCAATAATAAAATGAATTTTGGAAATGATACAAGTGCATAGAAAATAAGCAATATGATCCTGAATAACCAGTGGGTCAATAATAAAATTAAGAAATAAATTGAAAAATTTCTTGAAACAAAAGAAAATGAAAACACAACATAGCAAAACCTGTAAGATACAGCAAAAACAGTAGTTAGAGGCAAGTTTATAGCTGAGTGCCTACATCAACAAAGAATAAAAACATCAAATAAAGAACTTTAATGGTGCATCCTGAAAAAATAAGAAAAGCAAGAGAAAACTTAACTCAAAATTAGAAGGAAAGAAATAATAACGAGCAGAGCAGAGATAAATAAATTTGACATGAATAAAATAATACAAAATAACAAAACAAAAAGTTGTTTTTTCGAAAAGATAAACAAAATTGACAAACCTTTAGGCACATTAACTAATAAAAAAGAGAGAAGATTCAAATAAATAAAATCAGATTTGGAAAAAAAAAGACATTTGAGGTGGTCAGATTGCTTGAGCTCAGGAGGTGGAGACCAGCTTGGGCAACATGATAAAACCTCATCTCTACAAAGGTTACAAAAGTTAGCTGGGTGTGGTGGTGCATACCTGTAGTCCTAGCTATTCAAGAGTCTGTGGTGGGAGGATCACTGGAACCTGAGAGATTGAGGCTGAAAGTGAGCTGAGATTGTGCCACACACTCCAGCCTGGGTGACAAAGTGAGACCCTGTCTAAAATAAGAAAGAAAGAAAGAAAAAAGAAAGAAATGAAGGAAGGAAGAAAGGAAGGAAGGAAGGAAGGAAGGAAGGAAGGAAAAGGAGACATTACAACTAATGCCTCAGAAATTCAAAGGATTGACCGGGTGCAGTGGCTCACGCCTGCAATCCCAGCACTTTGGGAGGCCAAGGCAGGCAGATCACGAGGTCAGGAGTTCGAGACCAGCCTGACCAACATGGTAAAACCCCGTCTCTACTAAAAATACAAAAATTAGCTGGGCGTTGTGGTGCGCGCCTGTAATCCCAGCTACTCAGGAGGCTGAGGCAGGAGAATCACTTGAACCCAGGAGGTGGAAGTTGCAGTGAGCCGAGATCGTGCCACTGCACTCCAGCTTGGGTTACAGAGTGAGACTCCATCTCAAAAAAAAAAAAAAAAAAAAAGGAATTCAAAGGATCATCGGATCCTTGGTGATTACTATGAACGACTATGTGCCAATAAATTTCAAACTCTGGAATAAATGAATAAATTGCTAGACACATACAACCTACAAAGATAGAACCATGAAGAAATCTAAAACCCAACCAGACCAACAACAAGTAATGAGATCACAGTTATAATAAATAGTCTCCCAGCAATGAAAAGCCCAGAACCTAATGGCTTCACTGCTGAAATCTAGCAAACATTTAAAGAACTAATGCCAATCCAACTCAAACTATTCTGTAAAATAGAGGAGAAGAGAATGCTTCCAAATTCTTTCTAAAAAGCCAGCATTACCCTAATAACAAAACCAGCCAGACACATTGAAAAAGGAAACTACAGGTCAGTATCAATGATGAATATTGATATAAAAACCCTCAACAAAATATTAGGAGACCAAATTCTACAATATATTAAAGAGATCATTCATCATGACCAAGTGTGATTTATCCCAGGGATGCATGGATGGCTCAACATACACAAATCAATCAACGTAGTATATAATGTCAACAGAATGATACAAAAGAATTTTAAAAAATAATAAATTAAAAACAGAATGAAAGATAAAAATTATATGTTCATTTCAATTGATGCTAAAAAAGCATTTGATCAAGTTCAGCATCCCATTATTATGAAAACCCTCAAAAAAACTGCATATAGAAGGAACATACCTTAATATAATAAGAGCCATATGCAACAGACCCACAGCCATTATCATGCTGAATGGGGAAAAACTGAAAGCCTTTCCTCTTAGATCTGAAACATTACAAGGATGCATGTTTCATCATTGTTATTCAGCATAGTACTGGAAGTGGTAGCTAGAGCACTCAAACAAGAAAAAAAAAAAAAAGAAAAAGAAAGGACATCCAAATTGGAAAGAAAGCAATCCAATTATCCTTCTTTTAAGATGATATGATCTTATATTTGAAAAACTGTAAAGACCCCACAAGAAAACAATCAGAACTGAAAAAACAAATTCAATAAAGTTGCAAGATACAAAATCAACACACAGGAATCAGTGACATTTCTATATGCTACTGCAAACGATCTGAAAAATTACATGCTGCGGTAACTCAGTAGCATTTCTATAAGCTACAGTGAACAATCTGAAAAATAACTAAAAAATGCATACTTATTTACGATGACCACAAATAAAATTAAATAATTAGAAACCAAAAATAGTGAATGATTTTTAACAGTGAAAACTATAAAACACTGATGAAATAAATTGAAAAAGCCACAGAAACTGGAGCGATTCCATATACATGGATTAGAATAATCAATATTGTTTAAATGTCTGTACTACTCAAAGTAATATACAGATTCAGCACAATTCCTATGAAAACACCAGTAACATTCTTCACAGAAATGGGAGGAAAAAATAATAAAATTTATATGCAATTACAAAAGACCCAGAATAGCCAAAGACATACTGAGCAAAAGGAACAAAACAGGAGGAATTATATTAGCTGACTTCACTACAGAGCTATAGTAACTAAAATGTCATGGTACTTGCATAAAAGCAGACACATAACCGAATGGAACAGGATAAAGAACCCAGAAACAAATTCACACACCTACACTGAACTCATTTTTAACAAAGTTGCCAGGAAGATACTTGGGAGAAAGGACAGTCTCTTCAGTAAACGGTGCTGGTAATACTAGATATCCATATGCAGAAGAATAAAACTGGACCCCTATCTCTCAAAGTATACAAAAATCAAATACAAATGGATTGAAGACTTAAATCTAAGACATTAAACTATAAAATTACTATAATACAAGGAAACATTGAGAAAGCTCTCTGGGATATTGGTCTTGAGCAATAGCCTACAAGTACAGGAAACCAAAGCAATAATGGACAAATGGGATCACATCAAGTTAAAAGCTTCTCCATGGCAAAGAAACAACCAATAAAGTGAAAAGACAACCCTCAGAATAGGAGAAAATATTTGGAAACCACCCATCTGTATTAGGTCATTCTCAAATTGCTATAAAGAAATATCTGAGACTGGGTAATTTATAAGAGAGGAGGAATTATAGACTTGTTGTTCTGCTGGCTGTACAGAAAGGATAGAGGAATCTGTTTCCGGGGAGGCCTCAGGAAGTTTCCAATTATGGCAGAAGGCAAAGGCAGAGCAGCCATATCACATAGTGAAAGCAAAAACAAATGAGGGGGGCACACAATTTTAAACAACCAGGTCTCACAATAACTCACTCACTGCCTCAAGGACAGCATCAATTCTCTCAAATGCTAAACCATTAATAAGGATGCCCCTATGACCGAATCACCTCGCACTAGGGCCCACCTCCAGCTCTTGGTATTATGTTTCAACATGAGATTTGGGTGGGCACAAATATCCAAACTATATCACCATCTGATAAGGAATTAATAACCGGAATATATAAGAAACTCAACAATTTTATAGAAAAAGAAATCTAATGATCTAGTTACAGCACAGGCAAAAGACCTGAATAGACATTTCCAGAAAGAAGACATAAAAATGTCAAGCAGGCATATGAAAAGGTGCTTAACATCATTTATCATCAGAGAAATGCAAATCAACAATACAATGAAATATCATCTCAACCCAGTTAAAATGGCTTTTATGGAAAATCAGGCAATAGCAAATGGTGTCTAGGATGTGGAGAAAAGGAAACTCCTGTATACTGTTGGTGCAATTGTAAGTTAGAACAACCACTATGAAGAACAGTTTGGATGTTCCTCAAAAAACTAGAAATTGGGCCACCATATGATCCATCAATCCCACTTCTGGGTATATACACCCCCGAAAAAGGAAATGAGTATATAAAACAGATAACTGAACTCCCATGTTTGTTGCAGCACTCTTCACAACACCTAAGATTTGGAAGCAAACTGAGGGGCCATGAACACATGAATAAAGAAAATGTGGTACATATACAAAATGAAGTACTATTCATCCATAAAAAATGAAATTCTGTTATTTGCAACAACATGGATGGAAGTAGAGGTCATCATGTTTAGTCAAATAAGCCAGGCACAGAAAGACAAGCACTGCATGTTTTCATTTATTTGTAGGATCTAAAAATTAAAACAATTGAACTCATGGAGATAGAGAATAGAAGAATGGTCACTAGAAGCTAGGAAGGGTAGTGATTGGGGGAAGGTGGAGATATTTAAGGGGCCTAAAAAATAGTTAGAGAAAATGAATAAGGTCTATTGTTTGATAGCATAACAAGGTGATTATCATCAATAATAATTAATTGTACATTATAAAATAAGCAAAATAATATAATTAGATTGTTTGTAACACAAAGGATAAATGTTTGAGGGAATGGATATCTAATTTTTCCATAAGGTGATTATTATGCATTGCATGCTTGTACCAACATATCTCATGTATCCCATAAATATATACATCTACTATGTACTGTCAAAAATTTTTAAAAAGGACAAAGGACAAAATCTACAACATACTGCATGATTATATTTTCAGCTATTCGAAGTGCACATCATTTTAACAAAGGTGCCAAGAAGATACTTTGGAGAAAGGACAGTCTCTTCAATAACAGGTGCTGATAATACTAGATGTCCATATGCAGAAGAATAATGGAAGTTCTAATGAAAGGACAAAACAACATAGCTACTTTTCAAAGCAATTCACCTACTTATTATAAATTTTAACATTCATCTGCCATATAACTCAGTAATGATACAGCTAGATATCTACCTAAGAGAAAAATATAATATTCACACTACAACATTTCATTAAAAATTATGGCAGCTTTATTGATAGTCACAAAAACATGAAAATGACCAGTGCATAGATAAACAGGGGTACATCCATACAATGGAATAATAATTAGCAATACAAGAAATAAACTATTGATTTGTGCAACAACATTAATTCATCTAAAATGCATTGTGCTAAGTAAAAAGAAAAGCCAGACTTAGAAAAGCTGCATATTATATGATTTTCTTCATATGACACCTTAGAAAAAAAATTATGGAAATTGAAAACAGATTAGTGCTTGCCAAGGGCTGTGGGATAGGGGTAGAGGTTGACTAGAAGAAAGCAGCACGAAGGAATTTTGGATGTGATGGAAATGTTTTATATGGAACATTGGTGGTGGATACATGATTCTAAGCATTTGTTGAAAGTTATAGGATTGTATACCAGAAAGACTACAATTTTCTATGCATAAAGTTTTAAAAAGTCAAATTGAAAATATATGGAGGAGGCTGGGCATGGTGGCTCACATCTGTAATCCCAGGATTTTGGGAGGCTGAGTCAGGATGATTTCTTGAGCTCAGGATTTCAAGACCAGCCTGGGCAGCACAGCAAGACCCTGTTTCTACAAAAGTAGATTTATTTAAGAAAATAAAATATATGCAAGGATAGCATTTGGACCACTACAAAATGTACAGAAAAGTGACTATGATCAATAATAATATATAGTATTCTTGAAAAATGTAAACAGAGTGGATGTTACTCTGACCACAAAATGATAACCAAGTGAGGTAATATATTTTTTAATTAGCCAAAATTAACCATTTCACAATGTATATGTACTTTAAAACACCATGTTGTTCATGATAACATTTCTTGAAATTTATTCTCCTGATCTAACTGTAGATATCATTAGTTTTTTGTTTGTTTGCTCCTTCTTTGTGTGTGTGTGTGTGTGTTTGTGTGTGTGTGTGTGTGTGTGTCAGTCTTTTTCCCTGTCACCCAGCCTGGAGTGTGGTGCTACAATCCCAGCTCACTGCAGCCTCAACTTCCTGGGCTCAAGCATCCCTCCCACGTCAGCCTCCTAAGTAGCTGGGACTACAGGTGTGAGCCACCACATCTGGCCAAACGTATCTAACTGTAATTATGTATCCTTTTACCAACATCTCCCCATTCCTTTTCCCAACTAACAACCTGAGCCTCTACAAACCATCATTCTACTCTCTACTTCCATGTGATCAGCTTTTCTAGAGCCTACATGTGAGAGCATGTGGTATTTGTATTTCTGTTCCTTGCTTATTTCACTTAACATAACGTCCTTCAGGTTAATCCATGTGATCACAAATGACATTCTTAGGCCATAATATTTCACTGTGTATATATACATTTCTTTATCCATTCATCCACTGATAGACAGTTTGTTTCCATATCTTGACTATTATTCGATAAACATGGGAGTGCAGATGCCTCTTTGACAGACCAATTTCAATTTTTTGGATATATACCCAGTAGTGGGATTACTGGGTTATATGAAAGTTCTACTTTTGGCGGGGTGTGGTGGCTCACACCCGTAATCTCAGCACTCCAGGAAGCCAAGGAGGGTGGATCACCTGAAGTCAGGAGTTCAAGACCAGCCTGGCCAACATGGTGAAACCCTGTCTCTACTAAAAATACAAAAAGTAGCTGAGCGTGGTGGTGGACACCTGTAATCCCAGCTACTCCAGAGGCTGAGGCATGAGAATCACTTGAACTCAAGAGGTGGAGGTTGCAGTGAGCCAAGATGTCGCCACTGCACTCCAGCCTGGGCAATAGGAGTGAAACTCTGTCTCAAAAAAAAAAAAAAAAAGAAAAAAGTTCTACTTTTAATTTTTTGAAAAACCCCTATACTGTTTTTCACAATGGCTGTGCTAATTTACATTCTAACTGGGGTGAGATATAAAAGCCATATACAACAAACCTATAGCCAACATCATAATGAATGGGAAAAAGTTGAAAATTTTTTAAGATTCGAAACAATATAAGGATGCCCACTTTCACTACTTCTATTCAACAGAGAACTGGTGTCCTAGTCAGAGAAATTAGGCAAGAGATAAAAATAAAAGGCATTAAAATTAGAGAAGAGGAAGTTAAATTGTTCCTGTTTGCTGATGGCATAACCCTATATATTGAAAACTCTAAGCACTCCACTAAAAAGCTGTTAGAATTAATAAATGAATTCCATAAAATTATGTTACAATGTTAACACACAAAAATTAGTTGCATTTGTGTACAATAGCTAACTATCTGAAAGGAGAATAAAACAATCCCATTTACAGTAGCTACAAAAAATACCTATGAGAAAACGTGACCAAGGAGGTATAAGAAAAATGTAGAAGATACAAATAAATAAAAAGATATTCTATGCTCATGGATTAAAACAATTAATATTATTAAAATGTCCATACTACACAAAGCAATTTACAGTTTCAATGGAATCCCTATAAAAATACCAATGACATTCTTCATGGAAATAGAAAAAAAAAAATCCTAAAATTTATCTGGAACCAAAAAAGACCCCAAATAGTCAAAGCAATCTTGAGCACAAAATCAAAGCTAAAGTCATGACACTACCTGATTTCAAAGTATACTACAAACGTATAGTAACAAAAAGAGCATGGTACTGACATAAAGATAGATACATACACTAATGGAATAAAAGAGAACCCAGATATAAATCCAGGCATTTACAGCCAACTAATTATTAATAAAGTTACCAAGAACATGCAATGGGGAAAGGACAATCTTTTTCATAAATTATGTTGGTGAGAGGTGAAGCCGGCTGGGCTTCTGGGTCAGGTAAGGACTTGGAGAACTTTTTTGTCTAGCTAAAGGATTGTAAAAACACCAATCAGTGCTCTGTGTCTAGCTAAAGGTTTGTAAACACACCACTCAGCACTCTGTAAAAACGCACCAATCAGCACTCTGTGTCTAGCTAAAGGTTTGTAAACGCACCACTCAGCGCTCTGTAAAAATGCACCAATCAGCGGTCTGTGTCTAGCTAAAGGTTTGTAAATGCACCAATCAGCACTCTGTAAAAAATGGACCAATCAGCAGTCTGTAAAATGGACCAATCAGCAGGATGTGGGTGGGTCCAAATAAGCAAATAAAAGCTGGCTACCCAAGCCAGCAGCAGCCACCTGCTCAAGTCCCCTTCCACGTTGTAGATGTTTTGTTCTTTCGCTCTTCATAATAAATCTTGCTGCTGCTCACTCTTTGGGTCTGCACTACCTTTATGAGCTGTAACACTCACTGTGAAGGTCTGTGGCCTCACTCCTGAAGTCAGCGAGACCACGAACCCACCGGGAGGAAAAAACAACTCCGGACATGCCACCTTTAAGAGCTGTAACACCGCGAAGGTCTGCAGTTTCACTCCTGAAGTCAAGCGAGACCACAAACCCACCAGAAGGAAGAAACTCCAGACACATCTGAACGTCTAAATGAACAAACTCTGGACACACCATCTTTAAGAACTGTAACACTCACAGCGAGGGTCCGCGGCTTCCTTCTTGAAGTCAGTGAGACCAAGAACCCCCAAGAAGGAACCAATTCCGGACACATTGGGAAAACTAGACATCCACATGCAGAAACATTATTATTAGTTTTGGGTCTTACATTTAAGTATTTAACCCATTTGGAGTTAATTTTAGTGTATGATGAAGATAAGGGTCTAATTTCTTTTTTCTGCCTTATTTGTTGAGACATAGTTTATGTTGAGTAAAAGTATGTCTCAACAAATATATAGCATATAATTCTATGAATTTGAAAAATGCATATAATTGTGTAACCACAAACAAAGTTAGGATATAGAATAATTTTATGATATAGAATAATTTTACTGAGGTGAACAAGTCCATGTTGTCCCTTTGCAGTGAAGAAAATCAGAATATTTTATTCTAAAATCATATTTTTTGACATATTCTGATATGGCTCTTTAGAAAGCCAGCAAACCCAAGTAGCCCTGCAAAGCTGTCTTGTGGGGGAAAATTTGCATCTGCATTGATGTAGCCAGGCTTTCTCTGAGGCATTTCCTCATCCAGGTCTAGGAAAGATTAACTGAGAACCTGACACCTTTAAAGTTCTGAAAGAAACATTTACCATTATTCTCTCTGTGGGCTGCTACCTGTGAGGTTTCATTTCCAGAACAAGACCACCTTTAATAAACAAGCTTTCTCCTTTCTCCCTCCCATATCCTGTCTTGCCACTATAGCCAAATTTTCCACCATAACCTGGTTTTGGCCATGATCATGTTACTGGAAAGTGTGTAGTCCTCAGTTCCTGGCTTCTTGGAAGAAAGAATTCAGCCAAAAGACAATTTAGCAAAGTCAGCAGAGTTTATTGAAGGAAAATTAAGTAGCCTCCAAGAGAGTAGATGGCTGGATGGGCTGGAAACAGCCCTGAGAGTTCTGTGTTGCAGTTTTTGTTATGTTGGACTTTTCTTTAAGCTCCTTCCTCTATCTTAAGTCTCCACCTTTGTCTTCATCTAGCTTCCCACTTCTGTCTTCAGTCTCTGCTTTGTCCCCACCTAGTCCCTGCCCAGGTTTGTGAGATTCTCCCTTACTGTCAGTTAATGCACATTCAAAGGGCCCTGAGATCAATACAAATCCTACCCAATGGCAGCACTCTCATTACTGCCTCCTCAGGAAGATCATACAATGGTCAAATCTGCACTTATTGTACTTACATATTTCTTAGGAATGTCCCTTTTCTCCCACTTATCAGCATGGAGATAGCTACATTATGACAATTAAGCCACAGAATAAGTGATTACAGAGTGTCTTAAGAGATGTTTCTGGGCATTCCTTTCCACATAGGTATTGTCCCTCCCCTCTGCTTATATTTAGCACGCATGTTTCAGGTGGTCTCTAGGGCATGAGATTTTCCAGAGCTTTCTCTCCCAGGGGCTCCCTTTCCTGCTCATGTCTAACTATCTGCCTACTACTCTCTGAGCCCTCATTCTATCTGTAACCTTACTTCCGCATTCCACTGGGGTGTTGGGGTAACACTCTGTAATTCTCCCCCATGTATACATTAATACATTTATATTGCTTTTCTCCAATTAATCTGCCTTCACACAGCTGATTTTTTAATGAAATATCAGAGAGTGAAGGGGAAGTTTTCCTATAGCTCCTACAGTAGTCAACTCATCCTGCTACCCTCCACTTCCCCCACCTGCCTCTGAAAACCACAGATCTGCTCTCCATTTCTATATTTTGCCTTTTAAAAAATATTATAATAATATCATATAGCATGTTGCCTTTTAAGTCCTAATTTTTTACTCTTATTAAGGAGTTTGAGAGGTATCATGTTATATGTATAATTATTTTTTTTCTTTTTATTACTGAGTATCATTCCATCATGTAAAGTTACCCCTGTTTGTTTATACATTCCCCAGTTGAAACAATTTCAGTTGTTTCCACTTTGGGGTGGTTACGAATAAAGCTGCTCTAAGTATTCATATACAGGTTTTTGTATGGACATAAGTATTCACTTATATGAATTGTCCAAATAACTGGGTATTTGCCCAAGTGAACCACTTGTGAAATTATATTCACATAGGTGAATCTAACTTTTCCACCAGGAAAGTTAGAATGTTTCAGTTGCTCCATGTCCTTACAAGTTTATATTCAATTTTTTTCTTGTTGTTTTGTTATGCTTTGCTTTAGTCATTTCAATGAGTTTATAACACTATTGCAATGTTATTTAATTCAGTGTCATTTAATTGAGAGTTTCTCAATGAATTAGTAATGGAAAGAAAGTATCTCAAAACAATAAAGGCTACACATGACAAATTCACAGCTAACATTGTATTAAATGGAGAAAAGCTAAAAGCTTTTTGTTTAAGAACTGGAACAAGACAAAGATACCTACTATCGCCACTCTTATTCAACATAGCACTGGAAGTCCTGGCAATTTAGACAAGAGAAAGAAATAAAGAGCATCCAAATCAGAAAGTAAGAAGACAAATATTCCCTGTTTGCAGATAGTTTGATCTTATATATTAAAAAACCCAACAACTTTACCAAAACAAGTCTTAGAACTTATAAACAAATTTAGCAAACTTGTAGGATACAAAATAAGCATACAAAAATTAGCAGCATTTCTATACATAAATAATCATCCAGCTGAAAACAAATCAATAAAGCAATTCCATTTATAATAGCTGCAAAAAAACCCTAAGAATAAATTTAACCAAGGAGGTGAAAGGTCTTTACAAGGAAAATTATAAAACACTGATGAAAGAAATTGAAGGGGATAAAAACAAATAAAAATACATCCCAAGCTCATGGAACAGAAGTATCAATATGATTAAAATAACCATACTACCCCTACCCAAAACAATCTATGGATTCAATGCAATACCTACCAAAATACCAATGATGTTCTTCCCAGAAATAGTTAAAAAAAAAAAAAATCCTAAAATTGCTGCTGGACCACAAAAGACCCTGAAAAACCAAAGCAACGTGAACAAAAGCAACAAAGCAGGAGTATCACACTATCAGACTTCAAAATATGCTACAAAGCTATAGTAACCAAAACAGTATGGTACTGGCATAAAAACCAGACTCATAGACCATTAGAACATAATAGAGAGCCCATAAATTAATCCACATATCTATAAGCAACTGATTTTTGATAAAGCCACCAAGAACATTCAATAGGGAAAGGATAGACTCTTCAATAAATAATGATAGTACTCATTTAAGGTAACTTTTGGAGATAGTAGGAGGCATGGGTTGACCCTTTTTTTTGAAAACATATGATATAAAATTGTTCCAGCACTTTTTGTTGTATATACTAAACTTTTTATTCATTAATTGCCTGTGAATCTTTAGCAATACATCTATGCATGGGTTTATTCCTTGACTTTATATTCTGTTTTATTGATATATGTGTCAATTCTTTTGTCAATACCACATTGTCTTAATAAAAGTAGCTTTATATTGTCTTAAATCAAGTAGTAGGAGCCCTCAAACTTTCTTTTCATTTTAAAAAAAATATTTTGGCCATTCTGCTTCTTCTACCCTTCCATATGACTTTTGAATCCAATTTGATTTTAACTTTAAAAAATATGCTACTGGGAATTTGTTTGTGATTTCATAGAATCTACTAATCACTTTAGGAAGAATTGATATCTTAGTAATACTCAGTTTTTCTTTCTATGAACATGATACAGCTCTTAATTTATGTATTTTGTTTTTGTTTTTGTTTTATAGATTTCACCATAAAATATGTGTACATCTTTTGTTAAACTTGTACTTAAGTATTTTGTTTTTATTTTTTGGTGTTAGTTTAAGAGTACTTTCTAAAATTTTTAATTTCTGGTTTTATTATAGTACAAAAATACAATAGATTTGTATATACTGACCACGTATCATGAAACCTGGCTAAAGATACGTATTAGTTCTGATAACTCTTATAAGGCAGTTTTATTTTTGCCATTTCTGTCTGGATGGCTTGTTTGTATGTATGTACATATGTATGTATATATGTATGTATGTATGTATTTAGACTTATTGAACTAGATAGGACTTCCGGTGTAACGTTGGAGTGGTGCAAATGGTCATCCTTGTATTGCTTATAACCATAGTGAATAAGCATTCCATCTTTGGCCATTTAGTGTGATGTCAGTTGCATGTTTTTGTAGATATTCTTTATAATCTTAACATGTTTCCTTCTATCTTGTTTGCTCAGATTTTACCACCAATGAATATTGAACTCTTATCAAATAAATGATTTCTCTAAAACAATTGTGTTGATGACATGGTTTTATATGTTTGATTTGTTTATATGTGATTTGTATTCATTGATTTTTAAACAACTTTATTGAGGTATATTTTTCAAATCACAAAATTTACTTATTTTAAGTGTACAATTCGATGATTTTAAGTAACTTTACTACATGGTACAAAATCAGCTTTCGAACATTTTCATCTCTCAATAAGACTCAGTGTGCCCTTTAAAATGAATCCTTATTCCATTTCTCAGCCCCAGACAAGCACTAAATTACTTTCTGTCTCTATAAATGTGACTTTTCTAGATATTTTATATAAATGGAGTCACACAGTATGTGGTCCTCTGTGTATGGATTCTTTCACTTACCATGATGTTTCCAAGAATCATCCATGTTTTAGTTATAAATGAATACCATTCTTTTTCATGGCTGAATAATATTCAATTGTACAGATAAACTCTATTGTGTCCATCCATTCCTCAGATGGTAGACATGTGTATTCTTTTCACTTTTTGGAAATTATGAATACTGCTGTTATGAACATTGCTATACAAGTTTTTGTGTGAATATATGTTTTTCTTTTTTTGGGGGGTGTACACATCGGAGTAAAATTACTGAGTCAAATGTTGATTCTATTTAAATTTTTGAGGAACTGCCAAATTATTTTCTACCACGTATGTACAACTCTACATTCCCATCATAAATATATAATGTTGAATTTTTGCCAATGTTTGTTGTTATCCCTTTCTTTGATTATAACCATTCTATTGTGTGTAAAGTAGTATCTCATTATGGGTTGTCGAATTTGCATTTCCCAAACGATTAATGACATTGTCTTTTCATGTCTTTTTGGCCTTTTGTATATCTTCTTTAAGGAAATACATATTCAAATCTTTTGTTCCTTTTATAATTAAAATATTGTTTTATTGTTGAGTTATAAGCATTTGTATATATTCTTGAACTAGACTTTTATTAAGTATATGTTTTGACAGTGTGTTCCCTCAGTCTGTCAATCATCTTTTGAGTTTCTTTATAGTGTTCTTTGAAGTATGAAAATACTTAATTTGATGAAGTAAAATTTATTGATTTTTACTTTGGCTGCTTGTGCTTTAAGTGTCTTATCTAAGAAACCTAAAAAACTGTTGCCTAATCCAAGGTCACAAAAATTTACATCCATGGTTTTTTCTCACAGCTGTATAGTTTTAGGACTTACATTTAGTTTTTTGATACATTTTTTGCTTAAATTTTGTAAATAATAGGAAGTCCCAGAACCATTTGTTGAAAAAGATCACCCCCTTCTCCTATTAAATTCCTGTAAATTAATCGACTATAAATATGAGGGTTTATTTCTGAAAGCACGAATCCAGTATAGCTTTCTCCCTTACCCTTATATTTACTATTATTGTCATAAAAGTTATATTTCTATACATTCTGAGCCCATCAACAAAGTTTTATACTTATGACTTTTATGTATTTGTCTTAATTCAGATAGATTTATGAACAAAAATATATTTATACTGCCTTTTACATTTAACTATGTATGTACCTTTAGTAGTGTTTTTTAAAATTTATTTATGTGGATGTAAGTGATTGCCTGTGTCCTTTTATTTCAGCTTGAAGGAGTCACTTTATTATTTCTTATAGTGCAAGTCTGCTAGGAATGAATAATCTCAGATTTTCTTTTTGTCTTCATTTCTCTTTCATTTTTGAAGTGTAAGTTTACTGGATAGAATTCTTGTTTCACAGTCTTTTTTCTTTCCAGACTTTTCTATGTCACATCTGAGTATGTTTAAGTATTATATTTATTGATGTAGCTATCTGTTCATTTATTCTGGTTGGAGTTCACTGAGCATCCTGGCTGTGTGAAGCAATGTATTTCATGAAATTCGAGAAGTTTTCAGTAATTATTTTTTCAAATATTTTTCCCTGTTATTTACGCTCCTTTTAGAATTCCCACTTGATGTTATCCTGCATTTCTCTGAGGCTCATTTATTTATTTTTCCTCATTTATTATACTTTTAATTCCTCAGACTACATTATTTCAGTTGATATATTTTTAGGTTGAGCAATTCTTTCTTCTTCCAAGTTGATTCTGATGTTGAACCCTTCTAGTGAATTTTTCATTTCAGTTATTGTTATTGTTAAGTATAGGATTTCTATTATGTTATTTTTATAATTTCTATATTTTTATTGATAGTCTCTATTTGATGAGAAATGTTCTAATACATTCCTTTAATTCTTTTTTTTTTCTTTTCTTTCTTTCTTTTTTTTTTTTTTTTTTTGAGATGGAGTCTTTCTCTGTTGCCAGGCTGGAGTGCAGTGGCTCAATCTCGGCTCACTACAACCTCCACCTCCTGAGTTCAAGTGATTCTCCTGCCTCAGCCTCCCGAGTAGCTGGGATTACAGGCATGCACCACCACGCCCAGCTAATTTTTCTATTTTTAGTAGAGAAGGGGTTTCACCATGTTGGCCAGATGGTCTCAATCTCTTGACCTTGTGATCCACCCTCCTCAGCCTCTCAAAGTGCTGGGATTACAGGCATCAGCCACGGTGCCCGGCCCCTTTGATTCTTTAGAAATGTTTTCCTTCAGTTCTTTGAACATATTTTTAATAGTTGATTTAAAAAATTTGTCTGTTAAATTTGACATCTGGGACCTATCATAGGCCATTAGTGTTGCCTTTTTTTCATCATGTGTATGGGCCATACTTTTCTGCTTCTTTGCATGTCTTGTAATTTTCTTTCAAAAATGGACATTTAAAAAATATAAAGGTGATATCGTATGTCATTTAGGGAAATTATATTACTCCCATTCCTAGGGTGTGTTGTTACTGTTGCTTTTTACTATTGGTTTGTTGACATTATTGTTGATGGTTGCTGGTTTAGTAAACTTTCTGAACTAATTTTGCAACTTCTGTATTCCCTGTAAGCTGTAATCACTGTAGTAGTTTCTCAGCTAGCTTAGAAGACAGCTAATAATTAGAGATTTCCTTAAATGCCTTAGTCAAAGAAATTTTTTTGTGCATTTTGGCATACTTTTGACACTCGACCAGTTTAAAACTTGCCTTAGCATTCATTTTCTGCTAATACATGGCCTCAGTTTCAGCCAGAGGTGAGTCACTAGGGCCCTCTCATGTTTTTCCCAAGCAGGTGAACAATGCAGAACATGCATGTTGTCTTCTAGATCCCAAAGAATATGTCACAGCTTCTCAAAGTTTCCTGTGGACATCTCACTCCTCAGATCTTTTGTTTAAATTTTTGGCTGAAATCATTTCTGTCCAAATTGCTTTCATAGCCTTAAAATTGTAAATATTTATCAATTACAGCTGATTGTTTTCAACAAACACCATAGATACAGGGTTTTTTCCCACTGAACCAGATCTGAGTCATGTCAAATAAAGAGAACACTCTCTATTAGAGTCTTTCCAGAGGGCCACAAGACATGTCAAATAGTGACAATTCTCTGGGGATGAAAATTTTTAGAAGCTCAGCTACACCCTCCAGTAGCTCCAAGGCTGCTGTCTTTCCTAGCTTCCATTGTAAAAACTGCTGGCTTTGAAAGATACTGTGGAGTTGTAGAGGTGTTGTGAGGAGGTAGATTAAACTATCACATAACTTGTTACTGCTAAGGGTGGGCAATATTTGTTTGACATTCTTAAAATTGTTGCAACCATTTATTTAATTTCAAGAGTTTTGAAAAAGTTAGCTTTCATGATTTTGCTAGTATTTTCATTACTTTTATGGAAGAGCAGATTTACAGAGCTGTTACATCATTCAGAAAGTTACTCTGAATTGTGTGATCTTTGAAACTTGAACTAGCCTTTCATTCCAGGTGTAAAACTCACTTGCTCTTGAGCTATTATTTTTTATACATTATTGAATTTGATTTAATTATATATTTTTAAGCATCCATGTTCATGAAAGATATTTATTTGTAATGTTCTTTTATTTTAATGTCTTTGGCTTTGCTATAAGGGTAATGTTGGGCCCATGTTATTAGTTGCAAAACTTTTTCTTTCCTTCTGTTTTGATGGAGAGTATTTTTTTGTAGAGTTGATATTAATATTATGTCTTTCTTCAATGATGGGAAAGTAATCACAAACAACCACATAGAGATGGGAAGTTTTAACTAGGCCGAAGTTGGTTGGGTAAGTGGGTTTCATATCATTATTTAGGCCTAAAATTGCATGGTGAAGCAGCAACTATATCAAATAAATTTATGACAGGTTATAATTGGGTCTTTTTCTAAAAACATTTCAGCCTACCAATATTTTTAATTGATGTGTTTTGACCACAATTTGATAAATGTTTTCCATAAAAGAACAGAGAGTAAATAATTTACACTTTGCAGGCCTTACGGTCTCTTTCTCAAGTACCCAGCGCTGCTGTTGTTACATGGAAGCAGCCACAGAAATAGGTAAAAATATGGTTATGAATGTGTTCCAATCAAACTTTATTTACAATAATAGATGGCAAGGCAGATTCATCTTGTTGGGATGTAGTTTGCCGGTGCCTGATTTAGACTTTCACAATTAATGTCATTATTGATATGGTTGGCATTAAGTTACAGGATACTAATCGTTTTCTCTTCATTTCATTGGTTCTATATTTATTTTACCCAGTTTTTCTGTGTCCTTTTGGATTAATTGTTTTTATTATTCTGTTTTGTGAGAATAATAGTGGTTCGTTATTTATACTACCATTTTATTTTTAAGGAGTTATTGTGATGTTTATAATATGCATCTTCAATTAATTAAGTCTACTTTCAAAACATATTATACTGCTTTAAATAAAGTATATGAATCTTATAATAGTATACTTCCAATTTTTCTCTTTCATATTTTGTGCTATTATTGCCTTAAGTTTTATTTTTATATAGGCCATGAACTCACTAAATGTTGCTAATATTTTTCATTAGATTATTAATTACCTACTTAAGGTATTTCTGAGCTTTTTAGAGCTGAGCATTAAATATTGTCACTAATTTTGGAAAAAGCTTGGCCGGTATATTTTTGAATATTTATTTCAGCCCAAGCTCTCACTTCTACTCATGAATTCCAATTATATGTGTTAAAATACTTGCAATTGTTCTGCAGTTCTTGGATGCTTTGTTCTCTCTTTATATTTCAATGATGGTTATTTCTATCGACCAGTGTGATAGTTAATATTGAGTGTCAACTTGTTCGGATTGAAGGATGCAAAGTGTTGTTGCTGGGTGTGTCTGTGAAGATGTTGCCAAAGGAGCTTAACATTTGAGTCAGTGGACTGGGACAGGCAGACCCATCCTCAATCTGGGTGGGCACCATCTAATCAGCTGCCAGCTCAGCTAGAATCAAGCAGGCAGAAGGAAGTATAATGAGCAGACTTGCTGAGGCTTTTAGTCTTCATCTTTCTCCCGTTCTGGATGCTTCCTGCCCTCGAAGGTCAGACTCCAAGTTCAGTTTTTGGATACTTGGACTTACACTAATGGTTTATCAGGGGCTCTCAGGCCTTCAGCAATGGACTGAAGGCTGCACTGTCACCTTCCCTACTTTTGAGGTTTTGGGACTTGGACTGGCTTCCTTGCTCCTCAGCTTGCAGATGGCCTATTGTGGAACTTTGCCTTGTTATCATGTGAGCCAATACTCCTCAATAAACTTCCTGTTATATATACATCTATCCTATTAGTTCTGTCCCTCTAGAGAACCCTAATACAACCAGTACTCAAATTTGTGGATTCTTTTTTACTTTTCAAGTATACTGAGGAGCCCATTGATGACATTCTTTGTTATATTGTTACCATATACCTTATTTATAATGTGTCCATCTTATTATTTCTTAGTGATTCCCATCTAAAACGCCATATTGAAATTTCTCTGCTAAAATTTTCTATCTTTTCATACATGTTGCCCACCGTTTTTACTAGAGCTTTGAACATACTAATTGCTATGGTTTAAATATGTTGCCCTTTTCTAGTGAGTCCCTGAGAAAGAAAAGAATAAATGTGTGCCTCATTCAAAATTCACATTGAAGCTTTATTCCCATTGTGGTGGTACTGAGATGTGGGTTCTTTTTGGAAAACGTTTATATCATGACGGATCCACCCTCATACATAGATTAGTGCCTTATAAAAGGACTACAGTGAACTAGCTTAGGTCCTTTTACCCTTTCAGTCCCTATCACCATGTAAAAACACAGTGTTCCTCACTTCTCGAAGATGCAGCAATAAGGCACCATCCTGGAAGAAGAGGTGCTTCACCAGACACCAAGATTTTGGTCCCTTGATCTTGAATTTCTTAGCCTCCAGAACTGTCAAAGATAAATTTCTGCTGTTTGTAAATTACCCAGTCTTACATATTTTTATCGTAGCACAATGGACTAAGACACTAATCTAAGTTACATTAAATTACCTGCCTGATATTGTCACCATCTGGATCATCACTCTATCATCTTTTCTTTATTACTTTGTAACAAGACAGTATTGTTAATACTGTTTTGAAAATGAGTCTCACAGTTGTTATTTATTGAGTGGTAGGCATACTGTGTACAATATTATGGCAGTAAATAGTATATATTTGTGGAAATGAGTATACCTTTTCTTTTATTAATAATAGCCTACGAGATTTTTCATGTGTATGGTGGAATGGTTGAGTCAATCTAATTAGGAACTGAGCTAGGTTTGGGTTTTATTGTGGTTGTGGTTGCCATAAGTATATATCCAATTTTAAATATTGATATGGTTTGGTTGTGTCCCCACTCAAATCTCATCTTCAATTATAGCTCCCACAGTTCCCACATGTTGTGGGAGCCACCCAATGGGAGGTAATTGAATCATGGGGGCGGGTCTTTCCCATTCTGTTCTCGTGATAATGAATAAGTCTCATGAGATCTGATGGTTTTATAAAGGGGAGTTTCCTTGCACATGCTCTCTTTCCTGCTGCCATGTAAGATGTGTCTTGCTTCCCCTTTGCCTTCTGCCATGATCGTGAGGCCTCCCCAGCAATATGAAACTGTGAATAAATTAAACCTCTTTCCTTTATAAACTACCCAGTCTTGGATGTGTCTTTATTAGCAGGCTGAGAACAGATGGATACAAGTATCTTTTGTATTACCTTGATTTTATGCCCTTGGGGATACACCCTCAGCTTTTTACTGGCCCTATTTGCCTTTATCTCAGAGAGGTTTTCTCTTTATGTGGCTGCCTGTCCTCTAGTAGTAGACTTCTGTCCCTTGTCAATGGGTACCTGTGCTAGCTTAGTGGTAAAGAGCATGCGGAATGCTCTGTTATCCTAGTCAAGCATCTTTCATAGACAGACCCATGTTCTGGCATCTCAGGAGTGGGGCTTTCTCAGTGATTCTGCCCCTTTATCCCAGTGCAAACTCTAACCTGTAACTTTGGTGGGACGTTTGCAAAATTCCCTGCTTTTTCCCCATGATTAGGAGACCTCTAATGATCTGTGGTTAGAATAATTTTGTCCTCCTACTTCCTAGGCAGAGAGTATTCATTAATTGTTACTCTGCCACGCTCCATCTTCACTTTGGAACTGGAGATGACAGAGTTTGTTAGCCTTCCACAAGTAGTTTAAGATTAATGTTCTTCATGGGAGTCGAGTCTAAGTGGGGCTTCATGCATTTCCTGCAATTGTTACCACTTATGTCCTCCAGACACACATCACTATGTCTTTCTGTGGTCCTTCACTTTGTTCCTAACCTCTCTATTGAACACAAAGTGTAAGGCTACAGAGAGTATACTCTTTGTCTTTGTTACCATATATTTTATTTATAATGTGTCCATCTTATTATTTCTTACCGTTTCCCATCTAAAACGTCATATTGAAATTTCTCTGCTAAAATTTTGTGTCTTTTCATACACGTTGCCCACTGTTTTTACTGGAGCCTTGGACATACCAATTGCTATAGTATACCATGGGTTCTTTATTCTCATGTTAGTCCAGCCTTTGACAATTTGTTAAAAGTTTTAGAAAAAATTATTTTTAGCCACCTATATGTCTCTTAGCATGTCTTCATTCTATTCTCTGTGACAGGAGACACAACACTTATGTCTCCTTTTTATTTGGAGATGTCTGTCTCTCCTAAAGTTTTAAGCTACTTATTGCTTTATAACTTCATCTTTTTGATGGGTTAAGGAAAAGCTGATTGTATACTTCATGTGGCTTTTTCTCATTTTTTTGGATAGCAGTAATATTTTCCAGCCTTTTGCATTATGGTTTAAAGAAGAATTCACCCATTATCTTTCAATAGAGGCAAAAATTAATCTAGTGTTACTTTTTAGGGGTATATTTGGTGAATTAGACATCATCTCCAAATATTTAACATAGGTATCTAATTCGAATGATATTTATAGACTGATCAATACATATATATTGTTTTCCTTTTTAGAGATGGGGTATTGCTATGTTGCCCAGGTTATATTTGAACTCTTTGTCTTAAGCAATCCTCTTGCCTTAGCCTCCCAAATAGCTGGGATTACAAATGCATACCACTATGCCCAGCCAAACAATAATTTTCAACATCCTAAAATATAAAAGTACTCAAGTTGGAAGAGTCCAAAAAGATTATCTATTCCAACTATTTAAATTTATTAAAAAAAGATTTTACTATCAGGTCCTGTGTTATGTTAGGCATCAGTAAACAAAAGAGGTATGGTTGCTTCCCTAATTAGATTATAATCTAGTAAACCCCAATTAAATAATCATACTAATGGATGTCTAACCACAAACAGAAAAAAATCTGAATAACTATGGTAAGCTGAGGACCCACAGTGAAGTAATCTGGCTTAAACTTGGGGGGTGGTCATGGAATTGAGGATAGAAATGAGAACTCATCTCAGGAAATTTTTATTATAAAGTTACATTTGAGTCGGTAAGGTTGAAAAGATGCGTATAAATAATTATTTGAGAGCTGGAGTATGTGTAAAGAATTTTGGAATGACTTAGTATCACATGTGAAGGACCTATTTTGGAAGAGAGTAAAGAGCTGTTAAGTTTTGTTTTGTTTTCTAATAGAATTTTGAAATCACCCAATGATTTTTTTAATTGTAGAAAAATAATTATATATTTATGGAATATAATGTCATATTTTGATATATGTATACATTGTAGAAATATTAAATCAAGCTAAGTAATATATCACTTCATCTACTTATCATTTTCATGGTAAGAACATTTAAAATCTATACTTTTAGAAATATTGAAATATACAATATATTATTATGAACTATGGTCACCATGCTGTGCCATAAATCACCAATACTTATTCCTCCTATCTTACTTAAAATTTGTACTCTTTGGCCAACATCTTCCCTTTCCCTACCATTACTTCTCCCAGCCTTGGGTAACTACCATTTTACTCTCTACTTAAGTTTCACTATTTTAGATTCCACATATATGTGAGATTGTGGTATTTGTCTTTCTGTGCCTGTCTTATTTCACTTAACATAATGTACTTCTGATTCCTCCATGTTGTCACAAATGACAAGGTTTCTTTCTTTTTTAAGACTGTATAGAATTCCATTGTGTAGGTACACCACATTTACTTTAGCCATTCATCCATCAATGGACACTTAGGTTGAATCCACATCTTAGGTATTGTGAGTAATGCAGCAATAGACATGAGAGTTGCAGATATCCTTTTAACATACTGCTTACAATTCCTTTGATCTATATCCAGAAATGGGATTGCTGTATCATATGGCATTCTATTTTTAGTTTTTGGGAAACCTTCATACTATTTTCTATAATGGCTGTACTAACTTAATTCCCACAGTGTGCAAGAGTTCTCTTTTTTTGCACATACTTGCCAGCACTTGTTAACTTTTGTTTTCTGATAGCACCCATTCTAACAGCAGCGAGTTGCTCTTTTATTGTGGTTTCAATTTGCATTTCCCTGATAATTAGAGATGTTTACCATTTTTTCATATGCTTGTTTGCCACACATGTTGTTTTTGGAGAAATGTCTGTTCAGGTTCTTTACCCATTTTTTTAATCGGGGTATTTGTTTCCTTGCTGTTGAGGTTTTTGAGTTCCTCATGTATTTTAAATATTAGTCCTTTAATAGATAGATTGTTTACATGTATTTTCTTCCAATCCATGCGCTCTTTCTTCACTCAATTATCTCCTTTGCTGTACTTTTTAGTTTGATGCAATGCCCTTTGTCTATTTTTGCTTTTGTTCCCTATGTTTTTGGGGCTCTAACCAAGAAATCATTGTCCAGACCAATGAGGGTGGTCATAAGCGTCAAATGCTGCTGAGAAGTCAAGTAAGCTAAGAATCAAAAAATGCATATTAGAATTAATGACACAAAGCCACTGATGACCTTAGCGGGAGAAGTTCCAATGGAATAATAAGGGCAAAAATAAAATTAGATTCAATTGAGGAGTGAGGGGGACTTTGTGACTTGGTAGTAGCTACGGAGAGGTAATTAAGGGAGATTTTTTTTTCACATAGGCAAGTTTTTTTATCCCGCCATCAAATGTCATGAGCTTGCTTTGCATATTTCAGATATCTTTCCTTTAATGAGCTGTGTTCGTATGACTCCTTACCAATACTGCCTGCATTCATGAATCTGTGTGACAGAATTTCTGCTCTTAAAATCTTCTATTAAGCCCTCATGCAATTTATTTTTCACCAGTATTTACATACTTAACTACCTTTTCCACCTCCAATATCTTGGAGGTTACTAGAAAAGTGGTAGTGCTTGGCTTTCCCCAAGGACAATTAGAAAGGTCCCCAGCTATATACTGTATGTACTGGAAAACCGCATGATTTTCATGTTTTGCAGTGCCAGAAAGGCATAATTACATAGGTGGCATCTTGAATTAGACTTAATCTACCTTTTTCACTCAGAACTGAATCAGGCTGGTTTACTGTGATTTTGTTTTCAATAATAAAAAATATTCTAGACAACAAAAGTTCAAAATTGCAGAGGGGAGTCTATCCTGATTTGTCTAAAGGACAAAGGCTCCAGTATGGTATTCAACAGATGAACTGTTTTTTCAGTTGTTTTGACTGCAAGATAGATTAACAATTTCTTCTCCACAAATGATTAAGAAAAATTATTTTTGAGATGCACAATAAAAACACTTCTAGCACTGAAGTAATAACATGTTTGATTATATAGACACAGGTTTTTGGCTCAATACACTAAAGGTAAGGCAATAAATGGAAAGAGCTTCTCTTAGAGAGCTGAGTTGTTAATCAACAAGGAACAGCTGCATATGTTTCTGCTTACTTTCTTGTAGCACTTAGGTCTCAGTTTTTTTTTTTTTTCACCTCTTTGAGTCAGTTACCATTCATGTGGTTATATTCTATCCACTAAAATCTTGTAAAACTTTCAAAACTCCTGTGGCTTATTGCTTCCTTTCTTGTCTTCATCCTTCTGAATGAAAACTTTTATGTACCTTTATTGTAGTGTTTAAAAAGGGTATGTTTGATGTGCCACATTAACTAAAAATTGGCATACATTTTAAGACTTAAGCAGAGAGCTTTATAAAAGGTATTGTGTAATTTGACAAAAATTATTTTAAAAATAATACATCTTATAAATAGTATATTTTCAGAAAACTGTAATTTCGTAACTTTTAAGGGGTTATTTATCCCCACAAGCACTTATTCTTTGTGTTAGAAACAATTCAATTAGATCTCTTAAATGATTTTAAATTTACAATTAAGTTACTATTGACTATAGTCACCCAGTTGTGCTATAAAACAGGTCTTACTCATTCTTTCTCTTTTTCTTGTACCCATTAACCATCCTCATCTTTTCTTCAGCCCCCTACTACGTTTCTCCGCCTCTGGCAACCATCCTTCTATTGTCTATGTCAGTGAGTTCAATTGTTTTTACTTTAGGATCCCACAAATAAGTGAGAACATATAGTGTTTCTCTTTCTGTGCCTGGCTTATTTTACTTAACATAATGATCCCCAGTTCCATCCACGTTTTTACAAATGACAGGATCTCATTCACTTATGATGGCTGAAGAGTACTTGATTGTGTATAAGTATCACATTTTCTTTATCTATTCATCTGTTGATGGGCACTTAGTTTGCTTCCGTATCTCAGCTAATGTGAATAGTGCTGCAAAATAAATGGGAGTGCAGATATCTCTCCAATATACTAATTTCCTTTCTTTTGGTGCTATAATCAGCAGTGGGATTGCTGGATCATATGGTAGCTCTATTTTTAGGTTGTTGAGGAGCCTCCAAGCTGTTCTCCATAGGGGTTGTACTAATTTACACTCCCACTAACAGCGCACAAAGGTTCCCTGTTTACCACATCCTCACCAGTGTTTGCTATTGCCTCTCCTTTGGATATAAGCAATTTTAACTGGGGTGAGATAATATCTCATTGCAGTTTTGATTTACATTTCTCTGATGATCAATTATGTTGAGTACCTTTTCATATGCCTGCTTGCTATTTCTATGTCTTCTTTTGAGAAACGCCCATTCAATCTTTTGCCCATATTTTGATCAAATTATTAGATTTCTTTCTATAGCATTGTTTAAGCCCCTTATAAATTCTGGTGATTGATACATTGTCAGATGGGTAGTTTGTAAATATTTTATCCCATTCTGTGGATTTTCTCCTGACTTTGTTGATTGTTTCCTTCACTGTGCAGAAGCTTCTTAACATGATGTGATTCCATTTTTTTAAATTTTTTGCTTTGATTGCCTGTGCCTGTGGGGTGTTACTCAAGAAATTTTTGCCCAGACCAATGTCTTGGAGAGTTTCCCCAGTGTTTTCTTGTAGTTGTTTCATGGTTTGAGGTCTTATATTTATGTCTTTAATCCATTTTGATTTGATTTATATATATGGCAAGAGGTAAGGGTCAAGTTTCATTCTTCTGCATATGAATATCCAGTTTTGCCAGCGCCATTTATTAAAGAGACTGTCTTTTCTCTCTTGTATGTTCTTGGCACCTTTTGTTGAAAATTAGTTTACTATAGGTGTGTGAATTTGATTCTGGTTTCTCTGTTTTGTTCCATTGGTCAATGTGTTTGTTTTTATGCCAATACCATGATGAATTGACCCCTTTATCATTATGTAGTGACCTCCTTTGTCTATTTTTATAGTTTCTGTCTTGAAATCTATTTCGTCTAAGATAACTACTATTACTACTCTTTTTTGTTGTTTTTGTTGAGATGGGGTCTCGTTCTGTTACCCAGGCAGGCATACAGTGGCATGATCTTGGTTCACTGCAACCTTCACCTACTTGGTTCAAACATTTCTTATGCCTCAGCCTCCCAAGTAGCTGTGACTACAAGTTTGTTCCACCATGCCTGACTAATTTTTGTATTTTTAGTCAACGCAGGGTTTTACCGTGTTGGCCAGCCTGGTCTCAAATTTCTGGCCTCAAGTGATCTGCCCGTCTTGGCCTCCCAAAGTGTACTTGGATTACAGGCATGAGCCAGCATCCCCAGCAACAATAACTACTCTTGCTGTTTTTTGGTTTCCATTGGCATGGAATATCTTTTCCCATTCCTTCATTTTCAGTCTATTTGTGTCTTTATAGGTGAAGTGTGTTTCTTAATAGGTGACAGATCAATGAATCTTCTATTTTCATTCATTCAGCCAGTCCATATCTTTTGACAGGAGAGTTTAGGTCATTTACATTCATTGTTATTATTGGTAAGCGAGGACTTACTCCTGTCATTTTGTTATTTGTTTTCTGGTTGCTTTGTTCTTTTTTCTTCTTTCTTTCTTTCCTTTCCGTCTTTAGTGAAAGTGATTCCCTCTTGTGATATGATTTATTTTTTTATTTGTATTTTTTGTATACCCATTATATGTTATTTGGTTTAAGTTACCATGCAGTTTGCCAATACTATCTAAATAAATCCAGTATTTTAACCTGGTAACAACTTAACACTGTTTGCATAAACAAACAAACAAGAAAAAAGCTAATAAAAACTCTATGCCTGGAATTCATTCCCCTCCTTTTTAACTTTTGTTGTTTCTATTTATATCTTATTGCACTATGTCTTGAAAAGTTGTTATAGTTATTATTTTTCATTGATTCATCATTTAGGCTTTTTACTTAGGGTAAGAGTAGTTTACACACCACAGTTACTATGCTATAATATTCTGTGTTTCTCTGTTTACTTACTATTGCCAGTTAATTTTGTACCTTCGGGTAATTACTTATTGCTCATTAATAGCTTCTTCTTTCTGATTAAAGTACTCCCATTAGCATTTCTTGTAGGATAGGTTTTATATTATTGAAATCCCTCAGCTTTTGTTTTTCAAGAAAACATTCTTTATTTTTTCTCCATGTTTGAAGGATATTTCAAACATAAAGATTTGCTAGATATACTATACTAGGGTAAAATATTTTTTTCTTCAGCACTTTAAATATGTCATGCCACACTCTCCTGGACTGTAAAGTTTCCACTGAATACTCTACTACCAAACATATTGATGCTCCATTGTATGTTATTTGTTTATTTTCTCATGCTGCTTTTAGGATTCTGTCTTAATCCTTGATCTTTGGGAGTTTGACTATTAAATCCATTGAGGTAGTCTTCTTTGGGTTAAATCTGCTTGGTGTTCTATAACCTTCTCATACGTGAATATTGCTATTTTCTAGGTTTCGAAAGTTCTCTGTTATTATCCCTTTGAATAAAATTTCTACCCCATATCTCTTTCTCTGCCTTCTCTTTAAGACCAATAACTTGGATGTGCCCTTTTGAGGGTGTTTCCTAAATCCTGTAGGCCTGCTTCATTGTTTTTATTCTTTTTCTTTCATCTCCTCTGTCTATTTCCAAATAGCCTGTATTCAAGTGCACTAATTCTTTCTTTTGCTTGAACAATTCTGCTATTAAAAGGCTCCGACACATTCTTCAGTATGCCAGTTGCATTTTTCAGCTCTAAAATTTCTGCTTAATTTTTTTAAAAAAATTTCCATCTTCTTGTTCAATTTATCTAATAGAATTCTGAACTTCTTTTCTGTGATATCTTAAATTTCTTTGAGTTTCCTCAACACAGCTATTTTGAATTCTCTCTCTGAAAGGTCACATATCTCCGTTTCTCCAGATTTGGTCCCTAGTGCCTTATTTGGTTCATTTGGTGAGGTCATGTTTTCCTGGATGATGTTGCTGTTAGTAGATGGTCTTCAGTGTCTTTGCATGGAAGAGTTAGGTATTTATTGTAGTCTGGACTTGTTTGTATCCATCTTTCTTGGGAAGGATTTCCAGGTATATGAATGGACTTGGGTATTGAGATATAATCTGTATCTGCTTCAGGGGAAACCCCAAATTCAGTAACGTTGTGCTTTGTGTAGACTCATAAAGTTACCACCGTGATGGTCTTCAACAAAATCTGGGAGCATTCTCTGGATTACCAGGCAGAGACACTTGTTGTCTTTCTTTATTTTCTCCCAAACAAATGGAGTTTCTTTCTCTGTTCTGAGCCACCTAAAACTGGAGGTGGAGTGACACTAGCACCCATGTGGCCACCACCACTATGACTGCTATGTCAGACCTGAAGCCAGCACAGCAGTAAGTCTCAACCAAGTCCTGCTGTAACCACTCCCTGGCTACTGTTTATGTTTTCTCAAGACCGTGGGGCTCCTCAATCAGCAGGTGGCAAAGTCAGCCAGGTCTGTGACTTTCCCTTTGGGGCACTGAGTTTCCTCAGGCCCTGGGTAGGTTCAGAGGTGCTATCTGTGAGTCAGGGACAAGAGTCAAAAACCTTAAGAGTCTACCTGATGTTCTATTGTACTGTGGCTTAGCTGACACTCAAACCACAAAACACATTCCTTCCCACTCTTCTCTCCTTCTTCCAAAGGCAGAGGAGCCTCACCCCATAGCCATAGCCACTGCCACCACAGGCAACAGAAAGTACTACCAGACTACTGCTGATGTTCCCTTAAGGTTCAAGGGCTCCTAAGTCACCTTGTTGTGAATGGTGCCTGGCCTGGGACTCACCTTTCAGGGCAGTGGTCTCCCTTCCGGCCCAGGGCAGGTCCAGAGATGCCATCTAAGAGTCAAGTCATGGAATTGGGGATACCAAGACCCCTCTTGCTGTTCTACTTCCCTGTGGCCACGTTGGTACCTATGGTGCAAGACAAAATCCCCTTTACTTTTCTCTCGGCTTTTCTCAAGCAGAAGGAGTTTTGCCCCATAGCCACCACAGGTGGTAATGCGCTGAGTCTCACCTGAACCCAGCACCTCTCAGAGGCTCACTCAAGGCCTTCAACATAATAACTGTGTATCACTGCTGGTTACTCAGGGCTCAAGGGCTCTTCACTTAGCAGGTAATGAATGATGCCAGGACTGGGTTTTTCTTTACAAGGCAGCAGGTTTCCTTCTTGTCCAAGGTATGTCTAGAAATATGCAGGAGGTAGGTCCTGGAAAAAGAGCCTCATGATTCTGGCTGGTGACCTATTCTGCTGTGGCTGAGCTGGTATCCAAACAAAGTCCTTCTCACTCTTCCCCAGAAGAAAGGGGTCTCTCTTGGAGCCACCAGCTTTACAGCCTGGAGGAAGGGTGATGCCAACACTCCCTTGGTTACCCAAGCTGGTGTCTTATAGGTCATGTGCCTTCCCAGTCAACTGTCTCTGGGCCCAATCCAACACTAGGACTCACTTATGAGTTGCAGCCCTTATGGCCTAGACTGCATTTCAAGTTTATTAAGAGCACAGAACTTTTTAGCGCATGGTGGTGAGGTTTGTGGAAACTCAAACTTCACCATCGTGGGCAAAAGGTTTGGGACTGCTGGGATTTGCTATTCGACTCTGGCTAGAGTTGTGTCGAATTCTCCCTTTGTGGTCTGGCATCAGCTGAGTTTCGTCCGGTTTTCCTTTCTGATCTAACAGGTCAGCACTGAGTTCATTGCCTCCTAATTGCTGTGTTCTCCCTCCCCCAGAGCCCAGAGATGCCCTCTCCACCACACTACCACACTGCTGGGTGTCGGGGGGTGGGGAGTGTTGACAATTCAGGAATATTTTTTGTATCTCTTCAGTGCCTCTTTCAGCAATATGGAGTTAAAACTAGATAATTTGGGGGCTCACTGGATTTTTGGTTCTTAGGAAGGTGTTATTTTCTGTGTAGATAGTTAATTTGGTGTTACTGTGTGGAGGGGATGATTGGTGGAGCCTTGTGTTCTGCCATTCTTCTCCACCTCATTTCATAACCTTTTAACCAACAATTTGTGCATCGTTGAGTTAAATATGAAACCAGGAAAGGTACTGCTTAGAAAAAAGCATTTTACCTAATAATTGTTTTTTATGATATCTGAATGCATAATTGGATTGGACACAGTAGCAACTTCTTATAAACCAAGAAGTATAATGCTACTTAAAATTAGTATTATTATCACTGCAAACAAGTTAATGCTTTTAGTCATATAGTTTGTCTTTAGGAGACTTCAAATGGAAACTAAATGGCAATATAGAACAAAAAATGGCCTTAAAAGATGTCCCATAAGTTGAAAGATATTTCAATTTTATTTTCATATTATAATTTGAAATAATTTAATGTTAATACTGAAAGTGAACTTCATATAACAATAAAACTCTGAGAGATCTATCAATACATATCAAGAGGCTGCATATTCTAAACTTGTGCTTTTGGAATGACACGCCAGTCAATGAAAAATCACAGTTTATGGGGGTTTTCTTCATTCAAATTTCTATGGTAGGAGTGAATAAACATATTTATGAAGTCAGATTTTTATGGTTCAATTTAGAGTGAAAGTCAGAGTAGATAATGCATGCGAGTATAGTAAAAATGCATATAAATGGATGCAGAGGAAAGAATAATGATTTTATTATATTTTCAAGGAGAACTTAAGAATAAATCCGCGTAGATCAGCCCTTTAGGGAAACTTATATGCTAATTAAATCATTTAGTTACAGGGTTTTAGCCTTTTCTTCCACTTTTAAAAATGTACATACAAGAGAGTGGTTGGTTGTAATTTTATATTATTAGCACCCAGAACTAACAAAGATGGATATCAGTTTTGTTTTCTAACTTCTTTCTTATTTAACCATAGATTTGCAAATGTGCCTCACTGACTTTCACAAGCAATCTTATCAATATTATAGCTGAGCTCACCTTAGTCTTAGCAAATAGGATGTGATCACCAGAGAGGAGGCTTAGAGTCAGAGGCTTAAAAAACAAACAAACAAAAAATAAAAATAAAAATCTCAACCAATCCACCAAAATTGAGTCAATACTCCTAACAACATATACATTGCAAGATACTGAGTTATCCTCATACAGCTATTTGATGTCAGCATTAACTAGGGAGGCTGAAAACATGAAGGACAAAAGAAATGTTTAAAAGCATAGGGGAGTATATACTTTCTGTGGCCAATTAGGTTACACCAGCAGCTCTATGGAAGAAACTCAGCACTCAGGACTCAAGGCAGTCATAGTGATATGGCTCCTATGACTGGAGGAACACAGGGGCCTTTGTCTCCTGCCAATTAGATAGACGACACGGACACACGTGGAGTGGTTTTAAGGAGCAGAGAGTTTAATAGGCAAAAAGAAGGAAAAAGCTCCCCTGTACAGAGACAGAGGGAGGGGGCCACTGAGCAGAGAGAGAAAAACTCTGGATGCGGTTTTATATTAGGAGCCTGGAGGAGGAGGTGTCTGATTTGCATAGGGCTCAGGGGATTGGTTTGACCAGGTGTGTCATTCACATAGCCCACAAAAAACTGGCCCCCACGTCCTAGCCTTTGAATATGCAAATGCAAGTCACCATGATGTCCTGCATACGTGGAGTTATCTGGAGGCAGCCATGATGCTTGGCACATGTACAAGAAGAGGGTGGAAATCGCCATCTTGGATGGACCCAGTTTCTAATGGCTTGCATTTGCATATCAAAGCTTGCCAGCCTTGCCCTTCAAGTTTCCTTTTTGTTAGAAAGAAAACAAATGTTTCCTGAGCTGCTTTATTAAAAAAAAAAACAAAAAACAAAAAGCCTTACCGAGGACTCCTTGCCCTGTCTGCCTAAAATAATTTCTTAATAAGTCCTATAATAATAGTCATCCTGAATAGTGATTTGGAACAAATTTAAAATCGGAGAGATCGGCAAGTCTACCTACTGATGACCTTTTCTGAGTTCAACTGCTAACCTAGCTGGATTTCTCAGCATGATCTTCTCCTAAATTTCTTGTCACTATGTTCTCCCCATCTGTCAAAATAACCTAGTGCCCACTTGCACTATTCTAATTAGTGAGTGTGGTAGCAAAAAATGGACCTCGACACAAAGCCTAATACCTATTTATAAAGCTTGATGCAATATATGAATATACTTTGTGAACCCAAAATATCTGAGACAGGTCTCAACCAATTTAGAAAGTTTATTTTGCCAAACGTAAGTATTTACCCATGAAACAGCCTCAGGAAGCCCAAGGTGGTCGAGACACAGGTTGGTTTTATACATTTTAGGGAGACATGAGACATCGGTCAATATCTGTAAGATATACATTGGTTCAGTTGGAAAGGTGGAATAACTCGATGTGGTGGAGGGGCTTCCAGGTCATAGGAAGATTAGACACAAATGGTTGCATTCTTTTGAGTCTCTGATTAGCCTTTCACTGAATACACAATTTGCGTGTGAAAGGAGAATAGAGAAAATAGTCACTTATGCCTTAGTCTGGCTTGGTAGAACAAAAGGGCAAAGGAAGTAATCAGATATGCATTTGTCTCATGGGAACCTCAGAGGGATGACTTTGAATTCTGTCTGTCCTTTGTCCACAAGGAATTTCCTGGTGGGCAAATTGTAAGGAAGGTATGTATCTTTTTATCTTTTTTTTTTTTTAAATCTTTGTAGGTCTCTTATTTAAAAATAAAATGGCAGGCAGGTTAGTATGTTATAGTTCCAAGCTTGACTTTTTCTTTGGCTTAGTGATTCTGGGGCCCTGAGATTAATTTTTCTTTCACAGTATTATGCATCCTACAGTAACACAGCTATTTAAAACATTACTGCAATTGTAACTAAATAGCAGGTTAGTGCCCACTGCATGTAGAGTCCAATTAACAAGAGTGATCTGATACAAAAAAAGAAAAGTGAATTTATTCTAAGGCTAGCTTAGGGAAAGAAGCAGAATGTGTCCTACCTTTAAATGTGCTGCTTCCCCTTTGGCACAGAAGGCAGACACTTTAATAAGGTAAGGGGAGAAAATGAGCAAGGGCAGAGGTCCCCCTGCTACCAGGCAGTTATCTACTGGACAGTTGAGTTGGCACCCTCCTGGGCAAAAGTAAGTTGTAAAAGTGGCCAAGTAGGCATGCTTTCAATATATCCTCCTAGTAGGTGTGAGTTCCCAGGTGGCTCCTGAAGAATGGAAGTTCTGGGCCAACTCCCTGTAGGTGAAAGTTCCTTGTCAGGTATGCTTTGGTCTGCAAGTCAACTGTCAACTCTGGAAGAGAGATCTGTCTTGGAGCACACAATCAGAAGAACTTAACCTGTAGGGAATGTCTGTGAGGGGATAGGTGAAAGGTTATATTTGCATTTCTGAAGGGCTGTCGACAAAGAGTCAAGCTCTGTAAAATATTTGAAGAGATTTATTCTGAGCCAAACATGAGTGACTGTGGCCCGCGACACAGCCCTCAGGAGGTCCTGGGCATATGCGCCTAAGGTGGTCGGGGTGCAGCTTGGTTTTATACATTTTAAGGAGGCATGAGACATCAATCAAATACATTTAAGAAATACATTGATTTGGTCCAGAAAGGCAGCACAACTCAAAGCAGGGGATTCTAGGCTATAAGTAAATTTAAACATTTTCTGGTGGCAATTGGATGAGTTTGTCAAAAGACCTGGGATCCATAGAAAGGAAATGTTCAGGTTAAGCTAAAAGATTGTGGCCATCAAGGTTCTTTTGAAGTCGTGTAGTCACTGCCCATAGAGAGAATAGATGATATATGTTTCCTGTTCAGACCTTTAAAAGGCACTAGGCTCTTAGTTAATCTCTTCAGGATTGGAGGGCACGGAAGAAAAAGATATAGCTATTTTAATGGAGATTCTTTACAGATGCGAATTCCCTCCCCCCACCCCCACCACACCAAGGACAGCTTTGCAGGGCCATTTCAAAATACGGCCAAGAAACATGTATTGGGGTAAAATATTTTGACTTTCTTCTTTGTCACATAATGTTATGCCAGAGTCGGATTGGAAAGTAAGTCACAACATAGAGGGTTAAATAAAACTAATCTGATGAGAATTTATGGTTTGTAGGGCATGAATCCCCAGACCACTTAGATAAGAATTTGGGCAAGATAAAAAAAAAAAAAAAAAATCAGAGCTTAGCCCTCAGGGATAACTCGGAACAGGGAGCCAGGGAAGTGAGAAAAAATAGAGGAAAAAAATAATTAAGCAACCTCTAGAAAAATGGGGGTACTCTGTTACATAATGACTCATTGAGTAAGAGGTGTGTAAGAAGTGATACTTGGTCCAGCCTGGGCAATGTAGTGACATCTCGTCTCTACATAAAAATAAAAATTAAAAAAATAGCTGGGAATGGTGGTGGAGGCTCACACTTGTAGTCCTAACTACTTAAAAGGTTGAGACATGAGGATTGCTTGGAGACCAGGAGTTCCAGACTACAGTGAACCATGATTGTCCCACTGCACTCCAGCCTGAGTGACAGAGCAAGACCTTGTCTTAAAAAAAAAAAAAAAATTGATAAGTGATGCTTGGAAAATTAGAGTAAGCATAACTTGTACAAGGTAAAATTGACAAGTACAGTCATATCTCATATAGTTTATAATTTCTTGTGCATGTATATTGCTCCTTGAAATTAGATTTGGCAGCAGTTTAGCCTATTTTGGATTATAAATAAAAGATTTAGTTTTAGTTGTAACTTATAGAAAATTTTATTACTATGCATGAGGAAGAAATAAATGAACAAAAGATTGTTTTATTAAATGGGAAATGGTGTATATTAAATCCCTCTTGTGGGAACTCATGTATAACATTAACATTATTAACACACATTGCATATAACACAGTGCATATTAATTGCATTCCTGCAATTGGAATCCTGTTTAAACTGTTTCAAAGCTAAGTAGTCATATTTGTACTGATGAAGACTTCTTACATCTTTAGAGGTTTTCTTTAAAGCCAAGTTAGAAGGGCCACTAATCAATCAACTATTTATTATTCTATCTAGTCTATGATTAGGATTGCCTGGAATAATAATAAATCATATATGACAAATTGTCATCAGATTTTTAAGAGAACTCTGCCAGTTATCTTCATGAACAATTTTGTTTGCTATTAGCATAACATTGAATTTTAAATGCATTAGCCAGATACTGTTGACAAGTTTCGGTTTCATGGGCCTTAATTTAGAGCCCAAAGGTTCTGACTTTCAACTATTGAGTTTTCTGAAGTAAGAAAAGAAAAATAGCTCAGAGCAGTTTGAGCTCCGTTAGCTTTTCAAAATTTATCAGGGCAAGAGAGACATGAATATGGGGGACTTCAGTCATGGCCACCCTCACCCACCCATGCTCTGGGGCAACTGTTAAAAGGCATTTTTTTTCTAACTTGCTATCTCACCCATTATCTTTATGTTCCTGGAATTTGTGATACAAAGAACAATGTATAGTCGACTAATAGATTATGTTAATTTAATGTAAATTGTTGGCAAAATTAGAAACTGCCTCATTTCTTTTCTTGATAAACCCACTTGTAACTTCTGCTAATCAAGTGTATAATCAGGATGTCCTGAATCCCAGATAGCTATGTTTAAGCTTTGAGCTGGAATAAACTCACTACTTAATTTTATTTTCTGAATCTCGTTATTTAAGGTTAACAGAACCAAGTCTCACCAAGGATTTCAATATTTGCTTTTGTGCAGAACTATCATCTTTAATCACTTATCATTCTCCTAATACCTATGGCTGACCCTATTTTCCATGTGAGTACATTAACCTTGTGCTAAGGACAATTTAAGGTCTTGATGTTTCCCATTCTACACACTTTTTCTCTATTAAACCTGTAATGCTTAACTTTATACTGAGATGCAACAATAGACAATACAGAAACCTGTGTATGAAATACTTATACCTCAACCTCTGGTTGCTCCGTGATTTTGTTTGTATAATGAAGTCACAACCCATCAGAGTAATAAGGGCCTTCCGTAAAAATCTCCCTGGTTTTCAACAATGCCCTTAGACAGGGAGTTCCCTGAGCTCCAAAGAAGACTTGTCCCCTTAGGCAGAGCTTTAGATGTCTTTATTCTTATGGTCCACAATCCCCCTGGGCAGAAATCTTGTCCCACTGCACAGGAACTGAGATTGGGATTCCACTGTTCCAGGAATGACCCCACCTCCACTTTACATGTAGGCATGGTAGGGGGTAAATGGCAGCCCCTCATCTTCTTGGCTTGCCCACTTCTGGCATGAAACCTCCTTTCTAAAAGTAATCTGTGACAGAGGTTCATGGTGCTCTCAGCCTACCATACCTGAAGTAAAGCTTTTGCCATATGAGTAGTGGTTGGGAGGGGAAGGAAAATATAGTTCCATTCCACACTTGGCTGAAATAGAGTTTTTGCAATACGGATCTGGGAGAGAAAAAATGAGAAATACTAACAGCTTGCCCCTCCTTTAACAGTACTGACTCCATGTTCAAGAAAAGCTTCCCTGCTTAAATATAATTATTAATTTGTTTAAATTTGTAGATTACTCACTAAAAACAGCCTTAGGAAGACAGGACCTTCAAAAGAGATAAGAGAAAATATGCAGACCAACAACTCTGGGGATGGGCTGACTGGCCTGATAGAAATAGGCTAATGTGCCTGCAGAAGGCCACAAAACATTGACCAAAATCAATGATTAACTGTCCACCTGGGACTGTCATGAGTAACTGCCCAATGAGTTTACCTTACCTGCTACCTATACAGAGCTGATTTATCAAGACAGTGGAATTTCAACAGAGAAAGAGTTATTCTTGCAGAGCTAGCTGTGCAAGAGACAGGAGTTTTACTATTACTCAATTCAGTCTCCTCGAGCCTTTGGGGATCAGAGATTTTAAGGATAATTTGGTGCGTGGGTGGGGCAGTGTCTGCACTGCTAATTGGTTGGCTCAGAGACGAAATCTTAGAAAGTCAAAGCTGTGCTCTTGGCTCAGAGACGAAATCATAGAAAGTCAAAGCTGTGCTCTTGGACTGAGTCAGTTTCTCGGTGGCGGCCACAAGACCAGATGAGCCAGTTTATCCATCTGGGTGGTTTCAGCTGATCCATCAAGTGCAACGTCTGCACAATATCTCAAGCACCGATCTTAGCTTTTACCATAGTGATGTTATCCCTGGCGCAATTTGGGAGGTTTAGAATCTTGAAGCCTCTCGATGCATGACTCCTAAACCATAATTTCTAATCTTATAGCTAATTTGTTAGTCCTACTGAAAGGAGTTGGCCAGCATGCTTTATGTAGACAGTAAGGGAAGGGTCCTGGAGAATCTCCAACCTTCCCCACAAGTGTTTACACTAGATGTTTTGTGCAGATAAAGGAATCTGCACAGGAGGGTTGCCCAAACATGCCCCCAGCAGACTAATGGCCCCTTAGTCTGAGGATGGGGTGGAGTCTCTTACAAATAAGGAACCCAGCCTCATCAGCCTTAAAAAAAAAAAAAAAAAAAAAAAAAAAAAGCACCGTATCAAACAGAGAATGGAGCAACAGGCAACCTGCTTTCAGGACCCCTCTTTTTGCTGAGAGCTTTCCTTTTTGCTTAATAAATTCAACTCCATGCACTCCAAGTGTCCATGTGCCCAATTTTTCCTAGTCATGAGACAAGAACCTGGGTCTAGCCGAGCTAAGGAGCAGAAAAATCCTGCATCACTACAAAGGCAGTCTAGTCCCCAGGCAAGAAGGGCATGTTTGGGGAAAGGACTGTTATTAGTCTTTGTTTTAAACTATAAATTATAAACTAACTTCCTCCCAAAGTTAGTTTACCCTATGCCCAGGAATGAACAAGGGCAGCTTGGAGGTTAGAAGAAAGATGGAGTTGGTTAAATCAGATCTCTTTCACTGTCTCCATTATAATTTTGCAACGACAGCTTCACGTGTTTTATAAGAATGTTTTGATGATTATTTTTCCTAGTTTTCCATGAAAACCCCTGATCTAAGACACAACATGGTGAGGTGTTCTTTGAATACTATTTTACTGCCACCCCCAAGTTATTGGCTTCTTGAATAAAGCTAACTTCTATTTTACTAAAGCTCGTCTTTTGAGTTTTTGGCTTTCAAGGGACAAGTGGCCCAGATCTGAGTTTGGTAATACTCCCAGCTTTAAAATGTGGCTGCAGACTGGAAGTGTGGGGGAGAAGGAGCACCATCTTTTTGGCTGCCCATGTCCAGGGTAGGATCATAGCTCAAATGCATGGAGGGAGCTTGGGGCCACAAAGTCCAGCTGCATGCCAAAATCCTGTGTGTAGTTTTTCAGACCCAACCACAGGCAATTACAAAGGCTTTGCCTGAAAAGTCTCATGGGTAAAAACTGCACTCCCCACACCAGACTTGGGTCATAGCCAGTGCATTAAATGTCTGGACTGAGCTGCAGTCAAAGAAGCCTCTGGCCCCCTCTGAGCCAGCAATGCTCATAAACATATTTGTATTCTGAAATGAGGTGTCTCCATTAAGAGGCCACCTTTTCTGTGGGCCTCTGCTATGGCACTTTTCAGCCACCTCCACTAAGATCTCCTGACCTTCGGTTCTCAAGGTTCATAAAATAGTAGAACTGCTTTATTCAGGGCTCCTTGGCACTGAGACAATTCCCATGCCTGCATCACCTGTCATAACTGGTGCTTACCTTTTGCCATTCCCTGGGAAAAAAATTGAACATTGGAGAGCTAGCACTCCTTTTTTTTTTTTTTTTGGTCTCTTGCCTGAATTATCATGGTAAGTGAATAAAGTCTTTATTATTTCTATTACTTCGGCTTGTTGTCCTAATTGACTACCTAAACACCCAGCAGCTAGACATGGTGTGGTGGGTAATGGAGCAGGTCATGGCTCCAGTGTCACAGACTCATGTTGTTCTTACAGAGATTTAGTAGATTTTCTTGAATAAATGTTTCTATATGCCCTTAGGGCAAGTTCTAGAGATTGTAAATGATTATTTTCTATTGCTTTCACCAGTTAAATTGTAAATTTGCTAGGAAGAGGATCCGTCTAGGTCTTAAATCCACCGTTTCAGAAGCTCTACTTTTCCTGAGTTATATTCTTGTCAAAGTTGATAGTGACTTTACATTAGTACATCCAAATGTTTTCTTAAACCTCAGCTTGTGGAAATTATCAAACAGATAATGTAAAGAGTAAAGTAAAAATTTAATGGTTTTGGCTATAAAGTGGTTGTGTGTTGGATACAATGAAGTAATAAATGGGCAAAAGGGAAATGGCGTACCATGAAATCGTTGCAACAAATTAGAATAACACAGGTTTCAAAAGTGTGGGCATCATTAACATACATGCTATAATTTAAAATCAGTTTACTCTATATAGACCCCAGATAGTTTCAATAGGCTGAAGAATTGTTTCCAGGATGATAAGTTAGAAGTTATTTGCCAATACAATAAAGTATAGCAACATCCCGCTCTCCAAAACAAGAACACAAAAGAGCCTCTCCTAGAGCCATAGAGAATAAGCATTATTTTACAATTTCACTAAATTATGATATCTTTAATGACATACTGGGACTCTGTTTCATCCATTTTTGTATTCTCCTCCGGATTTTGCATTATGCTATTTAGGAACCAGAATATTTGATAAGATTTAAGCTTAGGTATAATTGCATTTACTCTTTCTTGTTAATAGTTTTGGTAATTGAATAAACATTTGATATAATGTTATGTATTTGGAGAAGTCCAGTGATACATATTAAGGTTGTTGCGTTGCAGTATGAAGGCTACCTTATTTTCCTTGCAATCTCTTGTTTGAAAATAACTAAAATGTCTCACAAAGACCATTTAGAACATTGTATACATTCCACTGAATGATATAATTTATTCTCAAATAAAAGTAATGCATTTTTTCTAAATTTTTTTTCTTTGGCATTATCTCATGGTATGTTAAAGTTTTCTAAGGAAGTCATCAAACCACTGTTGAAATGAGTGCTACAGATTTAAGTGCTTACATTCAGGGCACTAGTTCTATAGCCGCTACATCTTTTTTTTTTTTTTTTTTTTTTTTTTTTTTTTTGAGACGGAGTCTCGCTCTGTCGTCCAGGCTGGAGTGCAGTGAGGCAATCTCTGCTCACTGCAAGCTCCGCCTCCTGGGTTTACGCCATTCTCCTGCCTCAGCCTCCCGAGTAGCTGGGACTACAGGTGCCCGCCACAACACCCGGCTAATATTTTTTGTTGTTGTTGCATTTTTAGTAGAGACGAGGTTTCACCATGTTAGCCAGGATGGTCTCGATCTCCTGACCTCCTGATCCGCCCGCCTCGGCATCCCAAAGTTCTGGGATTACAGGCATGGGACACTGCACCCGGCCTATAGCCTCTACGTCTTTACCTGGTCATTAAGGTAGGATACAGGTAGACAGCCTATCCCTCCATCAGTCTAGTAATCAGCTGATTAATAGGATTCATCCACATTCAGGTATTGCTGATTTTTGCTAAGACCTGATTGTGTTATTTAGTTACCACAAAATATACAGGTACTTTTTTGGGTGTAACATAATCACAGTGTGGATCAATTTGAAAACAAAGCAAGCAGTTAAATTAAGCTTGGATAGTAAATTACAGAAGTACGGCACAGGAGTAAATTTAGTTTTGATTGCTAGTTTAGTTTTTATTCCTCACTAAGCAGTTAGTACCTGTGATAGCTTTGTAGACAGGGATATCAATGTCCTGTTCTTTTTTATTATTATTATTATTATTATACTTTAAGTTTTAGGGTACATGTGCAAAACGTGCAGGTTTGTTACATATGTATACATGTGCCATGTTGGTGTGCTGCACCCATCAACTCATCATTTAGCATTAGGTGTATCTCCTAATGCTATCCCTCCCCCCTCCCCCGACCCCACAACAGGCCCCAGTGTGTGATGTTCCCCTTCCTGTGTCCATGTGTTCTCATTGTTCAATTCCCACCTATGAGTGAGAACATGCGTGTTTGGTTTTTCGTCCTTGCGATAGTTTGCTGAGAATGATGGTTTCCAGCTTCATCCATGTCCCTACAAAGGACAATTTGTTCTATATTTTAATCTCCCAGGATCTTAAGAATGTCTCATGGAAATTCACAAGCTGCCTCTATAATTTACTCTATTTTTAGTTATTATTAATGCCCCTACTACAAATTATTAAAAATGCACTTCCTTCAGTGCTCCAGAAAATTCTGTCAAGTCATTGCTGAACCCGTTATCTACTCCATTGAATCCTGTGGCCTCTATATCTTCTTGCAGACTGTAAAAAGTGTTTTGCATTGTTTTGTTTTACATATAATGCCTTTGTTAGACTCCTAAGTCTAATAAAGGTATCAGGAATATAGATATTATATATACAAATGATATATATAAAATATATATTTGATGATATTCAATACACTCAAGGCTATTATGTATGCAACATATGGTAATATCTCTCTTCCATTTTCCTTTTAAATAGACTTTATTTCTTTTACAGTAGGTTTAGTTTCACTGCAGACTTGAGCAGAAAGTACAGAGTTACTCTATTCTCCTGATTACTCTCTCTCTCTCTCTCTCCTCTAATATCTCTCCTCCAGCATCCCATACCAGAGTAGTGTATCTGTGACAATTGATTAATCTACATTGACACATAATTATCACCCAAAGTGCGTAGTTTATACTAGGTTTTATCTTCGTGTCGTACATTCTATGGGGTTGGACAAATGTATAATGACATGTATCAACCATTATAGTACCATACAGAATAGTTTCATGAGCCTAAAATTATTTGTGTTTCACCTATTCATTCCTCCCTCTCAACCAGCCCCTGGCAACCACTGATATTTTTACTGTCTCCATAGTTTTGCCTTTTGCAGACTGTTATATAGTTTGAATCCTACAGATTCGTATCTTTTCAGATTGGCTTATTTCACTTAGTAATATACACCTAAGTTTCCTCCATGTGTTTTCTTAGCTTGATAGCTCATTTTCTTTTTTTACACTAAATAATACTCCATTGTTTGGATATGCCACAATCTATCCACTCTGAAAGACATTTTGGTTGATTCCAGATTCTAGCAGTTATCAATAAAGCTGCTGTAAACATCCTTGTACAGGTTTTAGTACAGATATAAGTTTTTACACCATTTGGGTAAATATCAAGGAGCACACTGCTGGAATACAAGAATATGTTCAGTTATGTGAGAAACTGCCTGTCTTCCAAAGTGGGCACCATTTTGTATTCCCCCCAGCAATGAATATGAGTTACTGTTGCTCTATATCCTTAATAGAATTTGGTGTTGTCAGTTTTCTGGATTTTGACCATTGTAATAGGTGTGTAGTGTAGCTCACGGTTGCTTTAATTTTCATTTCCTTAATGGCATATGAAGTAGAGCATCTTATCTTGATTATTTGCCATCTGTATATCATCTTTTGTCTTACTTTCATTTTATTTCCTCCAGAGTTGAGTTAGTTCATCCCTTTTGCACTAAAAACATCTCCATTTTAACCCTTTTCCTGCTTGCCCCAAGAATACGCACCAGTGACACTTGCGGCTGCAGTGTTTACCCCAAGATAACTTTGCCACAAAATATCTCGCTTTTATTATTATGTTTGCACCACTCTAGTATATTGACTTTAGAAACAAAATGCATCATTCTCTTTATGGCATTCTGTTTTTAGTAGTGCTATTTCCATTTATAAAATGTAGTAATTCTCAATCGCTGAAAATGTCAAATCTTAGAAAATGTAGGATTCCTGTGTGTGATGTTAACATTGTTCTCGAACAATTTTTGGTTGTAGATTCATTTGATAAATCCAATTTTTCTGAAATAGACGATTCTGATGACTCAGACAATTCTGATATTAGCTCTGTTTAGAAATAGCTCCAAAAAACAGTTTTTTATATTTTATTTTCACATTGAAAATTAGTCAGATTTGCTTCAGCTTCGAAGAGCATGTTTACGTAAAATTTAATGAGTGCTGTCAGTGAGCTGCACTTTTTTTTTCTAAATGGGAAAAGTCTACATACATACTCTACTCTTCTGTTGGTTGCTAACTTCTGCCTCTTAATAGTGAAATCAGGCCTTTACTTTTGCAGAACTCATTTAATTGAGAATAATTGGATTCTTGGAAGTACTGCTCTTATTCCTCTAAAAAATAGAAAAGCTCCCTATGATGCTTTCTAGCTTCACATTAAAGAATTTGAAATGTTGTCAGGGACCAGCATAAATGACTCACATTTTTAACTATTTAGTTCTACGGAACATGATGTGTGAGATATATAGGAGCTCAATTCCATTTCTGAGTGTGATCATAAATCAGATACATGGCTCACAGGCTTAATTGCAATTGATATTTAATGCCCCAGCATAGAGGCATTAAACAACATGCTCCTAGGCTTTTATCTGATTTAAATATTTTCATACATATATAATTACCTTCTATTTCTAAGCAGTCTCATTTATCTTGAGAAGAATAATGGAGATGCCTGAGATATGATACTAAGATCATTCTGCGTAATCATGAAGAGTGTTTAGCAAATGTTTGTTAACAAAATTATTTTTATATATCTAGAAATAAAAGGAAAACTATGCAGTTATCAGCAAGTTTGTGTGATAAGTGGAAAATTACTACAGATGAGATTTTTGCATTCATTAGCAATTTTTTGGCAATGCCTTCAATGAACAGCACTAAAATAAGAATCCCTGATATCAACTGCTAACTTGACAACTCTTTTGGAAGTTTTATATTATTTCAGAGACTGGTGTCTACTCAGCATTTGATCCTATATCTGTCCTATGATGAAGGATCATCTTTGAGAAGTAAGTGACTTTCCTACTTAGTTGGCCAAAATCCTTGGTGAGAACTGCATGTTATGTTTCAAACCACACACATACACACATACACACACGCACACACACGAGAAACAAAAATTTTACCAGACAATACTGATGCTTACTATAAACAATGTACTCTGATGTTTTCTATTTTATTCAATTTCATTTTTGTAAAAAAGGTTTAGCATAAACTCAGTTGATTTTATTACCAATCAATGGGTTTGTTTGTTTTGTTTGTTTGTTTGTTTGAGGCAGAGTCTCGTTCTGTCACCCAGGCTGGAGGGCAGTGGCTCAATCTTTGCTCACTGCAACCTCCACCTTCCAGGTTCAAGTGATTCTCCTGCTTCAGCCTCCTGAGTAGCTGGGATTACAGGAGATGTGGTATATTGTAAGTCTGTACTACCATCTGCATTTTTCTGTAAATCTAAAACTGTTCTAGAAATAAATGTATTTTTTTTCTTTTTAGTAGAGACGAGGTTCCACCATGTTGGTCAGGCTGGTCTTGAACCCCTGACCTCGTGATCCGCCTGCCTCAGCCTCTCAAAGTGCTGGGATTACAGGTGTGAGCCACCACACCCAGCTTCAATGGGTTTTTAACTGCAATTTGGTAAGTACTTCTCTGTGATTCCTTTGCAGTCATGTGCATAAAAATCACCAGTGGAACTTAGAAAAATGCATTTTCTTGAAACCCAACCTAGAAATTCTGATTTAGTAGGTCTGAAGCAGAGTCAAGTTAGGTCCCTTTTTAAATGGGAATGCTTCTTTGTTTTGGGTTTTGGTTTTGAATTTTTTGGTGGTGTTGTTTACTCCTTGGAAAACTCAGTGTAGAGAATTTGTGTTTTTGATTGTCCTAGCACTGCTCTTGGAGAACCTGTTATACTGAAAAATTCTCATGAATATTATCCTGTGTATTTTAATTAAACATTTTATTTTAAAGTAATTATAAATTCACACGAAGGTGTGAGAAATAATACAAAAGTCTCGCATACCCTTTACCCAGTTTCTGCCAATGGTAACATTTCGAAAAACCGTACTATAATGTCACAACCAGGAAATTGACATTGACACATTCAAGATAAAGGATAATTCCAACAAATCAAGGACTTTACTATCCTATGCAGCCACACCAACATTCCTCAACACTCCCTATCCCTAACCTCTGCCAACAAATAGTCTGTTCATGACTTCCATTTGTTAAATGCAATAAAGTTATATAAATGGAGTCATAAGCCATGTAAGCTTTGAGAGTTGTTTTCTTTTTCAAATTTTACTCAGCATAGTTCCCTGGAGATGCATCCAAATTGTTATGCATATCAATAGCTTGTCCCTTCTATTGCTGAGTAGTATTCCACGATATGGATGTACAATAGTTTCTTTATCTAATCACGCATTTATGAACAACTGGATTGTTCCCAGTTTTTGACTAATGCAAATAAAGTTGCTAAAAATATTTTTGTACATATTTCTCTGTGAACATGCTTTTATTTCTCTGAAATAAATGTCCAGAAGTGCAATTACTAGGCCGTATATGGGATTTGCATGTTTATAGTATTCCAGATTATGAAAAAAAACTCTTTCAGAGGTGTCTTAATCATTTTAAAATTTCACCAGAAATTTACAAGTGATCCAGTTTCTCTGCACCCTTAATAGCATTTAGTGTTGTTCTTATTGTTTTTCTGGCTTAATACACTTTATTTCTAGAACAGTTTTAGATTTACAGAAAAATGCAGATGGTAGTACAGACTTAGAATATACCACGTCTCCAATTTCTCCTTTTATTAGCATTTTTTTGTTAGTATAGTGCTTTAGTCACAATTAACAAACTAATATTGATATATTGTTTTTAACTAAAGCTAAATTTTAACTTTATTCAAAATTTCTTATTTTTTACCTACTTTTTTTTTTTATTCCATAATCTCATCCAAGATACAACATTATCTTTAGTTCCTATTTCTCCCTAGGCCATTTTTGGGTGTGATCGTTTCTCATGTTTTCTTTATTTTTGATTTCCTTGAGAGATTTGAGGAGTGCTGGTCAGGTATTTTGCAGAAAGTTCCTCAACTAGGTTGCTGTAATGATTAGACTGGAGTTAGGGATTTCAGGAAGGAAGACCATAGAGATAAAGTGCCATTTTCATCACATTATATCACAGGTATACACTGTCAATGTGACTTGTCACTGTTGATGTGACCTTGGTCACCTGGCTCAATTAATGTTTGTCAGGTTTCTCTTTTCTGAAATTACTCTTTGTTCCCTCTCTAAATACAATACACTTTAGAAAAAAATCATTATGTACATTCCACGTTGTGAAATGGGAAGGAATGGAGAGTTATGTTACACCTTCTTGAGGACAGACTATCAACATAAAATATTTGAAATTCTGCACAGATTTTTCTCTTCTCTTCCACTTATTAAAACCTTTCTAAAACTTTGGCCATTCTGATAGGTGTCATGTGATATTTCATTGTGGATTTAATTTACATTTTCCTAAGGTCTAATGATGTTTAATCACAGTTAATGTGCTCATTTGTCATAAGTATATCCTCTAAGGTGAAATGTCAGTTTTTAATTTTGGTGTTGTGCAGCTATTGTGCTTTTGGTGTCAATTATTTAAAAAAAAAAAAACAAACAAAAAACCTTTTTGCCTATACCTATATCCTGAAGAATTTATCATGTATTTATAGTTTTGCGTTTCTTAAGTTCATGATCCATTTTATTTTTTGAGTTATAAGATGTGAGGTTAAATCACTGTTCAACTTTTTCTTTCTCAGGAATATCCAATTTCTTCCGTTTTTTTTTTTTTTTTGAAAAAATTACACTTTTCATTAAACTTCTCTTACACCATTTTGCTCTTACGCTGTTTTGTCCCTTTGATATTTGAATATATACCTCTGCTATGCCATACTGCCATGATTATTGTAGCTATATCATAAACCTTAAAATTAAGCACAGTATTTCTGTACACTTTTTCCTTTTTGCCAGGATAGTTTTAGCAATTCTAGAACCTGTGGTCATTCATATAAATGTTATAATAAGCTTGTCTACAACTACAAAAAAAAAAACCAAACCATTCTGGAGTTTCAATAGAAATTATATAATTGCCTAGGTTAATATGCGGTTAATTGATATGTTACAATGTTGAGGCTTCTAACATATGAACATGGTATGTCTCTCCATTTAATTAGGTCTTCTTTGATTTTCACCAGCATTATATAATTTTCAGCATATATGTCCTATATATATTGTAAAGTAAGTATGTCATTGTCTTCAGACTGATTATAAAGGTTATTCTGTTATTAATCTTGAGATATCAGTCTATAGTTTTCTTTTTTGTACTGTCTTTGTCTGGTTTTGGTATCAGGGTAATATTAGCTTCATAAAATTCTAGGCTCATAAAAAATTCCTTCCTCTTTTATTTTCTGGAAGATAGTGTATATAATTAATGAATGATAATTGTTTTGTAAATATTTGGTAGAATTCTCCAGTGAAACCATCTGTACCTGATGATATCTTTTTGGGAAGCTTATAAATTATACATTTAATTTTATTAATGGTTATAGGACTATTTTCATCGTCTATGTGATCTTAGCGGAAATAGGTTAGTTTGTGAATTTCACGGAATTCAGTCATTGAATTTATAAAAGTAATGTTGTTTGTAGTATTTCTTTGTTATTCTCGTTGTGGCTGCAAAATTTATAGTGATATCCTCTATTTCATTCCTGATGTTAGTGCCTTGGGTTTTTTTTCTCTATTTGTCTTCGTTAGTTTTGTCTGTTTTTTAAATAACAAAGTTTCATTGCATTGATATTCTCTATTGTTTTCCTGTTTTCAGTTTCATTGATTTCTGCATTTGTCTTTATTGCTTCTTTCATTCTGGTTGTTTTGAGTTAATTTTGCTCTTTTTTTCTCTAGATTCTTGAGGTAAGAATGTAGTCTATTTATTTGAGGCCTCCCCTCTTTTCTAATGCATTCAGTACTACAGCGTATACTCTCAGCACTGCTTTAGCTGCTTCCCATATACATTTCTATTTTCTATTTTTATTTTCATTCAGTTCTATATATATATCTTACAAAATATTCTTGACCCTTATTCTTTCACCTATGTATTGTATAATACTTTGGTGTGTAGTTTATAAGTATTTGGAAAGTTTTCTTTTGTCTTTCTGTTAATGATTTCTAGTTTTATTCCATTATAGAAAAAGAATATACTCCACATGACTTCAGTTATTTTATATCTTGAGGGATTATTTAGTGACCCTGGATATGATCTATTTGGTGAATGGCTGCTAGGAAAAGGTATGTGTATTATCTTGTTGTTGAGGGGGCTATTCTATAAAAATCAATTAGATTCTGTTGTTTAATGGTGTTTCCTAGTTCTTTTATATCTTTGCTGACTTTATGTCTAGTAGTTCTATTAACTGCTGATTGTGAGGTTTTGGAAGTCACTAGCTATAACTGTGAATGTGTCTATTCCTCCTTTTAGGTTTATCAGTTTTTGCTTTATTTTGAGGCTACATTATTTGATACATACATATCCCAGGTTGTTATGTCTTCCTGGTATACTGATTCTTTTCTCATAATGTAAGATTTCTCTTTGTCTGCAATAATTTTCTTTGCTCTGGAGTCCACTGTCCACTTTATCTGGTCTTAACATAGCTATTCCTGCTTTATTTTAATAAATTCTTACATTGTATACCTTTTTTCACCATTTTTCTTTCAAACTACCCAGGTTGTTAAATTTGAAGTGAATTTCTTGTAAATAAGAAGAGTGGCCTAAAAAAACCAGATCCCCAGAAAGGATTGAAAGTAGTATTCTTTAGAGTTTTTAAGATAAATCATTATGAGGGAGTGTAATTTGGAAAAAGAAAATAAAGCTTATGCTAGGGCATGGATTTCCACTGCTGGGAACTGGGTCTCAATTCCATTGGGGAACTTCTGATAGATGGTATGAAACATGCCTTCAGAATTGTCCCATGCCACACTCAATGATTATTGCACCAAGGATGTAAACTCTCTAACACTTCTGGCCTGCCCACTTTCAGAGCAAAGCATACTCCCCAAAGCCAGAGAATGTCCTCAGGTAGAGAAACAAAGGAAGAAATCTGTTGTCTTCAAGCAGTATAAAGAATAGGTTGAATGGGAGGAGCAGAGGAAGTATCTGCTACAGTCCAACCCTTGCACCACTTATATCCACTTATGCCCCATCTAAAGCCAACCCTGTCCCGTCACTCACTAATCGGTTATGGTAGTGTCCAATTAGAATCCCTTGAAGAAAATAAAAGACAAAAATTTTGTTAATGGACACACTTTAGTACTCGATGTTGCAATTTTCCTGATATGCATCTTCTGTTTATATACTTCCCTAACCCTCAGCATGCTCTTCTACTGGTCTGAGTTGTTTGCCAAGTTAAGTGACACAGACCTTCATTTTAGAAAGTTGTAAGCTTCTGCTTAATTTGCCCTTGTCAGTCCATCATTGATACAATTTCCCTTTTACTTTTAGTACACAATACAGAAGCACAAAGAGAAATACGAGTGAATGGCCCCATTATGGATCAGCAACCCTAGCTCTTTGTGAAATTAGTTTCAATTACCACAACAAGTATTGTAACATTTTATGTGCCTGCTTTTCTACTAATAGAAGGAACTCGAAGACACCCATTTCAGCCATAGATTTAGATTTCATTGGTCTTTTATTGTGTTTGCTAATGGAAATTTTCTCCTGTGAGAAGCAGGACCCATAGAATCTAAAGTTGCTGGAGAAGGAATCACAAATTCCTCAAGTGGGTCACTGGGAGTGACAGGGAATGTGCCATTTCTACTTTTACTACTTTGTTCCTGGACCCATGTGTTCTACCTTCTGAAGAATAGAACCATAAAATAAACATTGGCTTAAGGTATGTACAAGATCCTGAAGAAGAGCATCCCAACTTCTGAGGTTGCCATTGATATAGTTTGTATATTTGTCCCCACTCAATTCTCATGTTGAAATGCAATCCCTAATGCTGGATTGAGGCTTTCCTGGTGAGACGTGTTTGGATCATGGTGGAAGATTCCTCATGAATGGTTTGGGCCATCCCGTTGGTGATAAGTAAGCTCTCATTTGAGTTCCCACGAGCTATAGTTGTATGGAAGTGTGTGACACCTCCCCCAATCCATGCTCTTGCTCTTGCTATGTGACATGCCTCCTTCCCATTTACCTTTTACCAGCATTGTAAGGTTCCTGAGGACCTCACCAGAAGCCAAGGGGATATTGGTGCCATGCTTGTACAGCCTGCAGAAGTGTCAGTCAATTAAACCTCTTCTTTTCATAAATTACCCAGTCTCAGGTATTTCTTTATAGCCACACAAAAACAGCCTAATGCAGCCATTTTCAAACTAGTGCCTTAGCTACATCATTAGGAGATTGTTTCAATGTTCCATCAGACTGGCAGCTTCTGGGTAATATATGATAAAAGCAATGAATTCTTTGGTCATATTCTAAGTGTGGCAACTTCTTCACCAAAAAGTGGCTCCCTTGCTCCAAGGTAATATTATGTGGAATCCAGTGTGGATAACTATGATACTCTATGAGTCTTTGAGCAGTTGTGTTATCAGAAACAGTGTGAGTGGAGAAGGCACACCCACACCAATAATTGATATAATTTTCAGTAAAAACTAACCAATGCTTCCTGCTGTGTGGAAAGAGTTTGATGTAAGCAACTTGAAATCAAGTAGCTGGCTGGTCTCTTTGAACAGTGGTACTATATCAAGGGCTCAGTCTTGGTCATTGCTGTTTATTTATTTAGCTGCAGCAGTATGTACACTAGCATTGTTGATAGGTGCTTATGCTATTGAGCCTATGCATAATTGCCAATTTTGCTACCATGTAAAGTGGGTTGCATATGGCCCCTAAATGGTATGTCCATATCAAATTCCTGGAACCTGTGAATGTTATCTCATTTGGAAAAGGGATCTTTACAGATGTAATTAAGTAAAGAACTCAAGATGAGGATATCATGGTTTATGTGGATGGGCTCTAAGTCCAATAATAAATGTGCTTGTAAGAGACAAAGAGGAGAGGCAGACAGAAGAACATGAGGCAGTGTGATATGGAGGCAGAAATTTGAGTGATACAGCTACAAACGAAAAAAAAATGCCAAAGATTGCCAACATCCGCCAGAAGCAAGGAGAGGGGCATGAAATGAATTCTTTCCAAGAAGTTTTGTAGGGAGTACAATGCTACTGACACTTTGATTTTGAACTTCTGGCCTCTAGAACTGCAAAAAAATAAAATTCTGTTCTTTCCAGCCACCAAGTTTGTGGAAATTTGTTCAAGCAGGGCAGGAAAACTTATTCAATATGATTAATATATTTATGTATGATTAACATGTAAGCAATGGGATAGCAGAAAATGTAGGCTAGATGCAAACCACTAAAACAGTCATTCCTAGCCACCCAATTGTTCAGTGCCCTGTCTATAGTGAATGCTGTCCGGAGGGCTTGACCTGAGACAAATATTCACATATTTGTCTTAGCCACAATCATCTTTCTCAAATTTCATTGTCTTCAATGTTAAAATGTTGCCCTTTCAAGACTTCTGGTGATCTGCCAAACTATTACTTCTCACTTTGGTGAAGAATTTTCTCTATGGGCCTCAGGAGAATCATAGTCAGATGATGATTTTATGGTCCCCATAGTTAATTCACTCTAGAATGCCCCATCTTTCTTAGCCTTCTAACCCTTTCTTCAATGCCCTGTCTAAACAGTTCAGACATCTCCACCTCATTTACAGTGGATAATCTTTTATTTCTTCACATATATCCTAATCTGAATAATCTGCCCATCTGTGTGCTACTCCCTGGCTTGCCCCCTTGGCCAGAAAATACCCTTTTATTAGTCAGGATTCTCTAGAGGGACAGAACTAATAGGATATATGTACATATAAAAGGGAGTTTATTAGGGAGTATTGGCTCACATGATCACAAGGTGAAGTCCCACGATAGGCTGTCTGCAAGGTAAGGAAGTAATGGCTCAGTCCAAGTTCAAAAGCCTCAAAAGCAGGGAAGTCCACAGTGCAGCTTTCATTTTGTGGCTGAATGCCTGGGAGTCCCAGGCAAACAACTGGTGTTAAGTCCAAGAGTCCCAAGGCTGAAGAACCTAGAGTCTGATGTCCAAGGGTAGGAGGAACGTAAGGCAGCATCCAGCATGGGAGAAAGACAAAAGCCAGAAGACTCAACAAGCCAGCTTATCCCACCTGCTTTGTTCTAGCCATGCTGACAGCTGATTGGATGGTGCCCACCCACACTGAGTGTGAGTCTTTCTCTCCCTCCCAGTCCACTGACTCAAATGCCAATTGCTTCTGGCAATACCCTCACAGACACAACCAGAAACAATACTTTACCAGCTATCTAAGCATATTACCAGCTATCTAGGCATATTTTAATCCAATTGATATGGTTTGGCTGTGTCACTACTCAAATTTCATCTTGAATTTTGGTCCCCATAATCACCACATGTTGTGGGAGAGACCCAGTGGGAGATAATTGAATCATGGGGGCAGCTTCCCCCATACTGTTCCCGTAGTTGTGAATAAGTCTCACGAGATCTGATGGTTTTATAAGGGGTTTCCTCTTTCACTTAGCTCTCACTCTCTCTTGCCTGCCACCCTGTAAGACATGTCTTTCGCCTTCCAGCATGATTGTGAAGCCTCCCCAGCCAGGTGGAACTGTGAGTCCATTAAACCTCTTTTTATTTATAAAAATAAATACCCAGTCTTGGGTATGTCTTTATCAGCAGTGTGAAAACGGACTAATACACAAATCAAGTTGACACCTAATATTAACCATCACAGCCCCCAAGCCGCAAGACACAGAAAGTCCTTAATGTGTCCAGAAATTGTTTTCAGGAGATTTGGATAGGGTGCTGACAGCATCTGCTACAAGTGTTAAAGATTATAGAGTGATTAATGGACTTAAACACATCTTAATTAGAATTCTGGCTTTACTCGTTAACATCTGTGTGATGTTGAGTCATCCTTCAATCTGTCTAAACCTCAATTTCTGCATTGAAAATAATGAAATTAATATAATTGATTTTATAATTTTAATGGGAGAATTAAAATAATACCTATCCACCTGATCAGCATAAGATAATGTGTGAATTGCTCAACACAGTGTTTGGCATATGGCTACTAAATATTGGAGGTGGGAGTAAAACCCTAATTTGACTCCACAGCCTAAGCTCTTCACCATTATGCCATATTAATTGGAAAAGAGAGGGCTGGCAGAAGTCATTCTATGTGGCACTATTTCTCCACACCCTTTGACTCCAGGATACGGGGTTTCAGGTTAATATAAGTTTAAACACAGCATTGAAAGTTTGTGATAATTTCTGATGGTGAAATACACAACTAGGATTCAAGTTCAGAAAACTATGTAACTTGTCAAGACTTTATCTATATTTAGAGATGGGATGAATTTAACTTTCTTTGTGGTTTACTAGAAAGGACTTTAAAGTCAATGCCGTAGCAAACATTTAATTGATTATACTTAGAAATAATCTGATTAACATTATGTGTTTTGCACTTATAAATGCACACGAAAAATGACTATTCACAATTTTCTTAATTCAGAGTTCTTAAATATCTTTATAATTGACACAGCTCATGTTCTCCATAAGCCGAAATAGTCCAAAGGACTATTTATGCTGCAAGAGGTTCAGAAATTATCTACATTTTGCTTGTTTCTACCATCGCTTTATGTTAGAAAGCAATTAACGAATGATCTCTATTATGTTGTTTCCTTTCTGTTCCAGGGAGTTCACATTAGAGTTCACTACTGGATTGCAGATGACTTTTGTGACCTTGGGAAACTATTAAACCAACCAGTTTCTTCCCCAAGGTTGGCATTAATACTGAAATTTTAATTGCACAGCAGTATTAAAGATCCTTGTAATTCTTAAAATTTTTATCTAAAGCTCTTCGTGGCCTGCTTTTGTGTGTTTAGTATAGGATTAGAAGAAGTTTGTTCATCAGTGTTTTAACCTCTTCCACATCTTGGCGATGCTGGGTGCAGCTTAATAAACTGTTTCTTCTCCCCAGGTACCACTTAGGTCTAAAAAAAAAAAGTAGCGGGGGAAACAAAGTAACCCTGGCACTCCTCTTTGTAGCACATTCTCCTTAGTGAGGATTTTTTCTTTCAACCAGAACTGAAAGGTGACTAATGTTTTAGAATTACTTTGAGCTTTTTTTTTTTGTTATTTTTAGTTCTCTTGGGCTATTAAAGTAATAGTTTTGAACTCTGTACACCCATGGCACTTTAACGAATTTGCTACGGGCAGAAAAACAGCTTTCTGATAGAGCTAAGCAGCAGGTAAACTCAACTATGGAAAACATTGGGACAATTCTCATTATGTAATGCCATAGTCTAACAATTTTTGACCACTGTGAAAACTGGAAGTAGATTATATTTAAAAAATGCAATAAAATTGTTTTATTAGCAGATTTTTCCAAAGTATTTATCTCCCCTCTTTTCTTCCTTCTTGGTGACAACTTTATGTCTGCCTCTACCTGCAACACCCAATTTCAGCCTTCTTCCTCTAACATCTTCTTTTCTATGTGTGTGTTTTGGAAGGAGGATTAAAATATTACAAGGAACACAAAAATTACAGTGAAAAAAATCTAGGTTCTCACACAATTTCACTACCTGAGGAAAATTAACCAAACTCTCTGAGCTATAGTTTCCTTTTTATATGTAATAAAGACAGTAATGACTGTCACAGAGAGCTTATGTGAGGACTGAATTAGATCGCAACTGTGAAAAGAGTTAAGAAACTTCATATTTATAGTAATATTCCAAGAGAAACTTTGACTACACTGTTGTGGGGGGGGGGGGGGTCCATCAGTTAAGAATAGCATTGTATTTGGTGCTGAAAGACCCTGACTCTGACTCTGAAAGTAGCACATAAAGAAATGTAGTCAGCCGGGCGCGGTGGCTCACGCCTGTAATCCCAGCACTTTGGGAGGCCGAGGCGGGCGGATCACGAGGTCAGCAGATAGAGACCATCCTGGCTAACACGGTGAAACCCCGTCTCTACTAAAAACACAAAAAATTAGCCGGGCGTGGTGGCGGGCGCCTGTAGTCCCAGCTACTCGGGAGGCTGAGGCAGGAGAATGGCGTGAACCCGGGAGGCGGAGCTTGCAGTGAGCTGAGATCGTGGCACTGCACCCCAGCCTGGGAGACAGAGCAAGACTCCGTCTCAAAAAAAAAAAAAAAAAATGTAGTCTGACTCTTTACTGACTCTTTAATTTCTTTTTTAGGCAGACATTAAGTGTTTACTATATCCCCTTCTATGGAGTAACAAGAAGACTTAAAAATATAAATAAAAGGTAAAAACTGTAGGGAGCCTCAATTTGCTTTTCTCCTCACTTCTCTGACCTTCTCCTACAGAAACGCAGGTAAGGTTCCTGACATAACAAAAACATATAAATTATAGCATAGACAGGAAAAAATATTTTCCCTATTAAGGCCAAGGATCGATATCCCAATAAGACCTATCTATGAGGGTTCTATATAAATATAACTCAGAAAAATTCTAATAGTAGATACAAATTGCAAAGTACGACTTATTTATGAAATTTTCTTGTCTTAGGGCATTATTAAGGAATTAGAGAGTGTTTAATACAACAAAATTGTATTAAAATATTTATATTCACAACCACCACATATAGTAATCAGGTACTTATTGTGCACTCTCTCTATATTCAACATTAGGAGAGAAGATTTGGGGTATACAGAAGAAATATGACAAGATAATTATCAACCCTCAAATAACTTGTAATCTAGTTACAAAGATCACACTATCATACAAAAAGTATTAACAGAGAGAAATAAGACTAGCTCATAATTATGTGCTAAATTATGCACAGAGCACATATAAATTTATGAAAAGAGGCATATAATTGAAGGCATGACTAGTTAGGAAAAGTAGCATGGAGAAGACGTGTCTTAAGGCCGAAACTGTGGAAAAAAGTTACTATAGACCTTAGTTGTATCTTCAGAAATATAGGTGGGAACATGCTAGATACTCCCTTTAGTGACTGTTTAATGTTAATGTTTGCACACAGGAGGCCTTTATGGCTCACCAAATCTACAGAGATTTAAATGTTATGCAACAGTTTATTTTTGAAACCCTAGCAGGTACCATAATAATTTTATGTATAAAAATAGTTTTAAGATCACTGATTTGTTTTAATCTGTTTGTTGAAGACAGCGTACTCAGCAATTTTCAGCATAAATGAATAATATCCATATGCCTAAAATATTTTTTGTACCATATCAGAATAAATTTTGAATTCAGGCTCATAAAACTCTTACAAAATGGGGCATACTTTGAAGTGGATATTTCTTAAACTTAGAGTAAATCGTGTTCCTGAAAAAGGCACTGAAATAAAAACTATGTGGATCTAGAAAGGATATGTCACTGGTAGACGGTTGTGACTGCAAGTTCTCCAGGTTCTTGGAGTTTTAAACGAACAATTGCACAAAAGGCCCAGCAAAGCAAAGAAAGAATGAAGCAACAAAAGAACGAAAGCAGGCATTTATCGAAAACGAAAGTGCATTCCATAGTGTGGGAGCCTGCCGGATACAGAATATTCCTGGGTCCAAATATCCCCTAGAAGTTTCCCATTGGCCACTTCATGCTCACCTCATGTAAATGAAGTGGTAGCCCACAATCAGTCTGATTGGTTGCAGAGAACAGCCAACCAGAGGCTGAAGTGAAGTTACAAAGGTCACACTCCTATGCAAACATCTGATTGGTTGCAAAAAGCAACCAATCAGAGGCTAGGGTGAAGTTACAAAGTTATACTTCTATGCAAACCAAGACTCGGCCCGCAATCAGTCTGATTTTTTGCAGACAGCCAATTTCTCATCTGCTTCATAGAAAAGGTTAAAGGGAGTAGCCTCTGGTCCTTTTGTTACTTAGGCGTGGAAAGTTAGGGATTTCCTTTCAATTTAGTTATAGGAAGTCGGCGTGAAACAGCTTTAAGTTCCCTGCCTCCAGAACCTATTCTCCTGCCTCAATTGTGCAATTAGGGGAAATGTCATAATGAAGGGCGGCATCCCCTATTATGGACTTTCATTCACTCAACCATTCATCTATTTATGTATTAAATAATTTGTTCTGTGCTAGTGCTGTGCTAAGTACTAATTATAAAATGCTGAATAAAACAGACCTTGCTTTTACCCACAGGGAGTTGAGTCTAGTTAGAAAGGAAGAAAATAAACAAGCAAACAAACAAATAAATGTAGAATTATGTAAGTTGCTATGAGCTATTTAAATAAAAGGAGCCAAGAGAGATAATAACAATGGAGGCCAGGGAATCTACTAACCTAGGCTGCCTCAACAAAGACTTCTTATAAGGAGGCGATGATTTTAAAAAGAAAATTTTGTGAAAACCCTGTGAAACAACATTGGAGTCAGAAGGGCCAACAGGTGCATATTCAAGGAATGGAAAAGCCACTCTGGCTGGGGTATAAGAATAAAATAAGAGAGTGGCATGAAGTAAGATTGAAGAGGCAGCAGTGGCTAAACGTCATGGGCTGCCATAAATCACTAGGACTTTACTGTAAGTGCATCAAATGACATTGTTGGGTTTGAAGAGGACAAGAGACACAACCTGATTTACATGCTATAAAGATTATTCTAGATTATTTCTAGAGAAAGAATTAGAGGGAGATGAGAGAGAACAGGCATAAATCCAGTGCTTGTCTTCATATCAAATAAACTAAAAATTGTATGCCTTTACTTCACATGGCATGATGCTTTTGGAAATATGTTTAATGAATGGGGCAGTAGAGTGACCCCTGGAATGTAAAGTCTATGAGAGCAGGGACTTTGTTTCTCTTACCATATATAAGAGGTACTTAGCTTAATACAGTACCTAGCAATTCGTCAAAAATATTTGCTGAATCAATTAACTCATAAGTGAATAATATAATTTTGATTTAATGTTAGTTATATAAGTGATTTCTAAAAACAATGACTATCACTTGAAGAAAAACTGTGGTGTCTCAATGCAGCAGAATTTTTAAAACATTCTATGCATGGGGGTAGGATCAAATAATGTCAAAGAGAAGGATGAGAACAACTTTACTTTAAAAGGAAGAAAATAGTACGCGAAACATCAAGGAATCATACAACTTGTGTACTGCCTATTATAAATACAAAAGTTAGTAACATGAGTATAATAGACAAAGCGGTGTAACTGTGCATTATTCTGAAGTTAATTGCTCTGAAATAAGAAATGCTTGTATTAGACTGGTGCAAAAGAGATTGCGATTTTTGCCATTAAAAGTAATGGCAATTACTTTTGTCCCAACCTATAACAAGGTCAGCAGAAGATTACAACAAAGGAAAAACTAGGAAGCAAAAATGATTCCTTGGCAACATGTATAATAAACACAATTACTGGATATGCTGTACATTTTTTTTTTTTTAAAAAAGGGGAAAGGAACCCAAACAAAACACTATCCTTAACACGTCAAACATTAATTAGTTGACTTGTCTATCCTAACATTATTATCTAGTTAGCATTTATCTAGAAAAAAGACAATAGTTTTCTACATAAACAGCTTTTCTTTAAAATGTTTTTACTATTTTCCCATATATATAGTGATTTTGAAATCTATTAAATGCTATAACTGAGATTGCAAGCTTTGCAATACATATTGGAATTGATAAAAATGTACAAGAATCTAATGTGCATATCTGTACAAGATCCACTTTCCAACACAGTAATAATTAAGGAATTAATGGCAAATATCAGAGTTGGCTCACATTTAGCACTAATCATTTGTTAATGCTCCCTAAATCTATGGGAATATATTTATAACAAATAGAAAGGTGCAGCTCAAAAACAGTTCCAGCATCTCCACAAACATCAGTAACTAACACAACACAAAGAGGAAACTGAATATAATACTCAACAAAAAAAATTTCCATTTTAAAAGTAAGGAATACAAACATTTCAAGACTATTATGGCTCATATGGTTGCTAATGCAACCAGTACTATGTTTCTTGGCAAATCATTTACCAATGTCATTTGTTGCCACTTCTCAAAATTAGGATTCCACAGTTTAATGGATCTATGCTTCAAGTGGAAATCTGTAATTTGAAAGCACAGCAAGTGCAGTCTTGTTCACAGCATCACAAATCTGTGGACCTGTAGTTTTGTCTATGACACAACAATGTGCAATGTTGTAATCTATTAGTTCTGCCTTGCTTCTGTCCTTTCAAATGATTTTCAGCAGTGAAGACTTATAACATCTGTATTATTTTTGTGTTTATAATGAAACACACACTCATTTTAGACTAGCTCTTATTATAAATATGACTCTACTCATAACAATGCTTTGGTTATGAATAAGTTTTCTATATATTCCTGGAAGAGCAACATCTTCAGGCTTAGATCAGATTTGTTTTTCATGTTCTGGGGAGTTTTCTGGGACCATAATAGATGTATAATGACTCAAGACTTACGTCTACTCATAGATTGTCTCTTGATTTCTTTTCAGTGAAGTCCTATTCCCATGTTCCTTTACCTTGAACAACATTTCATACAATGCACAGGTACAAAGGTATTTGAAAAAACTCTCTCCTCAGCACTACAGGTGTGTATACCAAATTGACCATTTTTTAGTTTTTATATTCGAGGACCTTTTAGTATAACTTATTGCATCAGATATGATTAGAATGCATTTTGGGGGATATGAATACATAATTTAGAAGCAGAGTCGCTTTGAATAATTTTTATCAAAACAATAATTTATTGCTTGTATAGTAGTATAAGTGTAATTTGAATGCTGAAGGTTTAATTGCATAAAAATTATGTGAGGGTGAAAGTTTACATTGTCGAAATATAATAATTAGAAAATTGTTTAAATAAAACTATGGGTGCTATTTACATTCTAAAACTAACAAAAGGATTGTGGTTAGAGCCAGCAAATCTGCTGCCCAAATGTCAACTTTCAAGAAATGAGGTAAAATTCAATAAAAAGCAAGATTTCTGTTTTATAATTATTTACAGGGAACAATAAAGCAAAAATAAAGATGCAAATAAGCAGTTTATTTGATTTTCAAGCCGGCCAAAGATCCTAACTGTCCAGCATTGCTTTTTATCTTAAATTGAGAATAAAATAAGTATTAGTGAAGACTATAGATACAGATGGTACAGCAGTGGATCAAAAATCAAGATGATTAGGCTAGTAAGTGACTAAATTACAAAGCAAGCAGTGTGAATGAGACTTTGAAAATGCAGATCAGAGCTGGGCTCACGCCTGTAATCCCAGCACTTTGGGAGGTGGGCAGATCACCTGAGGTCAGGAGTTCGAGACCAGCCTGACCAACATTGAGAAACCCCATCTCTATTAAAAATACAGAATTAGCCAGGCATGGTGGCACATGCCTGTAATCCCAGCTACTCAGGAGGCTGAAGCAGGAGAATCCCTTGAACTTGGGAGGCAGAGTTTGTGGTGAGCCGAGATAGCGCCATTGCACTCCAGCCTGGGCAACAAGAGCAAAACTCTGTTGCAAAAAAAAAAAAAAAAAAAAAAAAAAAGAAAAGAAAAGCAGGGGCCTTATGACCTTATTTTGCAGATCAGTACATTACAGAAAGCCATGCAGGAGAAAAGCCAATCAGCATTCACTGAATTCAATCTTGAGCATATGAAGTTGTGATGGAGTTAAGTGAAAAAAATTAATTGGCATGCAGTTGGTTTAGACGATTCACTTAATAAGGATGAGTTAAAAGGATATGTAGCAGAGCTAAACTGAGAAAGACTGAAGTTTAGGATTAAAGAATAGTAGCATATGTGGGATAACATATCAAGACTCAAATTTAAAAATTGACTGTATTCCTTTGCATTGGACCTTAAATCAAAGATTGAGCTATGAAGAATTATTAGAATTATTAGAAGGCAGGTTATTATTTCTAAAGCTTAGTAATTGCTTTAGTGAAGAGCCACCACACTCTTGTTAGTAAAATAATTTTAAGCCTCTATAACGCTCACTTGATGTTACTAAAAGGGTAGAATATAGAAAAAAGGCCAAGT